>NW_025791820.1:0-330493 GCF_000001405.40 Homo sapiens
CACTTTTTAAAAACTTTTATTATTATTATTATTATTATTGAGATAATGTCTGGCTGTGTCACCCAGGCTGGAGTGCAGTGGCAGTGATCTCTGCTCACTACAACCTCCGCCTCCAGGGTTCAAGTGATTCTTGTGACTAAGCCTCCCAAGAAGCTGGGACCACAGGCTCACGCCACCATGCCCAGCTAATTTTTGTATTTTTAGTAGAGATGGGGTTTCACCATGTTGCCCAGACTGGTCTCGAATTCCTAAGCTCGAGCAATCCACCTGCCTTGGCCTCCCAAAGTGCTGGGATTACAGGAGTGAGCCACCACACACAGCCCTTTTTTTTTTTTTTTTTACTTTTATATACCCTAGGAGTAGGTAGAATTTCACTTCTGAGTATACAGCAAAAAGAATTGAAAGCAGGAACACAAAGAGATATTTATACACCCATGTTCAGAGCAGCATTATTCACAATGGCCAAAATGTAGAAGCAACTCATGTTCCTTGATGAATGAATGGATAAGCAAATGCGATATATACATACAATAAAATGTTATTCAGCCTTGAAAAGAAGGACATTCTGACACCTGACAACATGAATGAAGCTCGAGGACATTATGCTAAGTGAAATAAGCCAGTCACAAGACAAATGCTGTATGGTCCAACTTATATGAGGTACTTAGAGCAGTCAAATTCAGAGACAGAGTAGAATGGTGGTTTCTAGGGTCTCGGGGGAGGAGGGAACGGAGTTTATCACTTAATGGGTGTAGAGTTTCAGTTGTGGAAATGAGAAGAGTTCTGCAGATGGATGATGACTGTACTTACACAACAATGCAAATATGCCGGGCGCGGTGGCTCATGCCTGTAATCCCAGCACTTTGGGAGGCTGAGGCCGGGAGATCTCTTGAGTTCAGGAGTTCGAGACCAGCCTGGCCAACATGGTGAAACCCCATCTCCACTAAAAATACAAAAAATAGCTGGGCATGGTGGCGCATGCCTGTAATCCCAGCTACTCGGGAGACTGAGGCAGGAGAATCACTTGAACCCGGGAGACAGAGGTTGCAGTAAGCCGAGTGAGACTCTGTCTCAAAAAATACATATTTACGGCCAGGTGTGGTGGCTCACACCTATAATCCTAGCACTTTGGGAGGCCGAGGCAGGCGAATCACGAGGTCAGGAGATAGAGACCATCCTGGCTAACACAGTGAAACTCCGTCTCTACTAAACATAGAAAAAAATTAGCCAGGCCTGATGGCACACACCTGTACTCCCAGCTACTCGGAAGGCTGAGGCAGGAGAATCGCTTGAACCCGGGAGGCAGAGCTTGCAGTAAGCTGAGATCGTGCCACTGCACTCCAGACTGGCAACAGAACGAGACTCTGTCTCAAAAAAAAAAAATACATACACACACACACACACACACACACACACACACATATATAGAAAGAGAGCGAGAGAGAGAGAGAGAGAGAGTTATATATAAATTAGTTCATATGGCTAAATTAATTGCCCTTGCCTAGATCTGCCAGCTGACAGAAAATAGAAGGTGCATTTTTTTTTTTTTTTTTGAGACGGAGTCTCGCTCTGTCTCCCAGGCTGGAGTGCAGTGGTGCGATCTCAGCTCACTGCAAGCTCCGCCTCCCAGGTTCACGTCATTCTCCTGCCTCAGCCTCCCGAGTAGCTGGGACTACAGGCACCCGCCACCACACCCAGCTAATGTTTTGTATTTTTAGTAGAGACAGGGTTTTACTGTGTTAGCCAGGATGGTCTCGATCTCCTGACCTCGTGATCCGCCCACCTTGGCCTCCCAAAGTGCTGGGATTACAGGCGTGAGCCACCGCGCCCGGCCTAGGAGGTGCATATATTAATACTGATATAAACATATATGATTTCGGGTCAGTCCATGACTTTGAAATGTTTTATCAACAAAAGGATTCCCAGAGCACTACAGGAACCCTTATAAGAATGGACAACAAATTAAGAAAAATTTGTATGCCTTATTATTACTGAGATAGCTACTAATGAAATGAGCCAAGGCCAGGTGCGGTGGCTCACAACTGTAATCCCAGCACTGGCCCAGGTGGGCAGATCACCTGAGGTCAGGAGTTCGAGACCAGCCTGGCCAACATGGTGAAACCCCATATCTACTTTAGAAAAAAAAATTAGGCTGGCAGCAGTAGCTATGCCTGTAATCCCAGCACTTTGGGAGGCCTAGGTGGGCAGATCATCTGAGGACAGGAGTTGGAGACCAGCCTGGCCAACATGGTGAAGCCCCGTCTCTACTAAAAATACAAAAATTAACCGGGCGTGGTGGGGGGCACCTGTAGTCCCAGCTACCAGGGAGGCTGAGGCAGAAGAATCACTTGAACCCAGAGGCAGAGGTTGCAGTGAGCCAAGATTGTGCCACTGCACTCCAGCCTAGGCAACAGTGTGAGACCCTGTCTCAAAAAAAAAAAAAAAAAAAAAAAGAAGAAGAAGAAGAAAGAAAGGAAGGAGCCATGATCTGAGAGCTAAATGGGCCCTGATACTGAACCAACATTGATGGGGTCACTTTAAGGGTATTGCCAGGATGGTTCTTCCATGTCCTACTTCCTCCAGTGACACAGTCATGGCAATGACTATAAAGGTAGAACATGGATAGGAACCAAAGACCTGAGGCCCTTTTGAACACTTCCAAGTGGGCTATGAGTAAGTTCTGGTCCTTGGTTATTTTCAGGGTGAATTGAGCTTTTCTTTGCTGGAGAGCCATTGCAATACAGGGGGAAACTGTATTCCGACTTAGGGAATCCCAATTTATTCTCCAATAAAAGGGACACCAATTAAACTGGTATTGAGGACATCATGCTAAGTGAAATAAACCAGTCACAGAAACACAAACACTACATGATTCCACGTATCTGAGGTATCTAAAATAGTCAAATTCATAGACCCAAAGAGTGTCATGGAGTCGTTGCCAGGGGCCAGGAGGAAGAGGAAATGGGGAGGGCTTTTTTTTTTTTTTTTGAGATGGAGTTTCGCTCTTGTTGCCCAGGCTGGAGTGCAATGGTACAATCTTGGCTCACCGCAACCTCCGCCTCCCGTGTTCAAGCAATTCTTCTGCCTCAGCCTCCCAAGTAGCTGGGATTACAGGCATGTGCCACCATGCCTGGCTAATTTTTTTTTTTTAAGACAAGAGTCTTGATCTATCTCCCAGGATGGAGTGCAATGGCGCAATTTTGGCTCACTGCAACCTCTGCCTCCCAGGTTCAAGCAATTCTCCTGCCTCAACCTCCCGAGTAGTCGGGATTACAGGCGCCCGCCACCACACCCAGCTAATTTTGTATTTTTAGTAGAGACGGGGTTTCGCCATGTTAGCCAGGCTGGTCTCAAACTCCTGACCTCAGGTGATCCACTCACCTCGGTCTCCCAAAGTGCTGGGATTACAGGAGTGAGCCATTGCACCTGGCCAAAATGGGGAGTTATTAATGAACAGGCATAAAGGTTAGTCTCGGGCAAGATGAATAAGCTCAGCCGGGTGCGGTGGCTCACACCTGTAATCCTAGCACTTTGGGAGGCTGAGGTGGGCAGATTGCCTGAGCTCAGGAGTTCAAGACCAGCCTGGGCAACATGATGAAACCCTGTCTCTACTAAAATACGAAAAAAAAAAAAAAATTAGCCGGGCGTGACGGCATGCGCCTGTAGTTCCAGCTACTTGGGAGGCCAAGGCAGGAGAACTGCTTGAACCCAGGAGGCGGAGGTTACAGTGAACCGAGATTGTGCCACTGCACTCCAGCCTGGCAACAGAGCAAGACTCTGTCTCAAAAAAACAAAAAAAAAGAAGAAGAAAAAGAAAAAAACAAGATGAATAAGCTCTAGAGATTTGTTGTGCAACATTGCATCTAGAGTCAACAATACTGTACTGTGCACCTAACATTTTGTTAAGAGGGTAGATCTCATGTTGTATTGTACCATAATAAAATAAATTTTTAAATAAAATCATTGGTAGGCTAGGCGCGATGGCTCATGCCTGTAATCCCAACACTGGGCAGCTGAGGTGGGTGGATCACTTGAGCCCAGAAGGTCGAGAGACCAGCCTAGGCAACATGGTGAAACCCCGTCTCTACTAAAAATTCAACAATAAAAAAATTAGCTGGGCGTGGTGGCAAGGACCTGTGGTCCCAGCTACTCTTGGGGGCTGAGGCGGGAGGATCAATTGAGCCTGGGAGGTCGAGGCTGTGGTGAGTGGTGACCACACCACTTCACTCCAGCCGGGGTGACAGAGCAGGAGAACTGTCACCTCCTGGGGACCCTGTTTCCCTCGGGTATTCAAAAATCTCCCAAAGGGAGGCAAGCATGGGCTACGCAGAAGAACTCTCAGTAGGGACTGCTGAGTCTCTTCATATGAGCTGCAGTTCCCACAGTGGCAGTCACACAATTGGAAAAGGTGGTCCCAAACTTGTCTCTGACCTTAGCAGATGACACAACTTCTACTCTAGAAACCCAACAAACCAGTTTAAATTTAAATTCATTTGCCATCTCGACGTAACGAGATGCGAGATAAGGCCAGGCACTGTGGCTCACACCTGTAATCCCAGCACTTTGGGAGGCCGATGCGGGCGAATCACCTGAGGTCGGGAGTTCGAGACCAGCCTGACCAGCATGGAGAAACCCTGTGTCTACTAAAAATACAAAATTAACTGGGCGTGGTGGCGCATGCCTGTAATCCCAACTATTCAGGAGGCTGAGGCAGGAGAATCACTTGAACCCGGGAGGCGGAGGTTGAGGTGAGCCGGGATCGCGCCATTGCACTCCAGCCTGGGCAACAAGAGCAAAACTCTGTCTCAAAAAAAAAAAAATAAATAAATAAAAATAAAAAATAAAAAAGAGATGCAGGATAACCCCCACAAAAATATTCATTAGCCAGAATTGTCATGAACATAACCCTTGATTTCCTTTGGCTAGTCAAGGGGGAGTGTATGCTTTAGTAAACACTTCTTTTTTTTTTTCCTCATTGTCAAGACTCAACATAAAGCAAATACTTTTTGATGCACCTATATCAACTCTGCAAGTCAAGTAGAACAGTTTCTGATGAGGTTAAAAGAAAAAGTTGGCCAGGTGCAGTGGCTCATGCCTGTAATCCTAGCACTTTGGGAGGCTGAGGCAGGAGGATCAATTGAGCTCAAAAGTTTGAGACCAGCCTGGGCAACATAGCGAGAATGTCTCAAAAAAAAAAGAAAAGAAAAAGTTACCTGGTTCTCTACAGGAGACCAACTAGGCTTTGGGACATATTTCCCTGGTCTGGTTTGGCCGTCTAGGCTCCTGTCTTCGGAGTCTAGTTTGTTTGGTTGAAGTTTTTTTGAGACAGGCTCTCACTCAGTCACCCAAGCTGGAGTGCAGTGGTGTGATCACAGTTCACTGCACCTTCGACCTCCCCAGCTCAGGCAATCCTCCCACCTCAGCCTCCTGACTAGCTGGGACGACAGGTGAAAGCCATCATGCCTGGCTAATTGTTTGTATTTTTGTAGAGACGGGGATCTTGCCATGTTGCCCAGGCTGGTCTCAAACTCCTGGGCTGAACCGATCCTCCCGCCTCAGCATCTGAAAGTGCTGGGATTACAGGTGTGAGCCACAGCTCCCAGCCTTCAGTGTCTATTATAAAGACTAAACCTCAGCTTGTTTCTGTGATTGCCTGTGTTGCATTTGGCCAATGTATCCTGTCCAGAGTCTTTTTTTTAAAAAGGTTTTCAAAGTCCAGTGTCGTGGTTCACGTCTGTAATCCCAGCTACTAGGGAGGCTGAGGTGGAAGGATCACTTGAGCCTGGGAGGTTGAGGCTGCAGTAAGCTGTGATCACTGCACTCCAGCCTGGGCAACAGAGAGAGACCCTGTCTCAAAAAAAGAAAAAGTTTTGGCCGGGCACAGTGGCTCACACCTGTAATCCCAGCACTTTGGGAGGCCAAGGAAGGCGGATCACCCAAGGTCAGGAGTTCGAGGCCAGCCTCACCAACATGGCGAAACCCGGTCTCTACTAAAAAGAAAAAAAAAATTATCCAGGCATGGTTGCGGGCATCTATAATGCCAGCTACTCAGGAGGCTGAGGCAGGAGAATCACTTGAGCCCAGGAGGTGGGGGTTGTTGTGAGCCAAGATCTCGCCACTGCACTCCAACCTGGGCAACAGAGTGAGACTCTGTCTCAAAAAAAAAAAAGTTTTTAAGATAGTATTTATTTGTAGTTAGAGCTGAGTTCTTCTGTTAGTTTTTAAATGTCTTCCTGGGGAGTAGCACTTTCTAAGGGTTCCAAGTTCATCCGTTGGCTGTCATAGCCATCCAGCAATCCAAGGCTGGGCTTTGGTGTCCTGTAGGGAAGCTAGGTCCCTCCTGGGTCGTGGATCCTGGCCTTGCAGGGGCCTGGCCAGGCATAGAGGAGAGCCTTGTGCGAGTGCCTCACATTCTGCATTGTGGGGACCCCAGTCCATGTGGTGTAGGCTGCAGCGCTGGGAGGAGCCAGAACTTGCGACCTCGAGAGAGGCGGTAGCAGTAGCCCCGGCTGGGCCTATAACATCTGGACCTTTTCTTAGGGCTGAGGCCGCACCTCCGCCAGGGCGGCGGGAAGCATCGCGGATGGTGGCCAGGTGGGCCATGCAGCTCCCCGTTGCTGCAGCAGTGCTGGGAGCTTGGGAGACTGAGGCAACCCAGCAGCCATAATGGTGAGTATGAAGCCGACGCTCTCCAGAGCATCAAAAATGCAGAAGGGAGTGGCTGGGCATGGTGGCTCATGCCTGTAATCCCAGCACTTTGGGAGGCCAAGGTGGGTGGATCACCTGAGGTCAGGAGTTCAAGACCAGCCTGGCCAACATGGTGAAACCCTGTCTCTACTAAAAATATAAAAATTAGCCAGGCATGGTGGTCTGTACCTGTATTTCCAGCTACTCAGGAGGCTGAGGCAGGAGGATAGCTTGAGCACAGCAGTTTGAAGCTATATTGCACTATTATTACGTCTGTAAATAGCCACTGTACTTCATCCTGGGCAACATAGCCAGACCCCATCTTTATTTTATTTTATTTTTTTGAGACAGAGTTTTGCTCTTGTTGCCCACGCTGGAGTGCAATGGCGCGATCTCAGTTCACTGCAAACTCCACCTCCCGGGTTCAAGCAATTCTCCTCCCAAGAGAAGCCTCAGCCTCCCAAGTAGCTGGGATTACAGTCATGTGCCACCATGCCCGGCTAATTTTTGTATTTTTAGTAGAGACAGGGTTTCACCATGGTGGTCAGGCTGGTTTTGAACTCCTGACCTCAGGTGATCCACCCTCCTTGGCCTCCCAAAGTGCTGGGATTACAGGCGTGAGCCACTGTGCCCGGCCAAGAGCTCATCTTTAAATAAATAAATATATGGTTTTTGTTGTTGTTGTTTTGTTTATTTTGTTTTGTTTGTTTGTTTGTTTTTGACAGACAGTCTCGCTCTACCGCCCAGGCTGGAGTGCAGTGGTATGATCACAGTTCACTGCAATCTCTGCCTCCCAGGTTCAAGCAATTCTCGTGCCTCAGCCTCCCGAGTAGCTGAGATTACAGGCATGGACCACCATGCCTGGCTAATTTTTTGTATTTTTATTAGGGATAGGGTTTCACTATGTTGCCCAGGCTGGTCTCAAACTTCTGGGCTCAAGTGACCCACTTGCCTCGGCCTCCCAAACTGTTGGGATTACAGGTGTGAGCCACCATGGCTGGCCAAAAAATGTCTTTTCTTAAAACAACTTTATTGAGGTATACTTGTATTGAGATATAACTAATGTTGTACACTTACAACAAAAACTACACATATCTAGTGTATACAATCTGTGAGTTTGACTTATGTATATGCTCATGATACTATCACCACAATCAAGATAATAATCATATCCATCACCTCCAGCGTTTCCTTGTGTCCCTTTGTAGTGGTTTGTTTTAGCTTTGGTTTTTTTGTGTGTGGCATAACCCTTAACATGAGATCTACCCTCTTAACAAATTTTAAAGTGCACAATGCCATATTGTAAGCTATAATTACTATGTTGTACAGCAGATCTCTAGAACTGATTCTTCATGCATAACTGAAACTTTATACCCATTGAGAAACAAGTCTCCCTTTCCTCTCCCCGGAGACCCTGGCAACCACCATTCTATTCTCTGCCTCTATGAGTTTGACTACTTTAGATACCTCATATTAGTGGAATCCTGCAGTATTTGTCTTTTTTTGTGACTAGCTCATTTCACTTAGCATAACATCCATGTTGTTGCAAATGGTAAGATTTCTTTTTCTTTTTTTTAATTTTATGGAGACAGAGTCTCACTCTGTTGTCTAGGCTGGAGTGCAGTGGCACAATCTCGGCTCACTGCAACCTCTGCCTCCCGGGTTCAAGTGATTTTCATACCTCAGCCTCCCAAGCAGTAGCTGGACTACAGGCATGAGCCACCACACCCAGCTGGTTTTTTGTATTTTTAGTGGAGACGGGGTTTCACCATGTTGGCCAGGCTGGTCTCTAACTCCTGACCTCAAGTGATCTGCCTGCCTCAGCCTCCCAAAGTGCTGGGATTACAGGTGTGAACCACTGTACCCGGCCATAAGATTTCCTTCTTTTTGTGGTTGAATAATATCCCACTGTATGTATATACCACATTTTTGATATCCTTTCATGTGTCAATGGACTTTCAGGTTGTTTCCATACCTTGGCTATGGTAAATAATGCTATGATGAACATGGAAGTGTGGATAGCTCTTTGAGATTCCTGTAAAATCAACATACAAAAATTAATTGTGTTTCTATACACTAACAACTATCTGAAAAGGAAATTAAGAAAACAATCACATTTGCAATAGCATCACAAATAATTAAATACTTAGGAAGAAACTTAACCAAGTAAATGAAATATCTGTACACCAAAAACTAGAAAACATTAGTGAAAGAAAGTAATGAAGACACAAATAAATGGAAAGACATCCTGTTCTCATGAATTGGAAGACTTAATAGTGTTAAAATATCCATACCATTCAAAGAAGTCTACAAGGCTGGCGCAGTAGCTCACACTTGTAATCTCAGCACTTTGGGAGGCCGACGTGTGTGGATCACTTGAAACCAGGAGTTAGAGACCAGCCTGGGCAACATGGTGAAACCCCATCTCAACTAAAAATACAAAATTAGCCAGGCATATTGGTGTACACCTGTAATCCCAGCACTTTGGGACGCTGAGGAAGGCAGATTACTTGAGGCCAAGAGTTGAAGACCAGCATGGGCAACATGGTGAAACCCTGTCTCTACTAAAAATACAAAAAAGTTGTCGGGTGTGGCGGCACTCACCTGTAGTTCCAGCTACTCGGGAGGCTGAGGTGGGAGGATTGTTTGGGCCTGGGAAATGAAGGTTGCAGGGCTGCAGTGAGCCGAGATTGTGCCACTGCCCTCCAGTCTGGGCAACAGAGCAACATTCTGTCTCAAAAACAACAGCAACAACAACAAAGTAATCTGCAGCCTCAATCCTAGACCCATCAAAATCCCAGTGACATTTTTTACAGCAATAGAGAAAACAATTCTAAAATTCATATGTAGCCACAAAAGACCCAGAATAGCCAAAGCAATCTTGAGAAAAAAGAACAAAGCTGTGAGGTCAGAGCCACCACAGAGAATAGGTCTAGTGGAGCTTTGGAGGTGGGCCCCCCCCACTCCCCAAGAACCCAGAACTGTAGAGCTACCAGCAAGCAACAGCAGCTTGGGTGCCTGCAACCCCTGAGAGATTGCTGTGTGGGCTGAGCCCAGCAAGCTTGTGGGGGCGGGGCTACCTGAAGCCTTGGGGGCCCAATCCCTACCCCAGTGTGCCCAAAGGTGGTGCATACCGTCAAAGATAATTGTGGAGGTTTAAGACAATGTTGTTTGCCCTGTGGGCTTTTGGATTTGCTGGGAACTGCTATTCCTTTTTTCTTTCCTGTTGCTCCCTTTAGGAATGGGAACATTCATCTTCTGCCTGTCCCACTGTTGTATTTTGGAAGTAGATAACTTGTGTTTGTTTTTGAGATGGAGTCTCACTCTGTCACTCAGGCTGGAGTGCAATGGTGCAATCGCGGCTCACTGCAACCTCCACTTCCTGGGTTCAAGCGATTCTTGTGCCTCACCCTCCTGAGTAGCTGGGACTACAGGTGCGTGCCACCACTCCTGGCTAATTTTTGAATTTTTAGTAGAGACGGGGTTTCACCATGTTGGCCAGGCTGGTTTTGAACTCCTGACCTCAAGCGATCCACCCACCTTGGCCTCCCAAAGTGCTGGGGTTGCAGGCGTGAGCCACCGCATCCAGCCGAGATAATTTGTTTTGATTTCACAGGTTCACAGCTGGAGGAATTTGCTTTAGAATGAACTGTGCTTACAGTATCACCCATATCTGGTTTAGACGAGACTCTGGGCTTTGAACTTTTGAGTTGGTACTGGAACAAATTAAGACTATGGGTCTATTGAGATGGAATGAATGTATTTTACATGTGAGAAGGGTATGAATTTGGTGGACCAGAGGCAGAAGGCTGTGGTTTGAATGTGTCCCCAAAAAGCATGTGTTAAAAACTTAATTCCCAATGCAACAGTGTTGGGAGGTGAGGCCTAATGAGAGGTGATTAGGCCATAGGGCAGAGTGAAGGAATTAATGCTATTATCACAAGAGTGGGTTCACTATAAAAGGGGGAGTTTAACCCCCTGTATTAGTCTGTTTTCATGCTGTTGATAAGGACATACCCGAGACTGGGCAATTTACAAAAGAAAGAGGTTGAATGGACTCACAGTTACACGTGGCTGAGGAGGCCTCACAATCATGGTGGAAGATGAAGGGCACATCTCACATGGCGGCAGACAAGAGAGGAGAGCTTGTGCAGGAAAACTCCCCTTTATAAAACCATCAGATCTCATGAGACTTATTCACTATCGTGAGAACAGCATGGGAAAGACCTGCCCCCATGATTCAATTACCTCCCACCAGGTCTCTCCCACAACAGGTGGGAATTCAAGATAAGATTTGGGTGGCGACACAGCCAAACTATATCATTCTGCCCCTGGCCCCTCCAAAATTTCATGTCTTCACATTTCAAAACCAATCATACCTTCCCAACAGTCCCCCAAAGTCTTAACTCATTCCAGCATTAACTCAGAAGTCCACAGTCCAAAGTCTGATCTGAGACAAGGCAAGTCCCTTCCGCCTATGAGCCTGTAAAATCAAAAGCAAGTTAGTTACTTCCTAGATATGATGGGGGTACAGGCATTGGCTAAATACAACTGTTCCAAGTGGGAGACATTGGCCAAAACAAGGGGGCTACAGACCCCATGGAAGTCAGAAATCTAGTGGGGCAGTCAAATATTAAAGCTCCAAAATGATCTTCTTTGACTCTATGTCTCACATCCAGGTCACACTGATGCAAGAGGTAGGCTCCCATGGTCTTGGGCAGTTCCACCCCTGTGGCTTTGCAGGGTACAGACTCCTTCCCAGCAGCTTTCATGGGCTTGTGTTGAGTGTCTGTGGCTTTTCCAGGCTCATGGTGCAAGCTGTTGGTGGATCGACTATTCTGGGGTCTGGAGGATAGTGGCCCTCTTCTCACAGCTCCACTAGGCAGTGCTCCAGTGGGGACTCTGTGTGGGGGCTCCGACCCCACATTTCCCTTCTGCACTGCCCTAGCAGAGGTTCTCCATGAGGACTTTGCCCCTGCAGCAAACTTCTGCCTGGACAGCCAGGCATTTCCATACATCCTCTGAAAGCTAGGCAGAGGTTCCCAAACCTCAGTTCTTGTTTTCTGTGCACCTGCAGGACCAACACCACATGGAAGCTGCCAAGGCTTGGGGTTTGCACCCTTTGAAGCAACGGCCTGAGCTGTACCTTGGCTCCTTTTAGCCACGGCTGGAAAGGCTGGGAGTCCCTAGGCTGCACACAGGAGGGGGTGCCCTGGACCCAGCCCAGGAAACCATTTTTCCCTTTTAGGCATCCAGGCCTGTGATGGGCGGGCCTGCCCCGAACGTCTCTGACATGCCCTGGAGACATTTTCCCCATTGTCTTGGTGATTAACATTCGGTTCCTCGTTACTTATGCAAATTTCTGAAGTGGCTTGAATTTCTCCCCAGAAAATGGGGGTTTCTTTTCTATCACATATTCAGGCTGCAAATTTTTCAAACTTTTATGCTCTGTTTGTTTCCTCTTGAACACTTAGCTGCTTAGAAATTTCTTCCGCCAGGTATCCTAAATAATCTCTCTCAAGTTCAAAGTTCCACAGATCTCCAAGGCAGGGGCAAAAAGCCACCAGTCTCTGCTAAAGCATACCTTTGCTCCAGTTCCCAACAGGTTCCTCATCTCCATCTGAGGCCATATCAGCCTGGAATTTATTTTTCATATCACTACCAGCATTTTGGTCAAAGCCATTCAACAAATGTCTAGGAAGTTCCAAACTTCCCCACATCTTCCTGTCTCCTTTAGAGCCCTCCAAACTGTTCCAACCTCTGCCTGTTACCCAGTTCCAAAGTTGCTTCCACATTTTTGGGTATCCTTATAGCAGCACCCAACTCCTGGTACCAATTTATTGTATTAGCCCCTTTATAAAACCATTAGTCTAAGGGAGGAGACCACCCCTCATATTGTCTTATGCTCAATTTCTGCCTCCAAAGAAAGAAGAAGTAAAAACTAAAAGGCAGAAATGAAATCCATAGGCTGCCACACCCTGGGCCTGGTTAAAGATTGACCCCTGACCTAACCAGTTATGTTATCTATAGATTCCAGACATTGTATGGAAAAGCATTGTGAAAATCCCTGTCCTATTCTGTCCCGTTCCGATTACCAGTGCATGCAGCCCCCAGTCACGTACCCCCTGCTTGCTCAATTGATCATGACTCTCTCACGTGGACCCCCTTAGAGTTGTAAGCCCTTAAAAGGGATGGGAATTGCTCACTCGGGGAGCTCAGTTTTTGGAGATGTGAGTCTTGCTGAAGCTCCCAGCTGAATAAAGCCCTTCCTTCTTTAACTCGGTGTCTGAGGGATTTTGTCTGAGGCTTGTCCTGCTACATTACTTGGTTCCCTGACCAGTTAGAAAGGTGATTAATGGATGGTGGAGGCAGCCCCTTAGGCAGCTTAGGCCTGCCCTGTGGAGCATCCCTGCAGGGGACTCCAGCCAGCTTGAGTGACGCGGATCCTGAGAGTGCCCCGGGGTAGGCAATTACCCCAGTGGAACGCCTCACCAGAGCAGCATGTGGCAGGCCCCTGTGGAAGATCAACTCAGTGGCTGAACACCGGGAAGGAACTGGCACTTGGAGTCTGGACATCTGAAACTTGGTAAGACTGGTCTTTGGAACTTGCCCACTCCATTTCAATGGAAGCGTGGCCTGATCACCCACGATGTGCCTGTACCGGCACTTTGGTTTTTGTTTTTGACTTGACTTGGGTTGCTTGATACTTTGGTTTTGGTTTTGACCTGGCTTAGATTTCTGGATACTCTGATTTTGGTTTTGATTCTGGTTTGGTGTAAACTGTAAAAGTGTGTGTGTGCCCTTTTTACCCGTTCTTTGTTTTGTGGTGTGTGTGTGGTGTGAGAGTGGTGTTTTGTCTTGAGGAAGCATGGGTCGGGCACAAGGTAAGCCCACCCCACTAGGAACTATGTTGAAAATTTTCAAGAAAGGATTTACGGGAGATTACAGTGTTACTATGACACCAGGAAAACTTAGAACTTTGTGTGAAATAGACTGGCCAGCATTAGAGGTGGGTTGGCCATCAGAAGGAAGCTTGGACAGGTCCCTTGTTTTAAAGGTATGGCACAAGGTAACCTGTAAGCCAGGGAACCCAGACCAGTTCCCGTAGCTAGACACTTGGTTACAGGTGGTTTTAGACCCCCCCACACACACAGTGGTTGAGAGAACAGCAGCATAAGCGGCTGGCAGAGGCAAGGAAAGACCAGCAGAGGGAGAGAGAGGAAAGAGACAGAGAGGAAAGAGGCAAAGAGAGAGAGGAAGAGACAGAGAGACAAAGAGGGAGTCGAGGAGAAAAAGAGAGGAAGAGACAGAGGCAAAAGGAAAGTCAAAAAGAGAGACAGAAAGTCAAAAAAAGAAAGAGAGAAATATACAAGTAGTTAAAAAAAAAAAAAACAGCGTACCCTATCTATTCCTTTAAAAGCCCGGGTAAATTTAATACCTATAATTGATAATTGAAGGTCTTCTCCGTGACCCTACAACACTCCAATACAACCTTGTTGTAAGTGTAAACAAGGGCGTAGCCTGAAAGCATTGAGGCCACTGACTACCTGTAGCCTTCCTATCAAAAATCCTTAACCCAGTAACCTGTGGATGGCCCAAATGCATTCAATCTGTAGTGGCAACTGCTTTGCTAACAGAATAAAGTAGAAAAATAACTTTTAGAGGAAATCTCATTATGAGCACACCTCACTAGTTCAGAAGTATCCTAAGCGGGGGAAAAAAAAAGATGATTTAACATTAACCACTGAAAATTCCCTTAACCCAGCAGGTTTCCTAACAGGGGATCTAAATCTTAATTACCATACAAAGGTCTGATCAGACCTAGGAGGAACTCCCTTCAGGACAGGATGATAGATGCTTCCTCCCAGGTAATTGAAGAAAAAAAAGCCATCTATACCAATTCTAAGTTAATTTGGACTAAACAAGGTCTTATTAATAGCAAAGGATAATTGAAATCCCAAACTTACAAGATTTTCAACAAAAGTAAAGTTTGCTAAAAGTTAACAATGTAACATGTATTATAATAACTTCTAATCTTGTGGCCTTAGACAATCTAGCCCACAGACATAAAGGAAGTTCACTTTGGAAAAGAATGGTTATCTTAGAAGAAAAAAAAAAGGGGGGAAAAGATGGGGGCAGAGTTTATGTAAAAAGAATATTATATGGTAAATTCTTGTCCTGAAATAAATTAACTGGTTGTTTAAAGAAAGAAATGTTTGTAATAAGTCTGAAAGTTGAGGCAGGTCAAAGAATTGTCTGTGAAAGTCATGAAAGAGAAAAAATATATATTATAAAAAAAGAATTTATGCAAGAAATGTTGTATAATTTAAAAGTAACTAAGCCTCCTGAATGTAAAACTATTGAAAAAATAGTTTATGTGCAAGGTGTATAAGGAAAGTAAAATATACCTTTGGTAAAAGGATTATAAGGTGGCATAAGAATGTAAATTTTTACCTACATTAAAAGGTTAAAACAAATTTGTTTTGAAGGTTTAAGCAAGTTTTAAAATGTTAATTGTAAAAAAAATTCTGCGTGTAAACATATTAGCTAAAGTTAAAGGGGTATCATCCAGTTTTTCTGTGAAGTGAACATTAAAATAAAAACACAACGTGTTTCTCTTAAAGCACTAACCTGCTCTTTAACACAGATTATAAAAGGTTAAAAAGAGTCTATAAAAATCTTACCTTATGGTCTGACATTAAAAACTGAATAAATATGTCTGCAAAGTTTTATTAAAACTAAGTTTAACATTGGCCGGGCGCAGTGGCTCACGCCTGTAGTCCCAGCACTTTGGGAGGCCGAGGCGGGCAGATCCCAAGGTCAGGAGATCGAGACCATCCTGGCTAACACGGTGAAACCCCGTCTCTACTAAAAATACAAAAAATTAGCCGGGCGTGGTGGCAGGCGCCTGTAGTCCCAGCTACTCGGGAGGCTGAGGCAGGAGGGAGGCAGAGCTTGCAGTGAGCCGAGATGGAGCCACCACACTCCAGCCTGGGTGACAGAGTGAGACTCCATCTCAAAAAAAAAAAAAAAAACTAAGTTTAACATTAATAACACACTAATATAAAGGTGAAATTTAGCTTATCTGGTATAAAAATCATACAGGAAGCATTATCAAATATAAAATGGTGTTTGACTTCTTTGGTCCAAAAACTAATAAAAATAGGTGCTAAAGGAAATTTCTCAGTAGAAAGTCACCAAGGACTATAATGTCCACTGCTGATGTCCCCACATTTAAAACAAAAGGTCAGTTTCTTAAAAATTATATACTTGGTTAATCCTCCACTTCCCTTTCCCTCAAAACTAAAAGTCTTTTAGCACATGTACCACCCCTAGAATTTCCAGTAAACCAGCACCAGCACCAGCCTGAAGATCACGTTCTCATCAAAGGATGAAAAAAAAGGAAACTCGAGCCAGCCTAGGAAGGACCCTATCTTGTGCTGCTAACCACCGAGACTGCTGTTCGTACAGCGAAAAAAGGATGGACTCATCACACCTGAGTCAAGAAAGCGCCACCCCCTCCAGAATCATGGGCCATAGTCCCAGGGGAAAACCCTACCAAACTAAAGCTAAGAAAAATTTAACTCTTTCATCTATTCTATTACTCTTTCTTCTTTCCTCGCTCTATTGCTGACCATCTAGTTATTAACATAACCAAGTCAATTTTACCTCAGACTATTGCATTTAATGCTTGTCTTGTTATACCCTGTGGGGACCTGCCAAGTCAAAGACAGTTCTGTACTTGAGAAAAATACATCTGTCCCTCCTGACTCTCCTCAGACTGGGCATTGGTAAATTAGGACCATTTAATCAGGGGAAATTTCAATAAAGACTCCAGTGTCAACCAGGAGTCTTGCTCCCCAATGTAGAGCTTTTATGCTGTACTTGGTCCAACATTCTGTGGACCACTAAAGTGCAAGGATGGACTGCCCCAACTGGTTTTTGTAATTTCCTAAAATCATACATTCATTTTACTAGAGGATCATAGAAGTTAAAGACTTAAAACAAACTTTGGCAATTAAGACAGGATACCAAGATGCAAATGCCTGGTTGGAATGGATCAAATATTCCGTCTGCACCTTAAACAAAAGCAATTCTTATGCTTGTGCATATGGCAGGCCAGAGTCCCAGATTGTCCCCTTTCCACTAAGGTGGTCCTCCAGTGGACCAGGCATGCGCTGCATGGTAGCTCTTTTCCAGGATTCTACAGCCTGGAGTGATAAGTCGTGCCAAGCTCTCTCTGCTATATCCCAAAGTACGGCACCCTGTGGGTCAGCCCCCAAGGGCCATCCAGCTTCCGTCTCCCAACACTAACTTCACTTCTTGTCTCTCACGACAGGGAGGAAACTTAGCATTCCTTGGAGACCTGAAGGGATGCAGTGAGCTTAATAATTTTCAAGAGCTTATCAATCAGTCAGCGCTTGTTCATCCCTGAGTGGATGTGTGGTGGTATTGGGGTGGACCTTTATTGGGCACTCTGCCGAATAACTGGAGTGGCACTTGTACTTTAGTCCAATTGGCTATCCCTTTCACCCTGGCATTTCATCAACCAGAGGGAGGAAAAATAAGACATTGTAAAGCGAGAGAAGCCCCTTATAGGTCTTTCGACTCTCATGTCTATTTAGACGCAATTGGAGTCCCATGGGGAATACCAGATCAATTTAAAGCTTGAAATCAAATAGCTGCAGGATTTGAGTCAATATTTTGGTCGGTGACAGTTAATAAAAATTTAGATTGGATAAACTACATCTATTACAACCAACAGCAATGAGCTTTTCATGAGTTAAAAGAAAAACTCATGTCGGCCCCAGCCCTGGGGCTACCTGACCTGACAAAACCCTTTACACTCTATGTGTCAGAAAGAGAAAAAATGGCAGTTTTGGAGTTTTAACCCAGACTGTGGGGCCCTCTCTCAAAACAACTAGACGGGGTTTCCAAAGGCTGGCCCCCATGTCTAAGGGCCCTGGCAGCAATGGCCCTGTTAGCACAAGAAGCAGATAAACTAACCCTTGGGCAAAACCTGAATATAAAGGCCCCCCATGCTGTGGTAACTTTGATGAATACCAAAGGACATCACTGGATAACAAATGCTAGATTAACCAAGTACCAAAGCTTGCTATGTGAAAATCCCCACATAACCACTGAAGTTTGCAACACCCTAAACCCAGCTACCTTGCTCCCAGTATCAGAGAGCCCAGTTGAACACAACTGTGTAGAGGTATTGGACTCAGTTTATTCTAGTGGGCCCAACCTTTGAGACCATCCTTGAACATCAGTAGACTGTGAGCGGTATGTGGACGGGAGCAGCTTCGCCAACCCCTGCAAAGTAACTCTGAAGAAGTCGACAAGCCCTGCTCCAGTCACACCCGGAAGCTGACTGGTCCACGCACGGCTGAAGCATGAGAAAACTCATCGCGGGACTCATTTTCCTTAACATTTGGACTTGTACAGTAAGGACTTCAACTGACCTTCCTTGGACTGAGGACTGTTCCTAGTGTATACATCAAGTCACTGAGGTAGGACAAAAGGTTGCTACGGTCCTATTATTTTATGGTTATTATAAGTGTACTAGAACTCTAAAAAGAACTTGCTTGTATAATGTTATTCTATACAAGGTACATAGCCCAGGAAATGACCAACCTAATGTGTGTTATGACCCATCTGAGCCTCCCATGACCACAGTTTTTGAAATAAGATTAAGAACTGAGGACTGATGGGGGCTCATAAACAATACGAGTAAAGTGTTAGCCAAAACAGAAGAAAAAGGGGTGCCCAAACAAGTCACCTTGAAATCTGATGCCTGTGCTGTCATTAATAGTAATAAGTTAGGAATATGATGTGGTTCCCTTAATTAAGAAAGAGGCTATATGGCAGAACGTAAGTACACTTGTCATGAATTAAGACTGTGTGGAAATAAATGTGGATAGTGGTCTTGTGTCATTTAGGCTACTTGGATAAAAAATAAAAAAAATCCTGTCCATCTTCAGAAAGGGAAAAGTGGCCCTTCCTGTACCAGTGGTCAGTGTAACCCCTTAGAACTGGTAATAACCAAATCCCTTGATCCTTGCTGGAAAAAAGGGGAGCATGTAACCTTAGGAACTGATGGGGCTGGACTGGATCCTCGAGTAAATATTGTGGTTTGAGTAGAAGTTTATAAACACTCTCCTGAGCCAGTATTTCAAACCTTCTATGATGAACTGAATGTGCCAGTACCAGAAATTCCAGGAAAAACAAGAAATTTGTTTTTTCAATTAGCCGAGCATGTAGCCCAGTCTCTCAATGTCACTTCATGTTATGTATGTGGAGGAACGGTAATGGGAGACCAATGGCCATGGGAAGCCCAAAAATTAGTACCTACAGACCCAGTTCCTGATGAATTCCTGGCTCAAAAAAATTACCCTGATAATTTCTGGGTCCTAAAAGCCTCAATCATTAGATAATACTATATAGCAAGAGTGGGGAAGGACTTCACCCTTCCTGTGGGAAGACTCAGCTGCCTTGGGCAAAAACTGTATAATAGTACTACAAAAACAGCCACCTAGTGGAGTTCAAACCACACTAAGAAAAATCCATTTAGTAAATTCCCAAAGTTGCAAAACGTGTGGACCCACCCAGAGTCCCACCGGGACTGGACAGCCCCCACTAGATTATACCGGATATGTGGGCATAGACCTTATGTCAAATTACCCAACCAGTGGGCAGGTAGTTGTATTATTGGCACTATTAAACCATCTTTCTTCCTACTGCCCATAAAGACAGGCGAACTCCTGGGCTTCCCTGTCTATGCTTCCCACGCAAAGAGAAGCATAGCTATTGGAAATTGGAAAGATAATGAATGGCCCCCTGAGAGAATCATACAATATTATGAGCCTGCTACTTGGGCACAAGACGGCTTGTGGGGATACCAGATCCCCATTTACATGCTCAACCGAATCATATGGTTACAAGCTGTCTTAGAAATAATCACTAATAAGACCAGCAGAGCCTTGACTATTCTGGCCCGGCAAGAAACCCAAATGAGAAATGCTATTTATCAAAATAGATTGGTTCTCGACTACTTGCTAGCAGCTGAAGGAGGGGTCTGTGGGAAATTTAACCTTACTAATTGCTGTCTACACATAGATGATCAAGGGCGAGTAGTTGAAGACATAGTTAGAAATATGACAAAATTGGCACATGTGCCCGTGCAAATGTGGCATGGATTTGATCCTGGGGCCATGTTTGGAAAATGGTTCCCAGCACTGGAAAGATTTAAAACTCTTATAATGGGAGTTATAATAGTAATAGAAACCTGCTTACTGCTCCCTTGTTTACTATCTGTACTTCTTCAAACGATAAGGAGCTTCATCGCTACCTTAGTTCACCAAAATGCTTCAGCACAGGTATGCTATATGAATCACTATCGATCTATCTTGCAAGAAGGCATGGGTAGTGAGAATGAAAGTGAGAACTCCCACTATTGAGTGAGATTCTCAAAGCGGGGAAATAAGGGAGGAGACTACCCCTCATTTTGTCTTATTCCCAATTTCTGCCTCCAAAGAAAGAAGAAGTAAAAACTAAAAGGCAGAAATGAAATCCACAGGCAGACAACCCAGCGCTGCACCCTGGGCCTGGTTAAAGATCGACCCCAACCTAACGGGTTATGTTATCTATAAATTCCAGACATTGTATGGAAAAGCACTGTGAAAATCCCTGTCCTGTTCTGTTCCATTCTGATTACTGGTGCATGCAGCCCCCAGTCACCTACCCCTGCTTGCTCAATTGATCATGACCCTCTCATGTGGACCCCCTTAGAGTTGTAAGCCCCTAAAAGGGACAGGAATTGCTCACTCAGGGAGCTCGGTCTTTGGAGACATGAGTCTTGCCGAAGCTCCCGGCTGAATAAAGCCCTTCCTTCTTTAACTCGGTGCCTGAGGGATTTTGTCTGTGGCTTGTCCTGCTCCAAGTCCCTTTATAAAACCATTAGATCTCATGGGACTTATTCACTATCATGAGAACAGCACTGGAAACACCTGCCCTCATGATTCAATTACCTCCCACCAGGTCCCTCCCAAAACATGTGGGAATTCAAGATGAGATTTGAGTGGGGACATGGCCAAATCATATCACCCCCATTCTCTCTCTCTCTCTGTCACCCTTGCTTTGCCCTTCTGCCATGGAATGATGCAGCAAGCTTTGCCTAGTTGCTGGTCCCTTGATCTTGGACTTTCCAGCCTCCAGAACCTTGAGCCAATGAAATTCTGTTCATTATAAACTACCCAGTCTGGCCAGGTGTGGTGGTTCACGCCTGTAATCCCAGAACTTTGGGAAGCCAAGGCAGGCGGGTCACGAGGTCAGGAGTTCAAGACCAGCCTGGTCAACATGGCAAAACCTCGTCTCTACTAAAAATACAAAAATTAGCCAGGCATGGTGGCATGTGCCTGTAATCCCAGCTACTCTGGAGGCTGAGGCAAGAGAATTGCTTGAACCCAGAAGGCAGAGGTTGCAGTGAGCCAAGATTGCGCCACTGTACTCCAGCCCATGCAACAGAGCAAGACTCTGTCTCAAAAAAAAAAAAAAAAAATTACCCAGTCTGTAGTATTCTGTTACAGCAGCACAAAACAGACTAAGACATATGGTCTTAGTCTGATCTTTGAGTAGATTGTCAATCAGTAGATTGACTGATCTTTGAGTAGAGTGTCAAGAATATACAATGGAAAAATGATAGTATCTTCAACAAACATTGTTGGAAAAACCAGATATCCACATGCAGAAGAATGAAATTGGACCCCTATCTTACACCATACACAAAAATCAACTCAAATTAGCTGGGCGTGGTGACTCACGCCTGTAATCCCAGCACTTTGGGAGGCTGAGGCGGGCAGATTGCCTCAGGTCAAGAGTTAGAGACAGTTTGGCCAACATGCTGAAACTCCATCTCTACTAAAAATTCAAAAATTAGCCAGGCATGGTGGTGCACGCCTGTAGTCCCAGGTACTCGGGAGGCTGAGGCAGGAGGATTGCTTGAACCTGGGAGGCAAAGGTTGCAGTGAGCTGAGATCGTGCCACTGCACTCCAGCCTGGGGAACAGAGAAAGACTCCGTCTCAAAAAAATCAACTCAAAATGGATTAAAGACTTAAATGTAATACCGGAAACTGTAAAACTCCTAGAAGAAAACACAGGAGGAAATCTTCTTGACATTGGTGTTGGCAGTGATTTATTGGATATGACACAAAAAGCACAGGCAACAAAAGCTAAAATAGACAAGTGGGACTACATCAATCCGAAATATTCTGCACAGCAAAGGAAACAACACAGAGTGAAAAGGGATCATACAGAATGGAACAAAAGATTTGCAAACCATTTCTCGCTTAAGGGGTTGATATCCAAAGTACAGAAGAAACTCCAACAGCTCAATAGCAAATAACAAAAAGAACAACAATTTTTTTTTTTTTGAAACAGAGTCTTGCTCTGTTTCCCAGGCTGGAGTGAAGTGGCACAATCTCGGCTCACTGCAACCTCTGCCTCCTGGGTTCAAGCGATTCTCCTTCCTCAGCCCCGCAAGTAACTGGGATTACAGGCACCTGCCACCATACCTGGCTAATTTTTTGTATTTTTAGTAGAGATGGAGTTTCGACATGTTGGCCAAGCTGGTCTCAAACTCCTGACCTCAAGTGATCTGCCCGCCTCGGCCTCCCAAAGTGCTGGGATTACAGGTGTGAACCACCGTGCCTGACCAAAAAAATAATAATTTGATTAAAAAGTGGACAAAAGACTTCTCCAAAGAAGACATACAAATGCCACCAGGGGCAGGGTGCGGTGGCTCACATCTGTAATCCTATCACTTTGAGAGGCCAAGGCAGGAAGATTGCATGAGGCTAGGAGTTCGAGACCAGCCTGGGCAACATGGTGAAACCCCGTCTCTACAAACACATACAAAAATTAGCCAGGTGTGGTGGTGCATGCCTGTAGTCCCAGCTACTTGGAAGGGTGAGGCGGGAGGATCACTCAATCCCAGGAAGTCAAGGTTGCTGAGCTGTGATTAAACAACTGCACTCCAGTGGGTGACAGAGCGACACTCCGTCTCAAAACAAAACAAAACAAACATCATTTTCAGACCAGCTTGGGAGCCAGCCCTACTCTCTCTCAAAAGCCTCATTGTGTGAGTAATAAATTTTTCATACCTTCTTGGTGTATGCGTGGCATCAGCAGGCTTGACATTTGAACCAAATTTGCTGTGTGTGTGTATTCATGGATCCACCTCACCTCTGCAGGGTGATACAGTAATGACCTTGACAAAAGGGGTACTGACAAAAAGAAATGCAGTCCCTGACATCCAAGAACTGGCCTGGTTCATCACCTAAGCCTTGGTGTTGTGAGCAGCTGACCTGACACTCCCATCGGTGTCTCCTGTTGATCATGAACAATTCCACAAAATATTAACATCAGATGAAGCTGCTCTGCGGTCATGGTAGATCAAGACAAAAACAAGACCAGTCTGGAATCAAGTCTGAGACACAGAAAAAAACATGGACGTTGTCCAAACCACAAAATGGCCAAACATCCGTCCATCCTGGCTGATGTGAGTGGTTCCTGCTTCCTTATCAGTTATAGCTTTCATCCACTTCATTCCTTTTGCCTTGTAGATATAAATCAAGATATTACATCCTAGAATTACTCCTACTTTCTGACAGGAGGCAATCCAGAGCAAAGTCCTGCTTCTTTAACCCTCTCTGAAATCACCTAACACAAACTCCAACCCAGTAATACCTTTTCTTTTCTTGTCTTGTCTTTTCTTCTTCTTCTTTTTTTTTTTCCCGAGACGGAGTCTTGCTCTGTTGCCTAGAACTGGAGTGCAATGGTGTGATCTCAGCTCACTGCAACCTCCGCCTCCCAGGTTCAAACAATTCTCCTGCCTCAGCCTCCTGAGTAGCTGGGATTACAGGTGCACCCCACCATGCCTGGCTAATTTTTTTGTATTTTTAGTAGAGACAGGGTTTCACCATGTTGGCCAGGCTGGTCTCAAACTCCTGACCTCGTGATCCGCCTGCACTGGCCTCCCAAAGTGCTAGGATTACAGGCATAGCCACTGTGCCCAGCCTCTTTTTTTCTTTTTCTTTTTTTTTTTTTTTTTTTGTTGTTTTTTTTGAGACGATCACAGCTCACTGCAGCCTCGAACTCTTGGGGTCAAGCGACCCTCCCTCCTCAGTCTCCTGAATAGCTGAGTCTACAGGTGCATGCCACCATGCCTATCTACTTTTCAAATTTTTTTTAGAGATGAGGGTCTCACTAGGTTGCCCAGGTTGGTCTCGAACTCCTGGGCTCAAGTGAATCTCCCACCTCAGCCTTCCAAAACGCTGTGATTACAGGTGTGAGCCACCGTGTCCGGCTCCCTTTTCTAACACCCTTTTAATGAGATGCTCCATGGTTTCCCACGATGTGGATGCTTCATCATTGCAATGAGTTAATAAATCCAACTTCCGGGCCAGGCACAGTGGCTCACGCCTGTAATCCCAGCACTTGGGGAGGCCAAGGTGGGTGGATCACCTGAGGTCAGGAGTTCGAGACCAGACTGGCCAACATGGCAAAACCCCCGTCTCTACTAAAAATACAAAAAATTAGCCAGGTGTGGTGGTGCATGCTTGTAATCCCAGCTACTTGGGAGGCTGAGGCAGGAGAATTGCTTGAACCTGGGAGGTGGCGGTCACAGTGAGCCAAGATTGCACAGCTGCACTCCAGCCTAGGCAACAAGAGCGATACTCCACCTCAAAACAAAACAAAAAAAAAATTAGCCGGGCATGGTGGCCCATGCCTGTAGTCCCAGCTACTCAGGAGGCTGAGGCAGGAGAATCGCTTAAACCTGGGAGGTGGAGGTTGCAGTGAGCCAAGATCGCAGCACTGCACTCCAGCCTGGGCGACAGAGCGAGACTCCGTCTCAAAAAAAAAAAAAAAAAAATCTAATTTTGGTAAACTACCACTATGCTCCTGGTGGTCTTTGGCTGGAGGGCATTGGTGTTATTCACTTAGAAAATCCAAGAGAATCATAAAAAAAAAAAAAAAAAAACTCTTAGACTTAATAAGAGAAGTCAGCAAGGTGACCAAAACCAAAAATGAATACAAAATACAAAGATGGGGCCGGGCGCGGTGGCTAATGCCTGTAATCCCAGCACTTTGGGAGGCCGAGGCGGGTGGATCACGAGGTCAGGAGATTGAGAACATCCTGGCTAACATGGTGAAACCCCGTCTCTACTAAAAAAGTACAAAAAATTAGCCGGGCGTGGTGGTCGGCGCCTGTAGTCCCAGCTACTCGGGAGGCTGAGGCAGGAGAATGGTGTGAACCCGGGAGGCGGAGCTTGCAGTGAGCCGAGATAGCACCACTGCACTTCAGCCTGGGCGACAGAGCGAGACTCCGTCTCAAAAAAAAAAAAAAAAACAAGAAAAAAAAAAAACAAAGATGGGTATAGCCTTCCTTGACAGACACCTGAAATCAGAAAATGTAAGAGGGCAGGGTACCGTTGATCACAGTAACAAAATTTATCAACCTCTTGTAAGCAAGAAAAGTGTGAGCTCGGCCAGGCATGGTGGCTCATGCCTGTAATCCCAGCACTTTGGGAGGCTGAGGTGGGCAGATTATGAGGTCAGGAGATCGAGACCATCCTGGCCAACATGGTGAAACCTCGTTCATACTAAAATACAAAAAATTAGCTGGGTGTGGTGGTGCACGCCTGTAGTCCCAGCTACTTGGGAGGCTGCAGCAGGGGAATCGCTTGAACCTGGGAGGCGGAGATTGCAGTGAGCCGAGATCGCGCCACTGCACTCCAGCCTGGTGACACAGCGAGACTCCGTTTCAAAAAAAAAAAGAAAAGAAAATATGAGCTCTATACATTTTGACAGAAGAAAAAAATGACCAGAATAAATGGAAAGGTATATCCGTATTTCAGGCAAAAAGAATCAACACTGGAGGCCGAGTGCGCCTGTAGTCTCAGCTACCTGGGAGGCTAAGGCAGGGGGATTGCTTGAGCCCAGGAGGTCGAGGTTTCAGTGAGCTAAGATGGCACCACTGCACTCCAGCCTGGGTGACAGTGAGAGTCTATCTCAAAATAAATAAATAAAAATAAAAGAAAGAAAGAAACAAAAAAGCCATGTCCCGTAGTACCTCAGGCACCTCCCTGTGACTTGAACAGCATGATTTCATGTTGCCAGGTTTTTTGTTTTTTGGCTTTTTTTTTTCTTGAGGCAGACTTTTGCTCTTGTTGCCCAGGCTGGAGTGCAATGGTGTGATCTCGGCTCACTGTGACCTCCACCTCCAGGATTCAAGAGATTCTCCTGCCTCAGCCTCCCAGGTAGCTGGGATTGCAGATGTGCACCATCATACCCGGCTAATTTTGTACTTTTTTTTAGTAGAGATGGGGTTTCACCATGTTGGTCAGGCTGGTCTTGAACTTCTGATCTCAAGTGATCCACCCACCTCGGCCTCCCAAAGTGCTGGGATTACAGGTATGAGCCACCATGCCTGGCCATGAAGCCAGGTTTTTGAACTTTGTATAAAGGGAATCATATAGTATTATCCTTCTGTGTCCTGCAGCTTCTTTTGCCCAACATTGTTTGTGAGGTCCATCCCTGTTATGCACATGGAATTATCCTTTCTTCATTTTCATTGTAAGTCAGAACTGTGAAGGGTTTGAGTTTACCCTACTTGCAAGCTAAAAAGTTAGCCTGCCAAATTTTGCACAGACACACATACATGCACATGTGCATACACACAGATATATAAAACACAAGACCCCAGCCTGGGCAACATAGCTAGACTCTGTTGCTACAAACAAATTAAAAAAAATTAGGGGCTTGATGGCACATGCTTGTAGTCTCAGCTACTTGGGAGGCTGAGGTGGGAGGATTGCTTGAGTCCTGGAGGTCGAGGCTGCAGTCAGCTATGAACACGACACTGCACTCCAGCCTGGGTGACAGAGTGAAATTTTGTCTCAAAACACACACACACACACACACACACACACACACACACACACACACGATCATGAATCAGAAAAATGGATCATTGATTACCACAAAATCAGCAGCCAGAGCTATACCTTGCATCAATTCCTCATGCCCCAGCTCACACGAAGCCAGATATTTCCTGTGCGTTCAGTGGGTTGCATCATGCGGGAAGAAACTAAAATTAGGAGACTAAGCTGTTGTGAACTTGCTGACACACCTGCCTGTCCTCCCCTCCATAGCCAGAGATTATTCATTACCCTGGAATGTCAGCAATCTCCTGGTTGTGGGGAGGGGTGGGGCATTTCTATGTTTCTTACGCTGAACTGTCTCTAAATCTCTCCAGAGGGATGCACTATCTCAATATCCAAGGCTGCTGTTCAAACATTGTTCAGAAGGCCTAGCCCATGCAGGAACATGAGTGATCTGTGCAGATCTGCCTCCCAACACATTGCTATATAGTATTTCCTTGCGTGAATATACCATCATTTTTGTATCCATTCTTTGGCTGATGTGCATTTGGGTAGTTTTTAGTTTGGGGCTATTATGAAAAAAGTTGCTATAAACATTATTTTATGTCTTTGGTTAACATTTATACACATTCTGTTCTCGCTTCATTTCATTCGTTTGATCTTCCATCACTGATACCATTTCTTCCAGTTGATTGAATCGGCTACTGAGGCTTGTGCATTCGTCACATAGTTCTCGTGCCTTGGTTTTCAGCTCCACCAGGTCCTTTAAGGACTTCTCTGCATTGGTTATTCTAGCTAGCCATTCGTCTAATTTTTTTTCAAGGTTTTTAACTTCTTTGCCATGGGTTCGAACTTCCTCCTTTAGCTCGGAGTAGTTTGATCGTCTGAAGCCTTCTTCTCTCAACTCATCAAAGTCATTCTCCGTCCAGCTTTGTTCCATTGCTGGTGAGGAGCTGTGTTCCTCTGGAGGAGGAGAGGCACTCTGATTTTTAGAGTTTCCAGTTTTTCTACTCTGTTTTTTCCCCATCTTTGTGGTTTTATCTACCTTTGGTCTTTGATGATGGTGACGTACAGATGGGTTTTTGGTGTGGATGGCCTTTCTGTTTGTTAGTTTTCCTTCTAACAGTCAGGACCCTCAGCTGCAGGTCTGTTGGAGTTTGCTGGAGGTCCACTCCAGACCCTGTTTGCCTGGGTATCAGCAGCGGAGGGTGCAGAACAGCGGATATTGGTGAACAGCAAATGTCGCTGCCTGATCGTTCCTCTGGAAGTTTTGTCTCAGAGGAGTAACGGCCCGTGTGAGGTGTCAGTCTGAGAAAAAAGAATAAAAAGAAACGAACAAAGCCTCCAAGAAATATGGGACTATGTGAAAAGACCAAATCTACGTCTGATTGGTGTACCTGAAAGTGACGGGGAGAATGGAACCGAGTTGGAAAACACTCTGCAGGATATTATACAGGAGAACTTCCTCAATCTAGCAAGGCAGGCCAACATTCAAATTCAGGAAATACAGAGAACACCACAAAGATACTCCTCGAGAAGAGCAACTCCAAGACACATAATTGTCAGATTCACCAAAGTTGAAATGAAGGAAAAAATGTTAAGGGCAGCCAGAGAGAAAGGTCGAGTTACCCACAAAGGGAAGCCCATCAGACTAACAGCTGATCTCTCGGCGGAAACCCTACAAGCCAGAAGAGTGGGGGGGCCAATATTCAACATTCTTAAAGAAAAGAATTTTCTGCCGGGTGCGGTGGCTCACACCTGTAATCCCAGCACTTTGGGAGGCCAAGGCGGGAGAATCATGAGGTCTGGAGTTTGAGACCAGCTTGGCCAACATGTTGAAACCCTGTCTCTACTAAAAATACAAAAAAAAAAATTACCCGGGCGTAGTGGCAGACACCTGTAATCCCAGCTACTCAGGAGGCTGAGGCAGGAGAATCGCTTGAAACCAGAAGGCGGAGGTTGCAGTGAGCCCAGATCACACCACTGCACTCCAGCCTGGGCAATAAGAGCGAAACTCTGTCTCAAAAAAAAAAAAGAAAAGAAAAAGAAAAGAATTTTCAACCCAGAATTTCATATCCAGCCAAACTAAGCTTCATAAGTGAAGGAGAAATAAAATACTTTACAGACAAGCAAATGCTGAGAGATTTTGTCATCACCAGGCCTGCCCTAAAAGAGCTCCTGAAGGAAGCACTAAACATGGAAAGGAACAACCGGTACCAGCCACTGCAAAAACATGCCAAATTTTAAAGACCATTGAAGCTAGGAAGAAACTGCATCAACTAACGAGCAAAATAACCAGCTAACATCATAATCACAGGATCAAATTCACACATAACTATTAACCTTAAATGTAAATGGACTAAATGCTCCAATTAAAAGACACAGACTGGCAAATTGGATAAAGAGTCAAGACCCATCAGTGTGCTATATTCAGGAGACCCATCTCACGTGCAGAGACACACATAGGCTCAAAATAAAGGGATGGAGGAAGATCTACCAAGCAAATGGAAAACAAAAAAAGGCAGGGGTTGCAATCCTAGTCTCTCATAAAACAGACTTTAAACCAACAAAGATCAAAAGAGACAAAGAAGGCCATTACATAATGGTAAAGGGATCAATTCAACAAGAAGAGCTAACTATCCTAAACATATATGCACCCAATACAGGAGCACCCAGATTCATAAAGCAAGTCCTTAGTGACCTACAAAGAGACTTAGACTCCCACACAATAATAATGGGAGACTTTAACACCCCACCGTCAACATTAGATAGATCAACGAGACAGAAAGTTAACAAGGATATCCAGGAACTGAACTCAGCTCTGCACTAAGTGGATCTAATAGACATTTACAGAACTCTCCACCCCAAATCAACAGAATATATGTTCTTCTCAGCACCACACCGCACTTATTCCGAAACTGACCACATAGTTGGAAGTAAAGCACTTCTCAGCAAATGTAAAAGAATGGAAATTATGACAAACTGTCTCTCAGACCACAGTGCAATCAAACTAGAACTCAGGATTAAGAAACTCACTCAAAACTGCTCAACTACATGGAAACTGAACAACCTGCTCCTGAATGACTACTGGGTACATAACGAAATGAAGGCAGAAATAAAGATATTCTTTGAAACCAACGAGAACAAAGACACAACATACCAGAATCTCTGGGACACATTCAAAGCAGTGTGTAGAGGGAAATTTACAGCACTAAATGCCCACAAGAGAAAGCAGGAAAGATCTAAAATTGACACCCTAACATCACAATTAAAAGAACTAGAGAAGCAAGAGCAAACACATTCAAAAGCTAGCAGAAGGCAAGAAATAACTAAGATCAGAGCAGAACTGAAGGAGATAGAGACACAAAAAACCCTTCAAAACATCAATGAATCCAGGAGCTTGTTTTTTGAAAAGATCAACAAAATTGATAGACCGCTAGCAAGACTAATAAAGAAGAAAAGAGAGAAGGATCAAATAGAAGCAATAAAAAATGATAAAGGGGATATCACCACCGATCCCACAGAAATACAAACTACCATCAGAGAATACTATAAACACCTCTACGCAAATAAACTAGAAAATCTAGAGGAAATGGATAAATTCCTCGACACATATACCCTCCCAAGACTAAACCAGGAAGAAGTTGAATCTCTGAATAGACCAATAATAGGCTCTGAAATTGAGGCAATAATTAATAGCTTACCAACCAAAAAAAGTCCAGGACCAGATGGATTCACAGCCAAATTCTACCAGAGGTACAAGGAAGAGCTGGTACCATTCCTTCTGAAACTATTCCAATCAATAGAAAAAGAGGGAATCCTCCCTAACTCATTTTATCAGGCCAGCATCATCCTGATACCAAAGCCTGGCAGAGACACAACAAAAAAAGAGAATTTTAGACCAATATCCCTGATGAACATCGATGCAAAAATCCTCAATAAAATACTGGCAAACCGAATCCAGTAGCACATCAAAAAGCTTATCCACCATGATCAAGAGGGCTTCATCCCTGGGATGCAAGGCTGGTTCAACATACACAAATCAATAAACATAATCCAGCACATAAACAGAACCAACGACAAAAACCATATGATTATCTCAATAGACGCAGAAAAGGCCTTTGACAAAATTCAACAACTAAAACTCTCAATAAATTAGGTATTGATGGGACGTATCTCAAAATAATAAGAGCTATCTATGACAAACCCACAGCCAATATCATACTGAATGGACAAAAACTGGAAGCATTCCCTTTGAAAACCGGCACAAGACAGGGATGCCCTCTCTCACCACTCCTATTCAACATAGTGTTGGAAGTTCTGGCCAGGGCAATCAGGCAGGAGAAGGAAATAAAGGGTATTCAATTAAGAAAAGAGGAAGTCGAATTGTCCCTGTTTGCAGATGACATGATTTATATATCTAGAAAACCCCATCATCTCAGCCCAAAATCTCCTTAAGCTGATAGGCAACTTCAGCAAAGTCTCAGGATACAAAATCAATGTGCAAAAATCCAAGCATTCTTAAACACCAATAACAGACAAACAGCCAAATCATGAGTGAACTCCCATTCACAATTGCTTCAAAGAGAATAAAATACCTAGGAATCCAATTTACAAGGGACGTGAAGGACCTCTTCAAGGAGAACTACAAACCACTGCTCAATGAAACAAAAGAGGATACAAACAAATGGAAGAACATTCCATGCTCATGGGTAGGAAGAATCAATATCATGAAAATGGCCATACTGCTCAAGGTAATTTATAGATTCAATGCCATCCCCATCAAGCTACCAATGACTTTCTTCACAGAATTGGAAAAAACTTCTTTAAAGTTCATATGGAACCAAAAAAGAGCCCGCATGGCCAAGTCAATCCTAAGACAAAAGAACAAAGCTGGAGGCATCACGCTACCTGACTTCAAACTATACCATAAGGCTACAGTAACCAAAACAGCATGGTACTGGTACCAAAACAGAGATACAGACCAATGGAACAGAACAGAGCCCTCAGAAATAATGCCGCATATCTACAACCATCTGATCTTTCACAAACCTGAGAAAAACAAGCAATGGGGAAATGATTCCCTATTTAATAAATGGTGCTGGGAAAACTGACTAGCCATATGTAGAAAGCTGAAACTGGATCCCTTCCTTATACCTTATACAAAAATTAATTCAAGATGGATTAAAGACTTAAATGTTAGACCTAAAACCATAAAAACCCTAGAAGAAAACCTAGGCAATACCATTCAGGACATAGGCATGGGCAAGGACTTCATGTCTAAAACACCAAAAGTAATGGCAACAAAAGCCAAAATTGACAAATGGGATCTAATTAAACTAAAGAGCTTCTGCACAGCAAAAGAAACTACCATCAGAGTGAACAGGCAACCTACAGAATGGGAGAAAATTTTTGCAATCTACTCATCTGACAAAGGGCTAATACCCAGAATCTACAATGAACTCTAACAAATTTACAAGAAAAAAACAAAAAACCCCATCACAAAAAGTGGGCAAAGGATATGAACAGACACTTCTCAAAAGAAGACATTTATGTAGCCAAAAGACACATGAAAAAATGCTCATCATCACTGGCCATCAGAGAAATGCAAATCAAAACCACAATGAAATACCATCTCACACCAGTCAGAATGGTGATCATTAAAAAGTCAGGAAACAACAGGTGCTGGAGAGGATGTGGAGAAATAGGAACACTTTTACACTGTTGGTGGGACTGTAAACTAGTTCAACCCTTGTGGAAGTCAGTGTGGCGCTTCCTCAGGGATCTAGAACTAGAAATACCATTTGACCCAGCCATCCCATTACTGGGTATATACCCAAAGGATTATAAATCATGTTGCTATAAAGACACATGCACATGTATGTTTATTGTGACACTATTCACAATAGCAAAGAATTGGAACCAACCCAAATGTCCAAAAATGATAGACTGGATTAAGAAAATGTGGCACATATACACCATAGAATACTATGCAGCCATAAAAAATGATGAGTTCATGTCCTTTGTAGGGACATGGATGAAGCTGGAAACCATCATTCTCAGCAAACTATTGCAAGGACAAAAAACCAAACACCACATGTTCTCACTCATAGGTGGGAATTGAACAGTGAGAACACATGGACACAGGAAGGGGAACATCACACACCAGGGACTGTTGTGGGATGGGGGGCGGGGGAGGAATAGCCTTTGGAGATATACCTAATGTTAAATGACGAGTTACTGGGTGCAGCACACCAACATGGCACATGTATACATATGTAACTAACCTGCACGTTGTGCACATGTACCCTAAAACTTAAAGTATAATAATAAAAAAAAGGATAAAACAAAACAAAACAAAAAAACATTTATACACATTCTGTTTAGTATATACCCAGAAGTGGCATCACTGAGTGATGGGTGTGCACATATACAGCTCTAGTAGAAACTGCCGGCTGGGCATGGAGACTTATGCCTGTAATCCCAGCACTTTGGGAGGCGAAGGCGGGTGGATCACCTGAGGTCAGGAGTTCGAGACCAGCCTGGCCAACATGGTAAAATCCCATCTGTACTAAAAATACAAACATTAGCTGGGCGTTGTGGCGAGCGCCTGTAATTCCAGCTACTTGGGAGCCTGAGGCAGGAGAATCACTTGAACCCAGGAGACAGAGGTTTCAGTGAGCCAAGATCTTGCCACTGCACTCCAGCCTGGGTGACAAGAGTGAAACTCTGTCTCAAAAAAAAAAAAAAGAAAGAAAGAAAAAAGGAACTATAAAACGGTTTTCCAAAATAATTGTTGTATCCATTATGCTCCCATCAGCTGTGAATGAGACATTCTGTCTCTGGAAATGCTTACCAACAGTTGGTATTATCAGATTTTAAATTTTTTCTCTATCTGGGGCTGGGTAGCGGTGGCTCACACCTATAATCCCAGCACTTAGGGAGGCGAAGGCAGGCAGATCACCTGAGGTCAGGAGTTCGAGACCAGCCTGGCCAACATAGTGAAACCTCGTCTCTACTTAAAAAGTACAAAAATTAGCCGGACATGGTGGCACATGCCTGTAGTCCCAGGTACTCAGGAGGCTGAGGCAGGAGAATTGCTTGAACCCCGGAGGCAGAGATTGCAGTGAGCCGAGATAGTGCCACTGCACTCCAGCCTGGGCAACAGAGCAAGACTCCATCTCAAAAAAAAAAATCTTTTTGCCTATCTGATAGACAGGAAATAACATTTTGTTCCTTTAATATACAGCTCTCTGATTTAGTGTGAGCATATTTCTATATATTTATTGGCCATTTGGGTTTCCTCTTATGCAAAATGTTTGTTCATAACCTTTGCATACTTTTTGATTGGGCGTCTTGTCTTTCCCTTAAAATTTTTTAGGAGTTCTTTTTATATGAGGGGTCATCTAAAAGTACACGGAAAATGCATTTGGTGAAAAAAACTATATGCATGGATTTCAAATGTTTTATAGTTTTTTGTTGTTTTTCTGTTTTGCTTTTTTCCTTCCTATTTTTGTTTTGCTTTTATTTATTTATTTTTGTTTTTTCTTTTTTGAATTTCAATTTTTTTTTACACCAAAATAAATCTGTACTAACTTGTTATAACATGTCTGAACAGGATCTGGTTTGAGGGGTTAAGAAGGATAAGACATCAATTTGAAAAGAGCCTCTACCAGAGCCACATGAATTCTGCTAATACTGAAGCAAGAACAAAATCAAATTTATGGTGATGGTTGGGTGGAAGAATGGTGAAAAATCATTGATGCTTTCTGAAAAGTTTATGGGGACAATGCCCCCAAATAAATCAGCAGTTTACAAATAGATAACTCAGCTTAAGAATGGGCCAGGTGTGGCGGCTCATGCCTGTAATCCCAGAACTTTGGGAGGCCAAGGCAGGCCAACCGCTTGAGTCCAGGAGTTTAAGACCAGCCTGAGCAACATGGCGAAACCTCATCTCTACAAAAAAATGGAAAAATTAGCCAGGCGTGGTGGCACGTGCCTGTAGTCCCAGCTACTACTCGGGAGGCTGAGCTGGGAGAATCACCTGAGCCAGGGTAAGTTGAGGCTGCAGTGAGCCATGATCATGCCACTGTACTCCAGCCTGGGTGACAGAGTAAGAGTCTGTCTCAAAACAAAACAAAACAAAACAAAAAACAGAAGCCAATAGCAAGATGAATCACATGCTGGAATTATCTGACAAGGATTTTAGAGTAGTCACCATAAAAATGAGTCAATAAGGAATTACAAATAAACTGGAAACAAAAGAAGAAATAGAAATTCTTTGGCCAGGTGCGATGGCTCACAACTGTAATCCCAGTACTTTGGGAGGCCAAGGCGGTTAGGACGTTTGAGTCCAGGAGCTCAAGACCAGCCTGGGCAATATGGTGAAGCCCCACCTCTACAGAAAATACAAAAAGTAGCCAGTTATGGTGGTGTGCACTTGTGGTTCCAGCTACTTGGGAGGCTGAGCTTAGGAGGATCGATTCAGCCTAGGAGGTTGAGGCTGCAGTGAGCTGTGATTGCACCACTGCACTCCAGCCTGGGCAACAGAGTGAGACCCCATCTCAAAAAAAAATTATCAACATATAGATGATATAGAAAAAGAACCAAATAGAAATGATAGAACTAAAAATTATAAATGAAAATTAAAACTGGCCTGGCGCGGTGGCTCATGCCTGTAATCCCAGCACTTTGGGAGGCCAAGGTGGGTGGATCACCTGAGGTCAGGGGTTTGAGACCAGCCTGGCCAACATGGTGAAACCCTGTCTCTACTAAATATACAAAAATTAGCCGGGCGTGGTGGCGGGCACCTGTAATCCCATCTACTGGGGAGGCTGAGGCAGGAGAATGGCTTGAACCAAGGAGGCGGAGGCTGCAGTGAGCCACTGCACTTCACTCCAGCCTGGGCAAAAGAGCAAAACTCCATCCAAAAAAAAGAAAAAAAGAAAAAGAAAACAGAAAATTAAAGCTAATGCAAAAGGTTCAATGGCAGAATGAATATGACAGAGAAGTGATCTGGCAGACAGAACAGTAGAAAGTGTCCAATCTCAACAACAGAGAGAAAATACACTGAAAAAAAGATGGACAGAGTCTCAGAGACCTATAGGGCAACAACAAAGATCTAAGATTTATGTCACTGGACTTCTGCAAGAAGAGGAGAAATAGTAGTGAAGAAAACATATTTAAAGAAATAATGGCTGAAAGCTTCCCAAATTGGGCAAAGGACATAAACCTACGGATTGAAGTTGTGCAAACCCCAGTAGGATAAACCAAACGAAACCCACGCCCATATGTCATCATTTAACCTCTAAACACTAAAAACAAAGGAAAACCCTTGAAAGCAGCTAGAGAGAAATGACACATGAGGCATAGGGGACACTGATTAGAATGACAGTGGTGTTTTCATCTGAAACTAGGGAAACTAAAAGGAAGTGGCATGATATTCTTCAAGTACTGAAAGAACTGTCAACTGAGAGTCCTACATTGGGGAAAGTCTCTTTCAGGAATGAGAGGGAAATAAAGACATTCTCAGGCGAAGGAAAACTAAAACAAGTCTGTGTTAATCAGTTCAGGCTACCATGATGAAATACCATAGACTGGGTGGCTTGAACAACATGAATTCATTTCTCACAGTTCGGGAGGCTGGGAAGTCCTCAGTCAAGATGCTGGCTGATCTGGTTTCCGGAAAGGGCTCTCTTAGCAGCTTGCAGAGGGCTGCCTCCTGGCTGTGTCCTTCCATGGTGGGAGGAGAGAGAAGGGTAGGGGAAACAAGCTCTCTGGTGTCTCTTATAAGGGCACTTGTCCCATCACAAGGGCCCCTGATGACCTCATCTAAACCCAATTACTTCCCCAAAATCCCACATCCAAATACTGTCACATGGGGGGTGAAGGCTTCAACACATGAATTTTGGGGGAGACAAAATTCAGTCCATAGCAAATTTGTTTCCAGGACATCTGCTGTTAAAGAAAGGTGAAAGGAAGCTCTTCAAACAGAAGTGAAATAACAGACGAAGGTGTGGAACTTCAGAAAGGAAAAGAGAACAACAAAATGGGTTAAAATAGGAGTAAATACTCTTCTCCTCATGAGCTTTTTCATTTTCTCATGAGGTTTTTAAACCATATTTGATGGTTGAAGCAAAACATTGTAACAACATTTGATACGGTTTTCAATGTATATAGAGAGAACACTTAGGACAATTACATTTTGAAAATAGGATAGGTAAAGGGATCTAAAGGGAAGTAAATTCCTCCACGTCAATTACAGTAGTAAAACATTGACATTGGTGGACTGTGATAAGTTACACGTGCAGGTTGTAATACCTAGAGCAATCACTAAGAAGACCATACAAAGTGATTGTCGTAGTACATTCTGTGCTGCTGTAACAGAATACCTGAGACTGGATAATTTATAAAACACATTTATTTCACACAGTTCTGGAGGCTGGGAAGTCCAAGATCAAGTCACCAACAGGTTTGGCATCTGGGAAGGGCTGCTCTCTGCTTCTAAGACAGTGCCTTGAATGCTGCATCCTCTGGAGCGGGGGAACACTGTGTCCTCACGTGGCAAAAAAGGTGAAAGGGCAAAAAGGGAGGCATTCCCTCCTTCAAGCCCTATTCTAACAGCATTAATCTGTTCATAAGGGCAGAGTCCTCTTGACCTAAACACATCCCAAAAGACCCCACCTCCCAACACTGCTGCATTGGGGATCAAGTTTAGACATGAATTTTTGGAAGGGACAAAAACATTCAAATCATAACGGTGATATGCTCAAAAATTATATAAATAAGTCAAAATGGAATTCTAAAAACAATGGTCATGTACCCACCCCAAGGAAGGCAAAGGGAGAGAAACAAAGGAATGAGAATCAGAGGGAACAAACAGAAAACAATAGTAAAATATACTAATTTAAACCACAATGAGGGCCAGGCGCTGTGGCTTACACCTGTAATCCCAGCACTTTGGGAGACTGAGGTGGGGAGATCACGAGGTCAGGAGTTAGAGACCAGCCTGGCCAACATGGTGAAACCCCATCTCGACTAAAAATAGAAAAATTAGCTAGGCGTGGTGGCACACTCCTGTAATCCCAGCTACTCAAGAGGCTGAGGCAGGAGAATTGCTCGAACCCGGGAGGCAGAGGTTGCAGTGAGCCAAGATTGCGTCACTGCACTCCAGCCTGGGTGACAGAGCAAGATTCCATCTCAAATAAAAAGATGAAGAGGCTGGGTGTGGTGGCTCACATCTGTAATCCCAGCACTTTGGGAGGCCGAGGCGGGCAGATCACTTGAGGTCAGGAGTTTGAGACTGGCCAACATGGTGAAACCCTGTCTCTACTAAAAATACAAAAATTAGCCAGGCATGGTGATGTGTGCTTGTAGTCCCAGCTACTAGGGAGGCTGAGACAGGAGAATCGCTTGAACCCAGGAGGCAGAGGCTGCAGTGAGCCAAGATCGCGCCGCTATGCTCCAGCCTGGGCAACAGAGCAAGACCCTGTCTCAAAAATAAAATAAAATAAATAAAAATAAATTAAAACCAAAAGACAAAGTTGGGCACAGCAGTGGATGCCTTTAGTATCAGCTACTAGGGAGGCTGAGTTGGGAGGATGACTTGAGCCCAAGAGTTCTATGCCAGCCTGGGCAACACAGTGAGACACCTGTCTCTAAAATAAAAATAAAATACATTTTTTTAAAAGATGAAAGATAATCCTAGCACTTTGGGAGTCCGAGGCGGGCAGATCACCTGAGGTCAGGAGTTCGAGACCAGCCTGACCAACATGGAGAAACCCCATCTCTACTAAAAATACAAAAAAAATTAGCCGGGCTTAGTGGCACATGCCTGTAATCCCAGCTACTCGGGAGGCTGAGGCAGGAGAATAGCTTGAACCCGGGAGGCAGAGGGTGCAGTGGGCTGAAATCACATCGTTGCACTGAAGCCTGGGCAACATGAGTGAAACTCTGTCTCAAAAAAAAGAAAAAAGAAATCAATATGTTAAAATAATATCTGCACTCTTATGTTCATGATATCATTATTCACAATAGCCAAGATAGGAAATCAACCTCTATCCAACAATGTGTGAATAAAGAAAACGTGGGCCGGGTGTGGTGGCTCACGTCTGTAATCCCAGCACTTTGGGAGGCCAAGGCTGGTGGATCACGAGGTCAGGAGATCGAGACCATCCTGGTCAACATGGTGAAACCCCCCTCTACTAAAAATACAAAAAATTAGCCGGGCGTAGTGGCATGCGCCTGTAGTCCCAGCTACTCAAGAGGCTGAGGCAGGAGAATCGCTTGAACCCAGGAGGTGGAGGTTGTAGTGAACGGAGATCGTGCCACTGCATTCCAGTCTGGGCAACAGTGCGAGGCTCTGTCTCAAAAAAAACACATTAATCCACCAAAGAGATATAGCAATCCTAAATGTGCATGCACTAAACAAGATCATTTCAAATTACACGAAGAAAAAATGATCAGGCTGAAAGGAGAAATGGACAAATCCACAATTATAATTGAGGATATCAACACCACCCCTGCAACAAATGGAATTACTAGAGAGAAATTCAAGCAATGATAAAGAAGAACTAAACAACACCATCAATCAACAGTAACAAGGCCAGGCTTGGTGGCTCACGCTCGTAATCCCAGCACTTTGAGAGGCCAAGGTGGGTGGGTCATCTGAGGTCAGGAGTTCGAGACCAGCCTGGCCAACATGGCAAAACCCTGTCTCTACTAAAAATACAAAAATTAGCCAGGTGTGGTGGCACACACCTGTAGTCCCAGCTACTTGGGAGGCTGGGGCAGGAGAATCGCTTGAACTCAGGAGGCAGAGGTTGCAGTGAACCAAGATCACATCACTGTACTCCAGCCTGGGCGACAGAGCAAGATTCTGTGTCAAAAAATAAAAAACAAAAAAACAGTATTGAAATGACATTATAGAACATTCAACCCAACAACAGAATACATGTTGTTTTTGAGTGCCTGTGGAACGTTCAGCAAGATAGAACATTACCTGGGCCATAAAACAAACCTCAACAAATTTAAAAAAACTAAAATCAGAGGGAGTATCTTCTCTGATTATATAGAATCAAATTAGAAATCATAACAGAAAGACAACAGGAAAACCCCCTAAACACTTATTTAAAAACATGCTTCTCAATAACCCATGGGTCACAAAGTAAGTCAAAAGGAAATTTTATAAATACACAGAACTGGAAAAAATGAAAATACACCTGTCAAAATATGTGCAATGCATGAGTGTAGTGTTGAGATGGAAATTTATAGAACTAGGTACTTACATTAGAAAAGAGGAAAGGTCTCAAATCAATAATCTAAGTTCCTACTTCAAGAAACTAGAAAAAGAAGAGCAAAGGAACCTCAAGGAAGCAGAAGGCAGGAAATAATAAAGATAAGAACAGAAATCAATACAATTAAAAACAGAAAAACAGCAGAGAAAACAATCAATGAAACAAAAACTTGGATCTTTGAAAAGATCAATACAATTGAAAAACTTGTAGCAAGACTGGCAAAGATAAAGAGAGAAGATACAAATCATCAATATTAGGAATGAAAGAGGGGATGTCACTACAGATTTTGCAGTCACTGAAAGGATACTGCAAGTTCCATGAAGAAGAACTCTATTCTCATAAATTCAACAACTTAGAAGAAATGGACCAATTACTCCAAAAGCACAAACGACCAAACTCAAGCAATATAAAATAGGCGATCTGAATAATTCTACAACCATTAAAAATTTAAATTTATTATTTAGCCCTCAGAAAAGAAATCTTGAGGCCCAGATGTTTTCACTGGAGAATTCCTCCTAACACTTAAAGCGAAATTAGTGTCAATTTTGTAGACTGTCTTCCGGATAATAGAAGCAAAGGGAACACCTCCCAACTCATTGTATGAGGCCAGTTTTACCTTGCTACCAAAACCAGGGAAAAAAGCATACACACAAAAGGAAAGCTACAAACTGATATCTCTTGTGAATTTAGGCACAAAAACCCTCAACAAAATATTAGGAAATCAAATCCAGGAATGTTTTAAAGGAATTATACACCATGACCAAGTAGGATTTGTTCCAGGTATGAAAGGCTGGTTCAGTTTTTGATACTCATCAATGTCATCCACCACGACAGGTTAAAAAAAAAAAGCATATGATCATATCAATTGATGAGAAAACAAAAACAACCCAGTGGCCAGGTGTGGTGGCTCACGCCTGTAATCCCAGCACTTTGGGAGGCCGAGGCAGGTGGATCACTTGAGGACAGGAGTTTGAGACCAGCCTGGCCAACATGGTGAAACCCCGCCTCTACTAAACATACAAAAAAATTAGCCGGGCGTGGTAGCGGGCACCTGCAATCCCAGCTACTCAGGAGGCTGAGGCAGGAGAATCGCTTGAACCCAGGAGGCAGAGGTTGCAGTGAACCAAGATCACGCCATTGCAATCCAGCTTGGGCAACAAGCGCAAAACTCCATCTAAAAAACAAACAAACAAAACCAGTTTTTTATTTTTTGTTTTCTTTTTTTTTTGAGACAGAGTCTCTCTCTGTCGCCCAGGCTGGAGTGCAGTGGCGCAATCTGGGCTCACTGCAGCTTCCACTTCCCAAGTTCAAGCAATTCTCCTGCCTCAGACTCCCAAGTAGCTGTAACTACAGGCGTGCACCACCATGCCCAGCTAATTTTTGTATTTTTAGTAGAGACGGTTTCACCATGGTGGTTAGGCTGGTCTTGAACTCCTGACTTTAAGTGATCTGCCCGCCTTGGTCTCCCAAAGTGGTGGGATTACAGGCGTGACCACTGTACCCGGCCCACCCCAGTATTTGATAAACGCCAATACCCAGTCTTCTGGTTCTGTTCCCAGATGGACCTGCTTGTTCTTGTGGTCCAATAATAAGAAGCAGACAGACTAGAAGAGAAGGGAGTTTTTTTCTGCAGCTGGCTACAGAGAGAAGGTCGGAGTAACTCACCAGACCCACCCAAAGTTAGGTGTTTTGTTAGCTTATGTATACAATTCAAACTCTATGCCTATGTGCAGGAGTGTTTCTTAATCTAATGGTTTTTTTGTTTTTTGTCTTTTTTTTTTTTGAGACAGGGTCTTGTTCTGTCGCCTAGGCTGGACTGCAGTGGTATGATCTCAGCTCAGTGCAGTCTAGACCTCCCCGGTTCAAGCATTCCTCCCACCTCATCCTCCTGAGTAGCTGGGACTACAGAACAGCGCCACTATGCCCAATTGATTTTTAAATTTTTTGTAGAGATGCAGTCTCCCAATGTTGCCGAGGGTGGTCTCGAACTCCTCCTAGGCTCAAGTGATCCACCCACCTCAGCCTCCCAAAGAGTTGGGATTACAGGCGTGAGCCACCTCACCTGGCCATCTAATCCTCTTAACTAGGGGTCTGAAGGTAGGAAACTTTATTTCTTTTTCTTTTTCTTTTTTTTTTTTTTTGAGACGGAGTCTCGCTCTCTCACCCAGGCTGGAGTGCAATGGCGTGATCTCGGCTCACTACAACCTCTGCCTCCCGGGTTCAAGAGATTCTTCTGCCTCAGCCTCCTGAGTAGCTAGGACTACAGGCACATGCCACCACGCCTGGCTAATTTTTGTATTTTTTGGTAGAGATGGGGTTTCACCATGTTGGTCAGGCTGGTCTCGAACTCCTGACCTCGTGATCCGCCCACCTTGGCCTCCCAAAGTGCTGGGATTACAGACATGAGCCATCGTGGCTGGCCAAGTTTCTTAATCTTAATCCTAAATGGGTTTTGGTAGGGGTCGCATGTGTAGGAATGCTTTTATTACTCTATCAGGTTTTGAGATTGAGAAATCCAGGAGGGGTTTTCATGGTTTGTTTTTGCATTTCAGCTCTGGCACTCAGGCACCAGTTTTCCCAGGTCAGTATTCATTTTTTGCTCCTGCTTTAATGTTTGACTTATACACTCATCATTACAACAAAGGGCTTATGGAGACCTGACCTGCCACAGTTCCTGGAAAAGACGGAGTGGATACACTCCTCCCTGTTTCGCCTACAAAGTACAGCTGAAACCAATGGATGTTACATAGAAAACAAGCTTGAGAAGACTGCAAGGTACAGAAGAGCCAGCAGATGGCTAGGGATTCGGAATCGAGAAATGACATGGTGCTGAGCCCCGTGGGTTTTCTTATGCATTCAAGACCAGGTGCTGGAGAAAGCAGCAACGCAGAACACCAAGCGGTGCAGAAAAAAAAGACTCAGGAAAGCCTGGCGGGCACAGTGGTGCGTGCTTGTAGTCCCAGCTATCCAGGAGGCTGAGGCAGGAGGATCGCTTGAGCCCAGGAGTTTAAATCTAACCTGGGCAACATAGTGAGACCCTCATCTCTAAACAAAGAAATAAAAGACCCAGAGACCTGGGGAAACCTCTTCCCCTTAGCCAAAGGACCAGGTAAGGGGCAGCCTCCTAAGAGGGTGTGAACCAAAAAGTATCCCAGACAGGTCTCAATCAGTTTTGAAGTTTACTTTGCCAAGGTTGGCCGGGTGAGGTGGCTCACGCCTGTAATCCCAGTACTTTGGGAGGCCGAGCTAGGCGGATCACTTGAGGACAGGAGTTCGAGACCAGCCTGGCCAATATAGTGAAACTGCATGTCTACTAACAACAACGAAAAAACTAGCCAGGTGTGGTGGCACATGCCTGTAATCCCAGCTACTTGAAAGGCTAAGGCATGAGGATCGCCTGAACCCGGGAGGCAGAGGTTGCAGTGAGCCAAGATCTCGCCACTGCACTCCAGCCTGGGTGACAGAGAGAGACTCTATCTCAAAAAAAAAAAAAAAAAGTTTACTTTGCCAAGGTTAAGGACAATGCCCTGGACACACATCTGTGCCTGTGCCTTTCTCCAAAGATGATTTTGAGGGCTTCAATATTTAAATGGGAAAAGCGGGCTGGCGGGGAAAGAGGGAGGGTGTGGTCATCCACAGGTTGCAAGAGAAAAGGAGCAGGTAGGGGATTTTATTATTTTTTTTTTTTTTTGAGATGGAGTCTCACTCTGTCGCCCCGGCTGGAGTGCAATGGCGTGATGTCGGCTCACTGCAACCTCCGCCTCCCGGGTTCAAGCCATTCTCCTGCCTTAGCCTCCTGAGTAACTGGGACTACAGGCACCCGGCACCATGCCCGTCTAATTTTGTTTTTTTTTTTTTTTTGCGACGGAGTCTCGCTCTGTCGCCCAGGCTGGAGCGCAATGGCGTGATCTCTGCTCACTGCAAGCTCCGCCTCCCGGGTTTACGCCATTCTCCTGCCTCAGCCTCCCGAGTAGCTGGGACTACAGGCGCCTGCCACCATGCCCGTCTAATTTTTTGTATTTTTAGTAGAGACATGGTTTCACCGTGTTAGCCAGGATGGTCTCGATCTCCTGACCTCGTGATCCGCCCGCCTCAGCCTCCCAAAGTGCTGGGATTACAGGCGTGAGCCACCCCGCCCAGCCACGCCCGTCTAATTTTTGTATTTTTAGTAGAGACGGGTTTTCGCCATGTTGGCCAGGATGGTCTGGATTTCTTGACCTCGTGATTCGCCCGCCTTGGCCTCCCAAAGTGTTGGGATTACAGGCGTGAGCCACCGTGCCTGGCCAGGGGATTAATCAGTTATGTATTATGGCTGGGCGTGGTGGCTCACGCCTGTAATCCCAGCACTTTGGGAGGCCAAGGCCGACGGACGGATCACTTGAGGTCAGGCGTTGGAGACCAGCCTGGCCAACATGGAGAAACCTCGTCTCTACTAAAAATACAAAAATTAGCTGGGCATGGTGGTGGGTGCCTCTAATCCCAGCTACTCGGGAGGCTGAGGCACGAGAATTACTTGAACCCAGGAGGTGGAGGTCACAGTGAGCCGAGATGGTGCCACTGTACTCCAGCCTGGGCAATAAAAGCGACACTCCATCTGAAAAAAAAAAAAAAAGGGCCGGGCGCAGTGGCTCACACCTGTAATCCCAGCATTTTGGGAGGCCAAGGCGAGCAGATCACGAGGTCAGGAGATCGAGACCATCCTGGCTAACATGGTGAAACCCTGTCTCTACTAAAAATACAAAAAAATTAGCCGGGCGTGGTGGCAGGCACCTGTAGTCCCAGCTACTCAGGAGGCTGAGGCAAGAGAATGGCATGAACTCGGGAGGTGGAGCTTGCAGTGAGCAGAGATCACGCCATTGCACTCCAGCCTGGGCAACAGAGCAAGACTCCGTCTCCAAAAAAAAAGGGCCGGGCGCGGTGGCTCACGCCTGTAATCCCAGCACTTTGGGAGGCCAAGGCAAGCGGATCACGAGGTCAGGAGATCGAGACCATCCTGGCTAACATGGTGAAACCCCATCTCTACCAAAAATACAAAAAATTAGCCAGGCGTGGTGGCGGGTGCCTGTAGTCCCAGCTACTTGGGAGGCTAAGGCAGGAGAATGGCGTGAACCTGGGAGGTAGAGGTTACAGTGAGCCGAGATCGAGCCACTGCACTTGAGCCTGGGCGACAGAGCGAGACTCTGTCTCAAAAAAAAAAAAAAAAAGTTATGTATTCTGAGTGTTTTGAGAAAACCAAAGCTTTAGCAGAAAAACACCTGGGAAAGCTTCACCAGAAAATCTTTCTCCACCACAACAATGCTCCTGCCTACTCCTCTCATCAAACAAAGGCAATTGTCATTTCATTTTTCCACACTTTTTGAAGTCCCCTTGTATTGTGGCTATTCATCCTTTGTCAACCATATGTGTTTGAAGCTGACTATGTCTTTTTGGGTAGACATATCTGTATGTCGGTCTAGGCAGATGGGCCCCACAAAACCACTGCACTCCCGTTATGGCTGGGAAGAGCAAGCAAATATTTCCTATGCCTCTAGGGGATACAGATTTAACCGAGAGTTAGACCTGGAAGTACCCCATAGTCAGTTTGAGGGATAAAGCAGGAGCATCATACATGAGTCAACATCCAAGGACCACATAGTATCTGGCACATCTCAGAAGATGCCTGTGTTGGCCGGGCACAGTGGCTCATGCCTGTAACCCCAGCACTTTGGGAGGCCAAGGCAGGCAGATCATTCGAGCCCCAGAGTTCAAGACCAGCCTGGGCAACATGGCAAAACCCCATCTCTACAAAAAAGTATAAAAATTAGCTGGATGTGGTGGCTCACGCCTGTGGTCCCAGTTACTCGGGAGGCTGAGGCAGGAGAATCACTTGAGCCCAGGAGGTTGAGGCTGCAGTGAGCTGAGATGGCACCACTACACTTCAGCCTGGGTGACAGAATGAGACCTTGTCTCAAAAAGAACGAAAGAAGGAAAGCCTGTTTGAACTGAAAGGGGGCTAAGTGGGGGACAGATCCTAAAGGAATCCTTTGATTTTGTAGATGGAAAACATAACATGCTCATTATTTCACTGAAATTTAAAGAAAATTGACTATCCTTTGTATTTTGCAATAAAAAGTTAGCTCCATAGGCCTAAATGTATTTTCTTTTTAATGTTCACCTAATTAAATTCCAGATCCAGACACTAGCCTTAATAATGATTGTCTTTATAATTAACTAAAGGAATCTAAGTTTCCTTTTGGCTGTGGGGGGAGAGAGTCCAATCTCCATCATAAAGTTTGTTTACACCATCTGATTTGGTGAAGTGTTGAATTGAGAAACTTTGACAAGAATGTCTGTCTTGAGTCCCTGTACAACTACAGAACCCTCTGAAATGCCCAGGATCGTTACCAACGCCATCTCCATTAAGTCAAGTCTGTCCACAGTGGGGAGAGCAAAAGGTTGGTTAACAAATACAAAAGTACAGCTATAGGCCAGGCCAGGCTGCTCTTGCCTGTAATCCCAGCGCTTTGGGAGGATCACTTGAGCCCAGGAGTTCAAGAGCAGCCCGTGAAACATGGTGAGATCTTGTCTTCAATAAAAAATAAAGGCCGGGCGTGGTGGCTCACGCCTGTAATCCCAGCACTTTGGGAGGCCGAGGCGGGCGGATCACGAGGTCAGGAGATTGAGACCATCCTGGGTAACACAGTGAAACCCCGTCTCTAATAAAAATACAAAAAAATTAGCTGGGCGTGGTGCCGGGCGCCTGTAGTCGCAGCTACTCGGGAGGCTGAGGCAGGAGAAAGGCGTGAACCCGGGAGGCGGAGCTTGCAGTGAGCTGAGATTGCGCCACTGCACTCCAGCCTGGGTGACAGAGCAAGACTCCATCTCAAATAAAATAAAATAACATAAAATAAAATAAAATAAATAAAAAATTATCCAGGCATGGTGGTGCATGCCTGTAGTACCACCTACTTGGGAGGCTGAGGCAGGAGGATCGCTTGAACCCAGGAGGTTGAGGGTGCAGTGAGCTATGATGGTGCCACTGCACTCCAGCCCAGGCGACAAAGTGAGATCCTGCCTCAAAATGAAAAAGTCACACTGTACCCCATAAATATTTACAATTATTATGTGTCTATTAAAAATAATAGGCTGGGGCCAGGCACAGTGGCTCACATCTGCAATCCCATCACTTTGGGAGGCCGAGGCAGGTGGATCACCTGAGGTCAGGAGTTTTAGACCAGCCTGGCCAACATGGTGAAACCCCATCTCTACTAAAAAAAAAAAATAATACAAAAATTAGCTGGGCATGGTGGTGTGTGCCTGTAAGCCCAGCTACCTGGGAGGCTGAGGCAGGAGAATTGCTTGAACCCAGGAGGTGGAGTTTGCAGTGAGCTGAGATCACGCCACTGTACTCCAGCCTGGGTGACAGAGCAAGACTCTGTCTCGAAAATAATAAAATAATAATAATAATAATAATAATAGGCCAGGTGTAGTGGCTCACACTTGTAATCCCAGCACTTTGGGAGACCAAGGCGGGCGGATCACTTGAGGTCATGAGTTCGAGACCAGCCTGGCCAACATGGTGAAACCCCATCTCTACCAAAAATACAAAAATTAGCTGGGCATGGTGGGATGTGCCTGTAATCTCAGCTACTCGTGAGGCTGAGGCACGAGAATCGCTTGAACCCAGGAGGCAGAGGTTGCAGTGAGCCGAGATTGTGCCACTGCACTCCAGCCCAGGGAACAGAGAGAAAAACTGTCTTAAATAAATAAAATAATAAAAGCAAAAAGAGGAATGTTTGTCCTTGAAATTATTACTTTAGCAAAGAAGGCTCATAAAACCTTCAAATGACACCTGTAGTTATAATTGAGAATATGTTGTCTATGTTGTAAATGACATCTCTGAAACTCTAAGTGCTGTAAATAAGGATTTTGAACTCCTGGCCTCAAGCAATCCTCCCGTCTTGGCCTCCCAAAGTGCTGGGATTACAGGTGCGAGCCACTGCGCCCGGCCGTGGATTTTAGTCCCAGCCTTGCCCCTCTGAGGCAGTGTAGTCATGGGAAGTTGCTTCGCCTTTTTGTGTTTCAGTTTCCTCAAGTGCAAATGAGGACAACAAAAGGCAGTTTTGTGTCACCTCAGACGTGGTCCTAAATGGGCCCACCGGGATGGTTCGCATTTTTTAACGTCAGAGCATCAATCTCTAAAGGTCTGCCCCTAGGTTGGGGTCAGGGGTGTCAGAGCTGCCCTGCCTGTCAAGCCCTGTTCTCCAAATGCCACTAAGAGAGCAGCGGAAATAGGAACACTGAGACCAGCAGCCCGACTCAAGGTGAAGTGCGTGCACCTCTCTTCCGTCTCCCTTTTGCTCCTCCTGCCTCTGCATTGACTCCATCTCTTGCTCCTCTGTATCCGTTTTACCTTCTCAATCTCATTCTCTCTCTGCTCCTGTTTTTCTTTTTTCCCTGTTACCTCTGCCTTGTGTCTTTGCCAATGTGTCTTTCTCCTTCTCACTTTTTTTTTTGGACGGATTCTCACTCTGGCTCCCAGGCTGAAGTGCAGTGGCGCGATCTCGGCTCACTATAACCTCCGCCTCCCGGGTTCAAGCAATTCTCCTGCCTCAACCGTGCAAGTAGCTGGGATTACAGGCGCCCGTCACCGTGCTTGGCTAATTTTTGTATTTTTAGTAGAGACGGGGTTTCACCATGTTGGCCAGGCTGGTCTCAAACTCCTGACCTCAAGTGACCTGCCCACTTCGGCCTCCACAAGTTCTGGGATTACAGGCATAAGCCACTGCACCTGGCCCCTCCTTCTCACTTTTTTTTTTTCTTTTTAAGACAGGGTCTCGTTCAGTCACCCAGGCTGGAGTGCAGTTATCTGCAACCTCTGTCTCCCGGGTTCAAGCAATTCTCCTGTCTCAGCCTCCCGAGTATCTGGGACTACAGGCATGTGCCACCATGCCCAGCTAACTTTTGTATTTTTAGTAGAGACGGGGTTTCACCTTGTTGGTCAGGCTGGTCTCGAACTCCTGACCTCAGGTGATCCACCCACCTCGGCCTCCCAAAGCGCTGGGATTACAGGCATGAGCCACCACGCCCGGCCTCTTGGTATCTTTTTCTGCATCTCTCTCTCCTTTGATCTCTCCGTAAACTCTGGCTTCTCTTTCTATGTCTTTCTCCCTATTCTCTTTCTGTCCCTTTGATTCCCCCATGTCTGTCTCTTTCTCCCTGACCTGTCGGGGTCTGTCCCTGAGGAAGTGAGTAAAGTGATCCCACACCTGTCAGGGCTGGACCCCCTTGCTCTTCTCTGATCCCACCCACCTCCTTAACCCCTCTTGCCCACAGACTATTTCCCTTCTCCCCATGCAGACAGGTGGGTGGCAAACTCAAGGGCCACCGGGGTCACACTGTGAAAGCACCAGCCAGGGAGACCAAAGCAAAAAAAATGAGGATGCGGAGCTGAGAGATCAAGACAGATAGAGGCAGAGACTAAGGGCTTAGGCAGGGAGGAAGCAGGAAGAAACAGGAGGAGGAACCTGAGACAGAGCCGCTGAAGTCCTTGCTGGAAGCAGATGGGATTAAATGAGCGACGAGACTGGGAGAGTGCCAGAGAGAGACACCAAGAGGATGCAGGTAAGGCATCTGTCCCCTGAGGCCCCGCAGCTAGGGTGTGGGTGGGCGGCAGCCGGAGGAGGCCCGGCCTGAAGCCAGCTCACAGCTCACCCGCTCCTCACTATGTCTCCTGTGTTTGCCTGCATCTGACGTGGTATTCCCCTCTACCTGCCTGCGTTTCTGACCCTCACGCAGCTTCTTCTATTTCTTAGCGTCTCTCCTCCTCTCTGTCTCTTTTCATTGATCTCTTGCGTGTCTCTCTGCCTCCATCTCTTTCCACCTCTCTGTCGGTCTCTACCTCCCTACGTGCATGTCTGTTTCTATTTCTCTCCCTCTCTTTATCTCTCCATCCCCCGTCTTCCCTTGGTCTCTGTAGTCTCTTCTCGTCGAAACAACCAAGGGTCTCACCCCGTATTTCCTTCTTATAGGAACAGAGGCCGCCGGCCCCGGGCCTAGGTCAGTCAGAGGGCGGGGCCTCAGGGCTCGCCCCAGCCGCGCGCCCCAGCTCGCGAGCCGCGGACGACCCAGGGCGCCCCAGCCCCAGCTCCGGGCCTGGTGAGCCTGGGTGATGCCGTTGACGCGAGGCCTCCACGGAGTCCCCCCTCCCCCGGCACCGTCCCCAGCCTCCCTGCAACTCTCACGCGAGGCCCCTAGCCTCGGTTTCCCAGCCCGCTCCCTCGCTTCTAAACGTGGTGCTGCTCCCGCCCCACTCCAGGTGACTCCGGCCCCCCAGCCCCGCCCCAGCCAGCGGCCGGAGGAGGCCCCGAACGTCGCCGCAAGCGGTCAAGCCACCCGGGCCGAGGGCACGCAGAAGGACCGCTCCTAGGCCCCGCGGGTGGGTCCGGCCGCCCGCAGCCTGGAGACTGCGCAGCTGGACCCGCGCGCGGGAGAGGGGCGGGGCCTGGCGGTGGGAGGAGGTGGGTCCAGAGGCTGCCGAGGGCGGGAGCCTGCGGGTCTCGGGGAGCGTGGAGAGGCGCAGCCTCGGAGGAGCCGGGTGGTTGTAGGAAGGAGGTGGGGCCCGCCGCGGGCTCAGGGGACGGTGTTGAGCGAAACGACCAGGGCGGGTCCGAGGGGCAGGGCCGGAGACCAAGGGAGCGTGGAGCCTCCAGGACTCTCGGAAGGGAAGGGCCTCCAGGAGCTACTCTCCAGGGGCGGCGCTAGATCCACGCAAGTGAAGGCCTGCAGGGGGCAGGGCCGGCCCAAAGATCCAGAAGGGGCGGGACTAAAGGAGGTATTGGCCCCAGGACACAAGGAACACCCTGGGTCTGACTGGCGCTCCGATCTCAAAGATGCATGCCTGGTGCTGCCGCCGCGGTACTTGTGGAGATGCGGGTTCGAGGCCTAAGCCCGGGCCCCGCGCTGCCCTCCCTGGTCCCTCAGTGGCGTGGCTGCGCCCTGCCCGGCATTGAGTCGCTCAAACAGGTATCACAGCTGTCACCGCTGAGGACTCTTTACATTCCCACGGACCAGTTTTGTAAGGGACTGGCTTGCAAGAAAGGGACGTTTTTCATGTCTCTCGAGGTATTCGCCACTGGAGCAGTTTGTGCAGAGGAAACCCTTAACTCCTCAGGAAGCTTTTGAGCCTCCCCGTGGCTTCTGCACCCCAGTGTAGGCAATGTTTGCCCCACCCAGGTAGAGCTTTTCGCAGAAGTCACAGCTTGGGGGCGGGGGTATGTCCACCCAGAAAAATCTCCTAGCTCCCCCATCCCAAAATGAAAACTCATTTCTGGTTATTTTGTGGTTACCCTTTAAAAACACTAGACCTGGCCGGGTGCGGTGGCTCACGCCTGTAATCCCAGCACTTTGGGAGGCCGAGGCGGGCAGATCACCTGAGGTCAGGAGTTTGAGACCAGCCTGGCCAACATGGTAAAACCCCGTCTCTACTGAAAATACAAAAATTGGCCGAGCGTGGTGGCTCACGCCTGTAATCCTAGCACTTTGAGAGGCCGAGGTGGGCGGATCACTTGAGATCAGGAGTTCGAAACCAGCCTGGCTAACATGGTGAAACCTCGTCTCTACTAAAAATACAAAAAGTTAGCTGGGTGTGGTGGTGGACGCCTGTAATCCCAACTACTCAGGAGGCTGAAGCAGGAGATCACTTGAACCCGGGAGGTGGAGGTTGCAGTGAGCCGAGATCACGCCACTGCACTCCAGCCTGGGTGACAGAGCAAGACTCCGTCTCAAAACAACAAATAAAAACACTTGACCACACTGAGCAGAGGAAAGCAGAAAAGCAGCTCTGTGACAGAAGGGGAGGCTGATCCAGGGCACCTTCTTTGAAGGAGCTAGGTCTCCTGGCCCCCTTCTTCCATCCCAGATCCACCCTGAGGCCACATGGAGGGAGGGGAATCACCTTCACAAATGCCGTGCTGAGTGTCCAGAAAGAAGGGACTCCTGTGAGGCCACATTTCCCAGCCTCGGTGACGGGGGCTTGTGGACCAGGAGTCAGGGATATTGGAGTGTGTGGGGGGGGATGGGGTCAGGGGTGCAACGTCCAGAACCACCCCCATCCCCAGCAATCCTGGTGTTCATTCACTTCTTTCCCAAGCTTGTTCCTCTGACAGCTAGGACCCATCACCAGGCCCCAGACAACCTTATTCATGTCCCTAATTCACATCTTCATTCTCCCTTCCTGCTCATCCATCCCATAGACATTTACTAGAGCCCACTTGCTGTGGGCCTCCAAGTCCTAGGGCTTCCAAGTCCCTGAAGCAGGCTCTGCCCCTCATCCTAAGGAGGGGCCCCATAGGCAGTTCAAGGAGTCCACACATAGGCATTTCAAAACGGGCTTTAAATACTCATCAGGGTGCCACACAAAGGAGCTGGGGTGAGAACTTCGTACATGTGAGTGTGGGGCTGGGGTGCCCTGAGAGAGAAAAAGGGGACCCATCTGTCAGGGCAGCTGGGGTGCCCCACCCCCACCCTGGGACTAGGGAGCAGAGTAGAAACCCTCTCTGGAGGGTCCCAGGGCTAACTGGGAGCCAGCCCTCCCTTCGAGGTAGACCATCGGGGAGGGAACCGAGAAGTAGCTCCCATGGTGGCAGTGGCTTCCTCAGTGGTACTGCTGATAGCTGGGGTAGCCTGGGGCCGGGGTGCCATCCTTAGGGGGCAGCTGGCTGGGGTCCTCCAGGAATGGGGGCGCTGGAGAAGGGAGACTTGGGTAAGGATGAGTGGAAGAGGCCAGGTGGAGTATTTCCCACTCCCCCGACCACCAGTTACTCACCATTTCGGAACTGCTGGGCTGTGTAGCGAGTGAGGAGGATGCCAACGCCCTCAATGAGGGCCAACAGGATGCCCCCCATCATTGCTGAGCCCACCATGGCCAGTGGGCCACCTGGGGGAGTTGGAGGCAGAGAAACAGAGGTGAGAGCAGGCAGAACAGGGTGGAAGGGGCTGGGGCCAGGGCCAGGGGTCACTCACTGCGGGCAGCCAGCACAGCCCCGGTCAATGCTCCACTGGTGATAGAGTTCCAGGGATCCTCCTTGCCCCGAAGCCGCACCAGGCCACAGTCGATGGTGGAGAACAGGCCCCCCCACACTGCGAAGCTACCTGTAGTGGAACCGAGGCCTAATTAGTTCCTGGGAAATCCTGAGAATTCACATCTCAGGGGACTTCCAAGGCCTGAATGCTTTGGCCAAGAACAGGGAGAAAAACCCAGACACAAAGGCAGATAGCAAACCCACACAGAGTATTTCCTATCTGTCCCCATCCTGTGGTAGCTCCCACTTCAAGCCGTCTATAATCACCATCAACATTCCCTTCATCTTTATGGGGAGTTGACAAATGTTTACAAGCAGATTTATCTTCATATGGCTTTTAACAGAGCAACTTTGAGCTTCATAATCACCACACAGAGTTGGAATTCTGATTTGGGTTTCAGTGAGAAGGAAATAGGTTAGGAAACCCAGTTAATATGATAGTTAAAATGTTTACTGAGGGCTTACTGTGTGCCAGGACCTGTTCGAGGTGCTCTGTTATTTAACTTCTGCAATTTTAAATTAGTTAATGTTATTAAAGTGTTTAGCATAGCAACCAGCACTTAGTAGTATGTAAATTACATAAACTATAAAACTACCGATGAAGTGGTTACTGTTATCACCACCCCCACGGTACAAGTGAGGTTCAGAGAGGTTAAGCCACTAGCCCAAGGTCACATGGCAGGGAACAGTCAGGACCTAGATTTAAACTCCAGAACCCACTTTCTTCCCCTCCATATTCAATTGTTGGGAAACATCACCCCCCTAGAAAGTCTCTGGCAGGGGCTAGAATCTGAACCCCTAACTTGCAGCCTAGACCCAAAGGATCAACCACTCCCACCTTTGCCAAGACATCTCCTATATCTATCTCCCCAAGTCCCTCACCTCCAATCTGGGGGGCTCGGATCCTCACAGCATTGGCACTACCTCTCAACCGGTGCCGAATTCCCTGGGGAAAGGAAGGAAGGGCGTTAGGGCAGGGCTGAAGCCACTGGCAGACACGTTTCCAACTTTTAAGAGAGGGAAGAAGATGGGAGACCTGTTAGAGGTATGAGCTGTAGAGATGTGGAGAAGTGGCCAAGAACTAGTGGCCTGGAGAGCGCCCCAACATGGGTGTTCTCAGAGCTAGGTTGAGAAGTGCTAATTCATTCATACATTTGTTCATTCATTCATTCAGTGAATGATTAACAAGTACCTACTATATGTGCCAAGCACCATGCCATATGCAGGGATACAGCCATGAACAAGGTAGGTCTGCTCTCTGCCCTCTCAGAGCTCACATTAACGGTGGGAGACACAGATCTTGAGCAAGAGTAGATAAACAAGGGAGCTTCAGACAGCAATCTGCACTGTAGAGGAAATGCCATGAAGAAATATGACTGGGGCTGAGGGGTCAGGAAAGGCCTCTTGAAGGAGGGGGAATCTGTGCTGAGACCTTGAGGATGACAAACTTGGGCAAAGATCCAGGGAGGAGAGTTCCAGGAGTCTAGGGGAGGGACGGGGCTACATATATAAATTGCAGAGACCTTGGCTAATAGATGGCATTTAAAGTCATGGCATTTGCGATCTTCTGGGAGGGGAGGTGGTCAGAGAAAAAGAATTATGTTAAAAGAATTCTCTCAACTTCAAGGCTGTCTTCCGTCTGCCAATTAAATTCCTGTCATTTTCCTCTATCCGGGTTTCTGAGCCAGAATCTGCCTCTAGGTAAAATGCGCAGTGGCTAACACCTGTAATCCCAGCACTTTGGGAGGCTGAGGTGGGTGGATCACTTGAGTTCAGGAATTAGAGACCAGCCTAAGCAACACGTTGAAACCCCGTCTCTACAAATAAATAAATACATACATAAATAATTAGCCGGGCATGGTGGCGCAGTCCTGTGGTCCCAGCTACTTGGGAGGCTGAGGTGGGAGGATCACTTGAGCCTGGGAGGCGGAGGCTGTAGTGACCCATGATCAGGCCACTGCACGCCAGCCTGGGCAACAGGGCAAGATGCTGTCTCAAAAAAAAAAAAAAAAAAAAAAACATGGCCAGGCACAGTGGCACACGCCTGTAATCCCAGCACTTTGGGAGGCCGAGGTAGGTGGATCACCTGAGGTCCAGAGTTCAAGGCCAGCCTGGCCAACATAGTGAAACCCCATTTCTACTAAAATTACAAAAATTCGTCAGGTCTGGTGGCACATGCCTGTAGTCCCAGCTACTTGGGAGGCTGAGACAGGAGAATTGCCTGAACCCAGGAGGCAGAGGTTGCAGTGAGCCAAGAGCGTGCCACTGCACTCTAGCCTGGGCAACAGAGCAAGACTGTCTCAAAAAAAAAAAAAACTGTCTGGCTTTGCACATACATTTAAAATTTGGTGATGACTCTTTGAACGACACAGCATTTCCACAGAGGAGCTCCAGTTGGGTGGGGTGGAGGGTGGAAGACAGAGGCCATGTTTGCAATCCCTACAAAATCCCAGATACAGGAGCCAGGCTCGGCACATAGTAGGTGAGTGGGCACCAGAATGAATAAGTGCACGTGACTGGCAGCTCCAAGCAGTTTTCAGAGCAGCCTCCCTTGTGGGCAAGATAGCTAACCCCACACCAACCCAGGGAAGGCCTGGACTCACAACAGGGGCATTGCGGAAACCCTTGATGGCCTGGAAGACTCCGCCACCGATGACACCCATAGTGAAGGCTCCACCGCAATCATCCACAATTCGCCATGGGCTGCAAGCAGGAAGGGAAGGACGGGGTTAATGTGAGCCCTCCCCCAGGTCCTGTCACACGAACTCTTTTCTAACTGGGAGAAACCAAGTCACCAGAATGGGAAGTTCCTAAGTAGGAACAAACACTTCAGATAATAATGAGCTAGTTCTGTCACGCTTTTTCCACACACCCCCCCATTAAAGCGAGAAATGGGGCAAAGGGGGAGAAATATTAGTCTTCGCCCTGTCTACCAACCAAGGAATCAGCCAACGGTTTTACTGTGATCAAAGATTAAATGAATTGGCACACGCAGAGTTGACGTTTCAATAAGCGACATAGGCGTGTTAACTAGCCAAGACAGACTGTCAGCAAAGCAGGACCGCGTCGCACCCCTTCTCCGACGGTGAGCCCGTCCAACCATGCCCCGCCCCTTTTCAATCCGGCACAACTGGGAAAAACCAAGAGCGACCGCGGGAAGCATCCACCGTCCCCGCCGGCCCTCAACAGGTTCATCCGTGCCCCGCCCCCCACTGACAAAGGCGACCTGGGAAAAACCACTGGCGGCAACTCTGGGGATTTCCGGTCAACACCGTACCACCCCTAGCCGGGATGGATCGTCCAGCGTGTCTTTTTTCGTTAACAGGGCTAGGAGATTACGAAGTCAGGAGAAACATGGCGTGGTTCGGCCTTCGCCGCACCTTCTCTGGTTGTGGCCCCTCATAACGGAGCCCGAATGACAGGAACCGAGTGGGGGTAGCGGGAGATACGTTAAGAGTCCCCCGAGTCTGGTACATGGCTCTGTGCGGCCGATGCCTCCCCCGCCCGACCCCCACGGCTGGCCTTGGCGTCGCAGCAATATTCCGGATGCCTGTGCCCATTGCCGTACCAGGGCTCCCGAGCGTACTCCTCCATGGCGCTGGCGTCTGGCCGCGCAGTCAGGCCACGCCCCCAGCGTAGACGCACACCGGCGTCGGAGCTTTCCGCCTATTACCGGGCAGCGATTGGGTCGCTATACCGCATGTCACGCCAAGGACGCACTCTCATTGGCCAATCGAGTTTCTGCCATTTGTTCATTGCCTCCTGAGCGTAGTCCAGTTACTTTCAGGCTCGGGGAGTGAAGGCCTCGTTGAGAGAAGGTCTCATTCGGTGTTTTGGGAAGAGAGTCGTGTGGGCCCAGGTATCGTAGCGGCGACACGAGAGAGACGGGCGGTGTGACAGCCTTCCACTACCTGCACGAGTGTATTGGTAACGTTGGGGTGGGTGCACTCTTTTGGAGCTGGAGGAAGTGCTGCCCTCTGCTCCCCCATCCCAGCGCTTTGGTTTCTCCCACCCGGCAGTCATGGGGACGCTGGATGAGCCCATTTCTGAAGTGCGGAGGGGCCGGGCTTCTTAGGCTGTGGGCGGAGCCTGGGCCTGGGAGAGGAACAGGGCCCTGGAGCACCTGGTTTCGGGGACAGTAGGGTTGGTGGGAGTTGCGATGATATTGCCACCTACCTCTTACATCTTTTAGTGCGTATGTTCTGTCCACCCAGCTACTGGTTCATTTGAGTAGATCGGAGTCAGATGAGTACATGTTTACGGGAGGCGCTTGGTTACGGGATCCAGATAGGAATCTTTATCTGAGCTGCTTGTCAGTTTGTTCGTCTGTCCCTAGGTCTGTCTGCTATCAGCTATGCCGCTGCCCGTTGCGCTGCAGACCCGCTTGGCCAAGAGAGGCATCCTCAAACATCTGGAGCCTGGTGAGACAGCTAAAAGCAGATGGTCCTAACACGTGCCAGCCTCGACAGGCACTTTTGTTGTTGATACTGACGCTTGATACCTAGCATGGGCCAACTGTGCACCAAGCAATGGGGTGGCAGGCATTTTTCGTTGTTAACAATGTGGATTCCTGACATCCATCCCTACCGCGTGTCAAGTGGAGGGGGTTGGGGGAATAGATATTTCATTCTTTTTTTTTTTTTTTTTTTTTTTTTTTTTTTTTTTTTTTGAGGCAGAGTCTTATTGTGCACCCAGGCTGGAGTGCAGTGGCGCGATCTCGGCTCACTAAAACCTCCGCCTTCCAGGTTCAAGCGATTCTCCTGCCTTAACTTCCCGAGTAGTTGGGACTACAGGCACGCCCCGCCCCACCACACCTGGCAATTTTTTTTTTTTTTTTTTTGAGACAGAGTCTCGGTCTGTCGCCCAGGCTGGAGTGCTGTGGCGTGATCTCGTCTCACTGCAACCTCCGCCTCCCGGGCTCAAGCGATTTTCCTGTCTCAGCCTCCCAAGTAGCTGGGATTACAGGCACGTGATACCACACCCGGCTGATTTTTGCATTTTTAGTAGAGACGGGTTTCACCATGTTGGCTAGGCTGGCCTCTAACTCCTGACCTCAGGTGATCCACCCCCCACCCTTGGCTTTCCAAAGGGTTGGGATTACAGGCATAAGCCACTGTGCCCGGCAGATATTTCATTCTTAACAATACTGACTGGCTGGGCGTGGCGGCTCAAGCTGGCATTCCCAGCACTTTAGGAGGCTGAGGCGGGTAGATTGCTTGAGTTTAGGGATTAAGAGATTAGCCTGAGCAACATGGCAAAACCCCGTCTTTACAAAAAATACAAAAATTAATCGTGTGTTGTGGTGCATGCCTGTAGTCCCAGCTACTTGGGAGGCTGAGGTGAGAGGATCTCTTGAGCCTAGGATGTCAAGGGTGCAGTGAGCCGAGATTGTGCCACTGCACTCCAGCCTGGCCGACACATGGAGACCCTGTCTGAAAAAAATCCAAAAAAAACAACAAAATAATACTGACCACCTAATGCCTATTTGGGGCCTACTGTATGCCAAGTTAAATCCCATGGATTACTCTATGGGGGTGATGACATAGTATCTAATAGGAAGTACTGCTAACCTCTACTGCTGTCTCCTGTGTGCCAAGCGTAGTTGCAGTGAGGATCTATCATTTAGGCCTACTGTGCTCTGGCTGCAAATCACACCTTATTATCAGTAATACTAAAAACTGGCATCTATTTGGGGCTATAGTGTGCCAGGCACTGGAAAATATATCTTCTCCTTATTGATAACTGACATCTATTACAAGCCTACTGTGTGCAAGGTATAGACCTTGTGGTTAATAAAATTGTCAATGATCCCAGGCCGGGCAGGGTGCCTCATGCCTGTAATCTCAGCGCTTTGGGAGGCGGAGGTGGACGGATCACGAGGTCAGGAGATCGAGACCATTCTGGCTAACAGGGTGAAACCCCATCTCTAATAAAAATACAAAAAACTTAGCCGGGCGTGGTGCCAGATGCCTGTAGTCCCAGCTACTCGGGAGGCTGAGGCAGGAGAATGGTGTGAACCCGGAAGGCGGAGCTTGCAGTGAGCCGAGATCATGCCACTGCACTCCAGCCTGGGCAACAGAGAAAGACTCCATCTCAAAAAAATAAAACTGGCAATGATCATTGATTTACTTTTTTTTTTTTTTTTTTTTTTTTTTTTTGAGAGAGTCTCGCTCTGTCACCTAGGCTGGAGTGCAGTGGTGCAGTCTTGGCCCACTGCAACCTCTGCCTCCCGGGTTCAAGCGATTCTCCTGCCTCAGCCTCCCGAGTAGCTAGGACCACAGGCGTGCTCCACTGTGCCTGGCTAATTTTTGTATTTTTTAGTAGAGATGGGGTTTCACCATGTTGGCCAGGCTGGATTTTCTTTTAAGCCTATTGAATGACCTGTGCCTATGGTATATATATTATTTATTATTTGTTTAGAGACAGGGTCTCACTCTGTTGCCCAGGCTGGAGTGCAGTGGCACGATAATAGCTCACTGCAAGCTCAAAGTCCTGGGCTCAAATGAGCCTCCTGCCTCAGCCTCCTGAGTAGTTGGGACTACAGACGTGTGCCACTGTGCCCAGCTAATTTTTTTTTTTTGTAGAGACAGGGGTCTCACTATGTTGACCAGGCTAGTCTCACAGACGGGTTTTCACCATCTTGGCCAGGCTGGTCTTGAACTCCTGACCTCGTGATCCACCCACTTTGGCCTCCTAAAGTGCTGGGATTACAGGCATGAGCCATCACGCCTGGCCAAGATGAGTAAATTTTTTGATGAATCCCTATCAACTCTGAAACCAGATAGCTTTGGCTAACAGTAGAACTCATCATCTGAACCCAGACACAGATTTAGGTAACCTTTTTTTGTAAACCTCCTAATATAGAGAGTTGGATTTGGAATGTGAAAGATACTTCATATTCTTCCCGGCACACACACACACGTGTCTTTTATGTGTGGCTTGTGTGAATGTGAGTGCGTGTCTCTAGGCTCTACATGTAGGATGAGGTCCCCTGGTCCTTATCTGCTCTCCTCATCCCCACCTTGTTCTACCAGAACCAGAGGAAGAGATCATTGCCGAGGACTATGACGATGATCCTGTGGACTACGAGGCCACCAGGTTGGAGGGCCTACCACCAAGCTGGTACAAGGTGTTCGACCCTTCCTGGTGAGCCTGGGTGAGGGGGAGCTAACTTCTGGCTTCACCCTTCCTGTGCTGACCTTGGTTGTGAGGTTTAGGGGGACACAAGGGAGGGAGCCTCGGGTGGAGGGTGTTGGCATTAGGTATCTGCAGGACTCAAGTTGCTGCCTGCTGGGGCCTGGCTCCTCTGGGGTTGGAAGACTGTCTTTTCTCTCTTTTTTGAAACGGAGTTTCACTCTTGTAGCCCGGGCTGGAGTGCAATGGTGTGATCTCGGCTTATGGCAACCTCCGCCTCGTGGGTTCAAGCGATTCTCCTGTCTCAGCCTCCCAGGTAGCTGGGATTACAGGTGCACACCACCACACCCAGCTAATTTTTGTATTTTTTGTAGAGATGGGGTTTCATCATATTGGTCAGGCTGGTCCCGAACTCCTGACCTCAGGTGATCCGCCTGCCTCGGCCTCCCAAAGTGCTGGGATTACAGGCATGAGCCACCACGCCCAGCTGACAGTGTTTTCTCTTCAGGAGAAGAGATTCTGGGGATCCTGCCTGTGGGGTCCTGACATGGGGCAGGTATAGGCAGAGACTGGGGAGACAAGAGTTGAGGATCCAAGGCAAGGACATCTGTGCTGACACTTCTTTCCTGCGGCCCCACAGCGGGCTCCCTTACTACTGGAATGCAGACACAGACCTTGTATCCTGGCTCTCCCCACATGACCCCAACTCCGTGGTTACCAAATCGGCCAAGAAGCTCAGAAGCAGTAATGCAGGTGAGTTGGCAGGTACAAGCGTGCCTTGAGTGATCTTAGCAGTTCTCACGGAGAGGCCAAGTAGAATGATAGTGGATCAGAGGGGCAGGTGAGACCAGGCGGGCCCAGCCTCAGGCAAGGGAGGTTGTTGAAGGCAGAGGCTGCTGGGTCCTGGGGTGGCAAGAGGTCACTTCAAGACTTGTGTCCCCAGATGCTGAAGAAAAGTTGGACCGGAGCCATGACAAGTCGGACAGGGGCCATGACAAGTCGGACCGCAGCCATGAGAAACTAGACAGGGGCCACGACAAGTCAGACCGGGGCCACGACAAGTCTGACAGGGATCGAGAGCGTGGCTATGACAAGGTAGACAGAGAGAGAGAGCGAGACAGGGAACGGGATCGGGACCGCGGGTATGACAAGGCAGACCGGGAAGAGGGCAAAGAACGGCGCCACCATCGCCGGGAGGAGCTGGCTCCCTATCCCAAGAGCAAGAAGGGTAAGCTGGGCAGAATGGGGCTCGGTGAGACCAACAAGGTGCAGGGTGCACTGCGTGAGGAAGCCTTCCCTCAAAAAGATGCCTGGACCTGGGGCTAGAGGAGGGTGCTGTGGTACATGGCAGCCAGGGGCTTCATTTCTTCTTGTGGGGTGGGGCTCAGTGATCAGGGGATCCTGGTGCCTCTATTGAAGACTTTGCCCTGCCACTTCCACAGCAGTAAGCCGAAAGGATGAAGAGTTAGACCCCATGGACCCTAGCTCATACTCAGACGCCCCCCGGTAAGTGACAACCCCTCTTGACTCAGTACGTGGACACCATCCTCCGGCCTCCTTCCTCCATTCCTCATTGGGACCAGGTGGGCTGTGTCCGCCACATCACCCATCCCCATCCCCTGACTCTTTCACCGGCAGGGGCACGTGGTCAACAGGACTCCCCAAGCGGAATGAGGCCAAGACTGGCGCTGACACCACAGCAGCTGGGCCCCTCTTCCAGCAGCGGCCGTATCCATCCCCAGGGGCTGTGCTCCGGGCCAATGCAGAGGCCTCCCGAACCAAGCAGCAGGATTGAAGCTTCGGCCTCCCTGGCCCTGGGTTAAAATAAAAGCTTTCTGGTGATCCTGCCCACCATACCTGAGTGCTTCCTTTGAGGCTGCCCAACCCAAGTCGGCAAGATACACAACACATTTTATTTGCAAAAACTCAGCTAAGAGATAGTGTGGAGCTGGCAGGGGCTGGGGGGCTGAGCTGAGGTGGGTCATGAGAGAGCTTAGTCATGTTGGCCCTGGGTGGGGCAGGGGTGGTGGGGACAGGGAGTCCAGTGTCTACCTCACTCTACCCCTAATACTGATCAGAGTTTGGTCCCAGCTGGGCCAAGGGCAAGAAGAGAGAACGAGGCCAGGCCAATGTCTTCAATCCCAGCGGCTAGGAACCCTTCACCTTGGTGAGCAACCTGTGGTGGGAATGGGGAGGAAAGAAAAACACAAAGCTGGGCTAGGCTGGCAGGCGGGTTTCCTGAGCAAGTGAGGGCGGCGGTGGTGAGGCTGGTAGTCCTGGGGTTAGTAATGGTGCCCACCTGGTCAGAAAGCTACACGTGGACTAAATAAATACAACATCTTTATTTGGCATTGGATATCCTGACATTTGTTCATTACAGTTCCTTAAAAAACAAACCAAAAAATCAGAACAAATTAATCAAAAATAAAGATCCAATGGCTCTATTTACATATAGCAAAGACAGCCCAGGCATCTTCCATGCACACACACACCCCGCCCCGATACAGTTAAGGGGTTAATAAGCTTTGGGGAGCGCAGGAGGCAGGTTCCACAGTTCATCAATCCCAAGACACCCCCATGAGGTAGGGGTGCCTCACACAGCCAGACGGATATCAAGAGTATGATTGGTAGCTTTTTCCTCTCCTAGACATCTCCAAAAATAAGCCTACATCTGGCAACTGACAGTGTCTTAAATACAATGAGATTCAGCCACTTCAAGGACCTCCATTTTTCCCACACCCTGGATCATTAATGATATGATTACACCACAAATCCCAAGTCCACTAAAAAAAACAAATGGCCCCTACCACACCTTCTGCCAGAAGGGCTGATGCAAAAATCTTAGCTCTTGTCCCTTTCTCCCTGGGGACTCACAAGAAGCCCATCTTCAAGGTATCAAGGAAGCTGGCCCAAGGCCACACAAAAGACGGAACTAGTAACATGATCCAGAGCGGTGGTAAGGGAGGAGAGAAGGCCTCAAACTATGGGCAACTGAACCCCACAGGTAGGCATCGGTCATTCCTGAAGAGCTGCGGGAGTTTTGTCCAGTGTGTCCTTATGGAGGTGGAGGGACTGCTGGGAGGGACTCTCCCAGACGAGAAACCTCCAGAAGAGGGCACAGGGTCGGGGAGGGAGCAGACAAAAAAAAGGCCTTGAATGACAATACCCCCAACCCTGCCTCCAAAGAGGTTAGAGGGAGCAGAGGCGGCAGCTCTAAAACCCCCTCCAGGGGAAGGGGGTCACCCTACCAGGAAGGGTTCACGTGACACCCAGCTCTAGTCCCACACCCCTCCAGAAGTCTCAGTGACCTGGGAGAAAAGACCATCTCCCAAACCCAGAGGAGCCAGGCCCCGGAGGGTGGCGACTTGGGTCCTGCAGATGCCCAACACCCTCCACCCCAGTCCCCCTCCCTTGTGTCCCCCCATTGCTGCCAGCCCTCACTTCACCAGCACTGACTTTGGCAGAAAGGGCTCCGTGATGAGGTCTCCACGGTGGGAAGACAGCTGCGGTGGTGGTGGCTGCCCGGGAGGCTGCTGGTGAACGCAGGGCCCGGAGGCGGAGGCAGAGGCAGAGGCTATGGCTTTGGCTGCACCTCGGGGAAGGCTGTAGAGGTAGACAGCACCAATGACGAGTCCAGCGCCAAGGGCAAATAATGGGTCCACGTGGAAGCCAAAGAGGCGAATGGAGGCAACAGTGGACAGCACAATGGACAGGGAGGTGGCAAAGCCCTTGAGGATATTGTCAGCGTACTTGACAACCACAGCCACCAGTAGCCCGCCGAAGGCCTGGTTGAGCACCACGCCCCAGACAGCAGGTGTGTACCCAAAAAAGAAACCACGGGTGGCCACGGCGGTACCCTCAGCCCACCAGAGCCCCACCAGGCCCAGTGCTGTGCCGAAGAGGCCCAGTTGCAGGTTGCGCAGCCACACGGAGCCTGAGCTGCCTTTGAGGATCTTCTCAAAGTAGACACCTGCGAAGCCGGAGGAGAGACAGGAGGCCACGACGGCTGCCAGGCCTGCCCCAGGGTTCTGATCCAGTGGCCGTGGGCCTCCCCCACCGGCTTGCTGTGCCTGGACAATGGCGACGCCAGTGAAGAGGAGCAGCAGGGAGGCCCACTGCAGCCGGGAAAGGCTGCGATTCAGCATGAGCACGGAGAACAGCGCTGTGGTCAGGATCTTCAGCTGGTATGTCACCTGCGAGTGGCACGTGGAAGGCACTGAGGGCTGACCCTGGCCCCCAACAGGTGCACATGGGGGGCAGCACCCACTGTGGGCCCCCAGGCACAATGGAGGGACAGGGTGGGGGGTATGACAGCAAAAACAGCAAAAGGAGCCAGCCACTGGCCATTGGCTGAGCTGCAGCAAAACAGTTCTGAAGTCTCTCCCAGCAAGTGCACAAAAGGATGGCTGTGCCAAGAAGTCCACATCCCAATCCCATTTCCTGGCTGTGTGACTGGGGACAAAGCACTTGCCCTGTCTGAGCCCTGGCATCATCATCTATAAAAGATGGCTGAGGTATGGAAGTATCTTTGTGATGAGGGACTTGATACAAATGAATCAATAGCCACAACAATGTCAGCAAATACTTACATAGTGCTTACAATATATCAGTGTGGTTCTAGGCACTGCACGTGAATTCATTCATTTAATTCTCACAACACCATTCTGAAGTGAGCACCACTGTAAGCCCCAATTTAAAGGTGAGAAAACTAAGGCACAGAGAGGTTAGGTGACGTGCCCCAAAATCACACAGCTGGAAGGTAGCAGAGCTGAGATTTGAACCCAGACAGCCTGGCCCCAGAATCCAGGCTCTTTAACCATTTCACAAAGCTGCCCACAAATAGCCTAAAGCTTATCTGTCACCAATCAAGGGCTCTTCACAGGTATTATTTCTTTTAAGTATCCTAGCATCTCAGTGAACAGGCATTACTATTTCCACCCCCAATTTTCACAGACGAGAAAAGGGAGGTTGAAGGAGTTCCAAGGACATTCTGAAGGTGACATAGCCCCTGTCCTCTGCAACACCCCCCCACCACGCTATTCCCATACTCCAGTCCCCAACCCAGTTAGTTCCTCTGGGGCCATGCTGGGCTTGGGGCTCACCTGGAAAGTGGCAGCTGGTAGGTTAGAGATGGCAACATACTGGAGGTTATTCTGCAAGGTGTAGATGAGAGAGGGCACTGCGAGCTTGAGCGTGTCCACATACTGCACCAGGACAGCCTCATGGAGGAAGAGAACCAGGTGCTTCACGTTACCTAGGTGGGAGGAGGAGAGCCCTTCTTAGCACTGACAGCCATACATGGGGAACCCCTGAAGGCTGGGAACAGGCCTTGCTCCTGTGACTCCCCCATCCACCCTGCTGTCCAATCCCTGGAGGCTGGAATGAAGTATGTGATCTTGGTTTTCCCTAGAGTACAACCATGTTTCCAGCAAGCTTTTCTGAGACTCAGTTTAATGGCAGCAAAAGAATCAGCCATCCGTGTCTGCTAATCACAGAGCATGTCACTCATGTTAGAGCCTACCTCCCTGGCAGAGAGCCCCATTCAGGGAAAGCACTCAATACTCAATATATTTGTGTACAATGAAATAACCAGCATTAGGCCAGGTGCCGTGGCTCACGCCTGTAATCCCAGCACTTTGGGAGGCCAAGGCAGGTGGCTCATGAGGTTAGGAGTTCAAGACCAGCTGGGCCAACAACACTGAAACCCTATCTCTACTAAAAATACAAAAATTAGCCAGGTGTGGTGGCAAGCGACTGTAATCCCAGCTACTTGGGAGGCTGAGGCAGGAGAATTGCTTGAACCTGGGAGGTGGAGGTTGCAGTGAGCTGAGACCATGCCATTGCACTCCAGCCTGGGCAACAGAGTGAGACTCCATCTCAAAAAAAAAAAAAAAGAAAGAAAGAAATAACCATCATTAACTTGGAGCTTATGAAATAGAAGCCCTAGGAGCTGGGGTGGAGGGCTGTCTCCCACACAGAAGAGTTTAGTCTAGACTTTTTTTTTTTTTGGCACAGTGGCGCGATCTCGGCTCACTGCAAGCTCCACCTCCCAGGTTCAAGCCATTCTCCTGCCTCAGCCTCCCAAGTAGCTTGGACTACAGGCGCGTGCCACCACTCCCAGCTAATTTTTTGTATCTTTAGTAGAGATGGGGCTTCACCGTGTTAGCCACGATGGTCTTGATCTCCTGACCTCGTGATCCGCCTACCTCGGCCTCCCAAAGTTCTGGGATTACAGGTGTAAGCCACCACACCAGGCATAGTCTAGACTTTTAGACTTATCCTAGCTCCTCACTGACCCATGTGCCGTCTGAGGGCAGGGGCCATCTCCCCCTTGTTGCATCTTTCTGTCAGCCCTAGACACAGAGTTGCCTCTGCCACATGGATGAATGCAGGCTTGACCATTAAGCAGAAGTCCGCTTGGGACCTGCTCCAGTGAAAACATGATAATCGGGCTGGGCGCAGTGGCTCACGCCTGTAATCCCAACACTTTGGGAGGTTAAGGTGGGTGGATCACCTGAGGTCAGGAGTTCGAGACCAGGCTGGCCAACGTGGTGAAACCCCGTCTCTACTAAAAATACAAAAATTAGCCGGGTGTGGTGGCAGGCGCCTATAATCCCAGCTACTCAGGAGGCTGAGGCAGGAGAATCTTTTGAACCCGGGAGGCGGAGGTTGCAGTGAGCCAAGATCGTGCCATTGCACTCCAGCTCAGACAACAAGGGCAAAACTCCATTTCAAAACAAACAAACAAAAAACATGAGAATCATTTCCTATGTAACAAGGCCTTTGCAAAGCTCGCCCCACTTTTTGGCAGTTCATCTTTTTTTTTGGCGGGGCGGGGTGGGTGGGTGAGGAGTCTTGCTCTGTCGCCCAGGCTGGAGTGCAGTGGTGTGATCTTGGCTCACTGCAACCTCTGCCTCCCGGGTTCAAGCAATTCTCCTGCCTCAGCCTCCCTAGTAGCTGGGATTACAGGCACCTGCCACCGCGCCTGGATAATTTTTGTATTTTTAGTAGAGACGGGGTTTCACCATCTTGGCCAGGCTGGTCTCTAACTCCTGACCTTGTGATCCACCTGCCTCTCGGCCTCCCAAAGTGCTGGGATTACAGACGTGAGCAACCACGCCCAGCCAGCAGTTCATCTTTTAAGTCACAGCTGGGTGTCACTCCACAGGCAAAACTTCTTCAAACACTGAACAAGGTTGTCCCAGGAACTCCTACTGATGTTCATTCACCAAACCCTGTGCACTCCTGGTCTCCAAACTCGAATTCAGGGGAAAAAAATTCCGGGCAGGGGAGAGAGGGGTGCTGAAATTGTGGCTAAGAGATGAAGGCCTGTGATTAAGTCTGTGGCTATCTGTTATTTCCATCTTCCATCAGCAATGAGGACAAGCTGCTCCTCTGCATTGCTAACCCATCTACCCCCACGGCCTGAGGCAGTGTTCACACCTACACTGTTCACAGAGTTAACAAAGGTAAGAGCAGGTCTCTTGTTAACCTGGAGTTAACAGGTGGGTGAGAATATTCTCTTCAATGTAAACAAAGGGCAAAGGTGCATAATTCATCTCCATCCCTTTACTTATGCAAGACCTTTTTAGAGAAACAATTGGGCAACACTTCAAAGTAGAAGGCCTTCAGGGAGATGTTGAAATTAGCAGATAAACCCAACTTCCAATTTACAAGAGATGTAGAAGACAGAATACTTGTTAAATTTTTGAGAATATTTGCCTTAGGGAGGCAGTCAGCAAAATCCAGACTACCCAAAGTCTACAAAACAAATGACCTGTTTTCTCCAACAAATTAATTGCAAAGACCAAAAAACCCCTAGAGATTAACAGATTTAGAAGATACCAAACAAGGCCAGCCTGGTGGCTCACGCCTGTAATCCCAGCACTTTGGGAGGCTGAGGTGGGCGGATCACGAGGTCAGGAGTTCGAGACCATCCTGGCTAACATGGTGAAACCCCTTCTCTACTAAAAATACAAAAAAATTAGCTGGGCGTGGTGGCACGTGCCTGTAATCCCAGCTACATTTATTCAAGATAATTCAGGGGAATTTACTTCCATACAATATTACTTCGTGTGGGATTTACTTAAAAATAATAAGAGGATAAGGACGTAGGTAGACATATAGATTGGCAGTGAGTGAACAATCACTGATGTTGTTTAAAGCGGCCATGAGTTGCTAATTGCTGACTCTGGGGGATGGGTACATGGATATTTTACTATTTGATTATTCTCTCTGATTTTGCATGTATTCGGAATTCTCCATAATATGAAGCTAAATCACATGTGAGAGATCCCTGCTACTTTATAAGCATTGGCAATCTCACTCCTACAGCCCACACAGGCCGGCTACCCGGCTGTTAGGGCTAGAAAAGTGTAAGATGCCGCTACGCATAGCTGGAGTGGCGCTCCAGGCAGGTTGAGATTTGGAGACACTCCTGAAGCAAACCATCTGTGTGAACACACACACATACATGTGGAGTCTCACCCACCGACCCCAGTGCAGCCCCATCCCTGGTTCGTACCCCTCTTCTGTGCGAAGAGCAGCAGCAGGCAGGTGAGACCTTTGAGCACTTCCGCCATGACCACAGCAGTGGTGGCAAAGAAGCGGTCCCCTGGCAACGTGCGGGCGTAGCGGATGCTGAGGATGAGGGAGGCATTCTGGACCACCAGCACAGCTAGGGATATGTACTTCAGGCGCCTGTGAGCTGTGGGGAACGGAAGGGGCAAGGGGGAAGGACGGGGTCAGAAGCCGCTGGGGCATAGCCACACCACCACCCACCCCCTTTCTTTCTCACCCAGGACCCTCCTAGCCATGGCTACTTGCTCCCTCAGCCTGCCTGCCCTCACCCAATAAGGGTCTGACTCCTACCGGCTTACTGCCTCAGCCATGAGCAGGAAGAGCCAGAAGGGAGAAATGGGCCCCACCCTGTCCCAGTCCATACCTGGAATCCTTACTGAGGTGTCAGGTAATGGCTGAGGCAAACCCTGGCCACGCGCCTCGGCTTCCTCCCAAGTGAGAAGCAACTCTTCCCCAGAAAGAATACCGACAACTACATTCTCCACGTTTATTGAGTGTTTACTGTATGCCTATCACTGGGTTAAGGGATTTCTATGGATTACCTCAATAGACTCATATCACTGTCATCTCCAAAAGAACTGCGAGGATTCCCATTTATGGATTAGCAAACTGAGAATTTATATGAAATGATGCTCCTGTTTAATGAGGGACTGTCTCATGTAAAGAATAACACATCAATGCAGGGAATGAGGCCACTGTATGAGGTATGTTCACCCCCTAAGAACGGTCTTTCTCCTATCTAAGAAATGATTCGATTCCCTCACACTGAGAATGGCCTACATCCCATATGGAATGATCCTCCTCATACCCAGAATGGTCTCTCCAACCCCTCACTCCTGTGACAACTGGTTCCTCTCGAACCAGAATAGTCTACTAAATACAAGAAATGATTCCCACATGCTCCCAGGGACTGAATCCTGTATCAGGAATGGTTATCCCACCAAGAAAGGTCTGGCTCCCTCAACCAGATGAGGAAATACTTCCCTGCACTCCACATGGTCTGCCCTCCCACCACCGCACACGGACCCTCTAGCTAATGAATTTTTCCTTGCTCTACCCACACTCACAATGAGCTCTCTCTGCTATAAGGAAGGACCCGGCACTCTCAGAACGTTCTTTCTCCACCATATAACGATGAGCCCTCCCACCCGAATGTACAATGAACTCTACCTCCATTAGGAGGGAGCCCCCAGAACGGTCTCCTCCGCACATAATGAAAGACACCCCCATCCTCAAAATGGACCCTCTCTAGTCACATAAAGAAGGACTCGCCCCACCCTAACTCACAATAGTCTCTGTCCCTTTATAAGGAAGGAACCACCACCCTCAGAATAGTCTCCCCCTTCTTCAGTGAGGAACTCCCACACCCGCAGAATGGTCTCTTCCACACGGAAGGACTCCACATATTCAGAATGGTTTCGGTGGCCTTAGCCTTCCCAAAAAGAATTACCCACCACACTCACAATGGTCTCTACTCTCCATATGCGGAAGGATCCCACAATCACTCTCAGAATGTTCTCTTCCCCGCCCCCAACACACTGACAATGTGCACACACACACACACACACACGTCGGTCCACACGGGATGCTCCCTCTCACTTTAGTGAGGAACATTCCCGACTCCCAGCGATCCCGACCTCCGCCTCCCATGCGACTGCTCGGGCAGACTGTCTCACCCGCACTGGCGGTCCCCGGCTCCAATGCACCCGCGGAAACCGCCCCTGGCCCGGGCGCCGCGGTGGAACCACCAGCCCCAACCGCTGCCATGTTGGCATCTGCCCGGCCCGTCCCCTCGGCAACAGAAAAACCACTTCCGCGTTCGTCACTTCCGCTGCCGGGCCACCTGAGTGAAGGTGGAGCGAGAGCCGGGATCGTCAGGGTGGTGGCTTTTCTCCTCCGCTCCTAAAAGCTCAATGTATGAATAGCCCCGGGATTTCCAAATTCCGTCGGATCGGGAGGCCGGGGACACGGCCCGATCGGCCTACCCACCATCCCTACAGAGCTTCATCGGCCCATTCCTGTCACTAGACCCGCCTTATCCTGCCGTTCGTCCGCTTCACTGATCGCGCTTTCCAGATCATCCCCCGATCTTGTCTCCTAGACTCATTGGTTCAGCCACCCCTTTCATCTCGGCTCTTTATTGGCAGCTTCTCCATAAGGCGCCGCCCTTTCCGTATCAGAAACTACCAGGTGCTTCATGGTTGGACTGAAATTCCGCTTTCCCGTCTTCCAGAGAGGCCTCGCCCCCTGGAGAGCACACGGGAATCTGGGGACGAAGAAACTTTGACCTGGCGGGGTCGGGGTGAGGGCGTACTGGCATCAGGTGCGAGTCAGGAATGTTAAGCTAGCAGATAAAAGCAGAGCAGGTGAGGATAAACAAGTGAAAATGCAAAGGAAAGTTGACGCACATAAGGGAAGACAAGTGAGTCACCACTGAGGATGGCAAAGGGGACAGGCGAAAGGCTCACAGGTTAGCTAGCATTTGGAAGCAGGGCAAGAGTCCGGGCCAGAGGCGGTGGCTCACGCCTGTAATCCCAGCACTTTGGGAGGCTGAGCCGGGCGATCACCTGAGCTCAGGAGTTCCAGCCTGGGCAAAACGACAAAACCCCGTCTCAAATAAAAAAAAAAAATTACCCGGGCTTAGTGGTATGCACCTGTACCCAGCTACTCTGGAGGCTGAGGCAGGAGAACCGCTGGAACCCGGAAGGCGGAGTTTATACTGAACCGAGACAAATAAGCAGGGCAAGAGAGGGAACAACTCAGGTCGGAACAAGTGAAACCAACATGGAATAGGGTAGGCCAGGTAAGTCAAGTGTTGAAGGAGAAATTAGAGGGATGGGTATGTAAGGGTAAAGATGGGGGAAGAGGCTAAAGATAAAGAGCAAAACAGGTGACTACACCCTGGACAGATTCCAGTCAGCGCCCAACCCCAGCCCCGCCCTGGCCAGTACCCTGACAGGGCTTTTCTTCTGCAACAGGGGAAAGGGCTTCTTCATTCCCCTGGGGTGCCAGGGAAGGTAGTTTTTCTGCTTCTGAGATAGCCATCTTGATTGGGGATGTGCCCTAAACACCTTCAATATGCACAGTATCTCCAACAGAGAACCCTTCTGCACATACTGGGCACTGCATAAGATCAGGGGCAGGGGAATCAAGATTTTTTTGTGTGTGTGTGGTGCAGCTTCAAGAATCCTTAAAGCTCTTTAGGATGGCAACATAAGACTGTGGCTTCCTGAGGACAAAGCAGAGGGACAGTCTGTCTCAGTGCACAGTAGATGCTCCATAAAAGCCTCACACCTACAAATGGCCAGCCGCTTCTGATTCTATTACTTTTATTAAATAGTGGGTTTCCACACATGGCTTTTTAAATAATCCAGGCAGGAGAAGAGAGGAGGGCACACTTGGAACTCCCCTCCCCACAATACGTGATTATTTACATTTTAGTAATTGGACAATCCCGGCTCAGGAGGAGGTTGCAAGAATCTGCAAAAGTTGGAGGGAGCGCCCCAGGAGAACAAACAGCAAGCCTTATTTCCCCTAGCCCATCCCCCAAAAAACCATCCATCCCATCCTAGTGTCTGGTGGTGTCCGGTGGTGTCCATCTTCCATTCCTTCCCAAATTATGGAAGTAAGGTTCTTCTCACCAGAATAAGAGCACTTGGGATAACAGAGTAGGGTCCCCTCACCCAAAAAAAAAAAAAAAAAAAAGAAGCCTTGGGGTAACAACAGGGCATTACCTCCCCCAGAATAAAGAATCCTGGGCTGAGGCAGGTAAGCAGCTTGACCCAATATGGGACCCTAGGCTAGGGGAAAGGGTCCCTTTACTAAAATAAAAGCTACTGGGGTATTGGAAGGAAAGCACCCTTGCCCAAGTAAGAGCATATGAACTAAGTTTGTGTGGTGGTAGTAGGAGGTGCCAATGTGGGGTGACACATCATCAGAATAAGAGTCCCGGGGCTCAGAATGGGAACAACTTCACCAAAATAAACTTCCTTAGCAAAATGAGAAGCAAGAAGTTCCCCCTCCAGAATCAGGGACCACAGGTTCTGGGAGGAAGGCTCCTTTGTAGGATTGGGAAGGGAACTGGGCAGACTTGGTTTATGTCTTCTAACCCCTGATCCTCAATCCCTTACCTTAGTAATACTGGACTTTAATGACTGGTAATGACCTGTAAAACCAAGTCAACAAATGTCCATCTATCCCTGTGACATGGCCATGGGATGGCTCTTCTGACCATTGGGGGCCAGGCCAGGCCAGGCCAGGCTTAGGGTAGCAAGGACCAGGCCAAAGGGGCAGGGCCTCCTTTGGAGGGGTTGAGGGGTACATCCTCGGCTGGTGTTTGCATCCAGGGGTCCAGCAGGATCTCTTCCAGTGAGGGTCGGGAAGAAGGTTTGGGGGCCAGGCACCGGCGGATTAGGGCACAGCAGTCTGTAGGCCAAGAAGCAGAGAGGGAAGATTAGCAGTCAGTAGGGGGTACTGGTCCCTGAGAAGGATGGAGTCTTCTGGGCTGGGGTCAGTGAGGCCTCACCTGGGGAGACATGGGCTGGGAAGTGGAGCTCAGCTTCCAGAATCTCCTGGTCCCTCTCAAAGGGAATGTCCCCACACACCATGTCATAGAGGAGGATGCCCAGTGACCAGACAGTGGCCGGGAGTGCATGGTACTGGTGTCGAGAGATCCACTCTGGGGGGCTGTACACCCTTGTCCCTGCACACAAGCCAGGGGTTAGACCAACTCAATCTCATGATGCCCTTCTCCAACCCCAAACTCTCCAGGAAGGATGGCCTCACCACAATTAAGAGCACTCAAGATAAAAGCAGAGTCCCCTCACTAGATAAAAAGCAGCTAAAATAACAGAGTCCCCTCAACAGAATAAAAGCACTGAAAAGTAACAGGATCCCCTTACCAGAGAAAGAATACTCAGGATGGTAACAGGATCCCCTCACCAGAATAGGAGCCCAGAATAAGGTTAGCACACCATTAAAAGATGGACTTTATCAGAGGGCAAGGCTGAGAATCCCCAGTATTAGCAATCGATCATCTTATATAATGCAGTATGGGTCAAGGATTACAGGACACCCCACCACTGGAGGCCAAAGGTCACAAGGCCATCAAGTAAAAACAATCCCTCCAGGGAGATTTAGAGAAGCCTTACCATCAAAGTCAGTGTAGGGTTCATCATGAAGCAGGGCACCAGAACCAAAATCAATGAGTTTGGCACAGCCACGGCGTAGGTCTATCAGGATGTTCTCATCCTTGATGTCACGATGGACAACTCCACGGGAATGGCAGTGCTGGATGGCTGCCACTACTTGGCCAAAGAAGCAGCGGCTTGGGCCTTCACCCAGTGGGCCCTTCTCTGTGATATAGTCAAAGAGATCCTGGGCGGGCAAAGGCCGCTCGAGGACCAGCATGAAGCCCTCCTGTGTCTCAAACCAGTCAAGCAGGCGGATCACGCCAGGGTGCCCACCACCTGCACCCACTTTCCATAGCAGTGCGACTTCGAGTGGGCATGTGACTGAGTCTGACTGGGGGCACAGGTGGGGTGGGAAGCAGGGAGAGAAAAAAGACAGATGTCAGGGCAACAGCTCTGAGGCTTTTTACCTAAGCTCAACTCAGGGCCCCTTTTCCTGACAGTGTGTCGCTAAGCAACTCACTTCCCTTCCTGGGCCTCACTTTCCCTAAAGACACAAACTCACACAGCGATTGAGAGGGTGAAACCAGCAAAGAGCCTGCACAAATCTCGCATGTCGTAGATCAATAAACATTTGAATAAACGAAAGAAGTTCGGCCAGGCACAGTGGCTCATCCCTGCAATCCCAGCACTTTGGGAGGCTGATGTGGGTGGATTGCTTGAGCCCAAGAGTTCAAGATCAGCCTGGGCAAAATGGCACAAACACAAAAATTAGCCAGGCTTGGTGGCATGCACCTGTAGTCCCAGCTACTTGGGAGGCTCAGGTGGGAGGGTCGCTTGAGCCAAGAAGGCAGAGGTTGCAGTGAAGATCACACCACTGCACTCCAGCTGTCTCAAAACAAACAAGCAAAAATACAAAGAAAAATCTGGTTATCAACTGAAGGCTTTCAGCAGAAGCAGCACCACCATTATGTGTTTTGTTTTGTTCCCTGACATATCCCAGATTAGAATAGTACCTTACACAGGTGATCAATAAATGTTAAACAGATGACAGCACTTAATAGCATGGGCTCTGACAAGCAGTTAGCACTCAATAAACACTTATTGTGTAATGGTTTGTTTTGTTCACGGACGTATATGAAGCACTAGAACAGTGGCTGCTAACAGAGTAGGGCTGAATAAATATTTGTTAAACAGGTGAAAACAATTAGTAAAAAAGGACCTAGCACAAAATGAGCTCTCAATACTTATGTAATACTTTGCTGAGTGTCTAGAATTATGTCTGTCATATAGTAGGTGGTCAATATACCTAATTTGTTAAACAGCTGAGTGATTTATTACAAAGGACCTAGCACAAAAGGACTTAGTGTTATCATGTGTTTTGTCAGCATCACCAAGCACCTAGAACCAGCCAATAAAAAGCCTAAATGTGGCCCTGCGCAGTGGCTCACGCCTGTAATCCCAGCACTTTGGGAGGCCGAGACGGGCAGATCACCTGAGGTCGGGAGTTCGAGACCAGCCTGACCAACATGGAGAAACCCCGTCTCTACTAAAAATACAAAATTAGAGGCCGGGCGCGGTGGCTCACGCCTGTAATCCCAGCACTTTGGGAGGCCCAAGGCGGGCAGATCACTAGGTCAGGGGTTCGAGACCAGCCTGGCCAACATGGTGAAACACGGTCTCTACTAAAAACGTAAAACTTAGCCGGGCATGGCAGCGGGTGCCTGTAATTCCAGCTACTCAGGAGCCTGAGGCAGGAGAATCGCTTGAACCCAGGAGGTGGAGGCTGCAGTGAGCTGAGATCACGCCACTGCACTCCAGCCCAGGCAGCAGAGCGAAACTCCGTCTCAAGGAAAAAAAAAAGTCATAAATGCAGCCGGGCGTGGTGGCTCATGCCTGTAATCCCAGCACTTTGAGTGGCCGAGGCAGGCGGATCACCTGAGGTCAGCAGTTCAAAACCCGCCTGGCCAACATGGTGAAACCCTGTCTCTACTAAAAATACAAAAATTAGCCGGGCATGGTTGTGCGCTCCTGTAGTCCCAGCTACTTGGGAGGCTGAGGCAGGAGAATCACTTGAACCCAGGAGACGGAGGTTGCAGTGAGCCGAGATCGCGTCACCTCACTCCAGCCTGGGCAACAGAGGGAGACTGTGTCTCCAAAAAAAAAAAAGTATAAACGCTGGGGGCCACAAAATCCGCCCCCCACTGCCTCCCCAAGCCCTGCGCAGGTACACTTCGAGCAGCAACCTTCTGGGATGAGGTAGAGCCCTCTCCTGGCCAGGCTGCTGACTTGCACGGCAGCAGACGTTTTCTCACCGAGATGCAAAAATACCGATATTGCGCAGGCGCACCCTCTCCCTTTGGGTCCCATGGACTGCGCAGGCGCAGTTTCCCCTAGAGCCCGCCAGGGGGCGCTCCCAACTCTACAACTTGCCCAGACCCGCCCTGATGTCCGTTAGCGTTATAACGGCAAGAGAGAAGCAGCCACCATCACCATGGCAACCAGTGACCTCTGCCCCTTGTTCCCCACCAGCACGCCCTGCGGGCAGTCCCCCAGCAGTGTTTGGAGGAAGGATGGTAAAGGTTTGTTGGAGGGGAGAATCCAGGGCTCTAGGGGAATTGGGGTGAATCAGAACTGTATGTCACCCCAAGGGAGTATAAATGGGCTGGCAGTATTCTCACTGTTACAGGGCCCAGGGAGTCATACATCCCCTGGAAAAGCAAGGAGGTGAATACATCAGTGATGGAGTAGGTAGGTTAGGAAGGGCTCCGAAGGTACTCACCAAGGGGGACCAGCCCAGCACACGATTCCGGGGAATCACTTTGATGGCCACCTGGAGAAGAAGGCCGTGATAAGGAGGCCAGCAGGTGATCCCCAGACCCCTCCCAGTCTAGACCTTCTGCCTACCTCCAGTATTCCTCCATCTACCAGCACTCTAGTCTTTCTGGTCCCCAACCACAGCACCCCACAGAACGCGTACCAGGGCGTCTCCCCTGCCCTCCAGGTCCTCGGAACCAAGTTTATCTCTCCCACCTTCCTTAGCCCTGGGCTCTCCGTTCTCAGGCATCAGGACTCATCACTCCAAGTCCTGAGTTCTAGATTTCCTGATACCCCAGGCCCACAATCTTCCTATTTAGCTCTACGACACCCCAACTCTGTACCAGGGTCCTGGTCCGCATGACTCCACACTGGACACCTACCTCCAAAAGTCCCACAAATCTCACATCTAGGTCCCTGCTTTCCCACACATACACAGCCTGGACCCCGGGGTCAAGGAACTCCGGAATCTGAAGCCCCCTGCCCCCCCCCCCCGCCCATAACCTCCTAGACCGACACACACACGCGCACGCACACACACCTGGCCCTCTACACACACTGCAGGCTCACTCCTCGGACACGGACACGGACACACACACACACACACCTGGTCCTCTACACACTCTGCAGGCTCACTCCTCGGTCAACCAGCATTCCAGGGCCAGGACCCCCGCCCCCGCCACACGCACCTGACCCTCCCAAGACCCTCATGACGGATACCTGGAGTCGATCTGTGAGGCGGTGTCCTGCGAAGACGGTGCCAAAGCCCCCCTTACCCAGGAGGGGGCCGAGTCGATACTCGGCCTCGAACGCTTCCCGATCCTTGCCTCCTACGCAGGCGGAGGCGAGGAAGTCAGGGTGGCGGCGTGCTGAGCCCAGCCACGACTCCCTCCCCCCGCGCTGCAACCCATCATTCCAGCCCACCCCGTCTGGTTGCAGTAGGGGAGGATGTACTCACCTGGCGGCGGCGTGGGGGTCCCGGGGGGCGCGGGAGGCCCCTGTAGAGGCTTGGTCAACATGGAGGTGGCGCTGCGCAGATTGAGCCCACTGAACCCGCTAAGCCCGCAGGGCGTGGACGCCCGGGGCAGCGCAGCTGGGGAGCCAGGGCTGGGGGGCGCCAGGGTGGAAAGCAGAGAAACTGGTGGCCCGGAAGCGCCCGCAGACGGCGCAGCGTTGAGATTCGCCGCGCGCGCCAGCCCCAATGCTACTGAGCCTGGGCACGCGCCTCCCGGGAGAGTCACCCTGGGCGACAGCCCCGCCCACCTGGCTTTGATCAATCCGGACGCGGCACCTGCTGTACCACAGCCAATCGGAGCCAGTTCTTATTTGCATACCACCCTCATCGTTTCAAGGGCCCCCTTATGCAAATACACGCTCGGTTCTTCCGAGGAGGCGGGGCCTGCATGTAAATGAGGGGGCTTGAGGTGGGGCTCACACCAAGAGGAAACCGGTTCTGGGAATCCCTTTGCAGCACCGCGCTTGTTTTGGTTGTTGCGCGGGGTTGTTGTTGGTAGTGGTGGCGGTGTGTGTGTGTATTTACACTTAAAAAATAACTGCGCAGTATCCTTTCCTGGGAAGTTGGTTTGCCGCCGCTGCCTGGATATTAGCACAGAGATAGCGCCAGGCCGGGCTTCTAAGAATTCGCGCTTGTGGCTATCCAAGACTCCGTCTCGAAAGGTGCTTGTCGGACTCCTTCACCGGAGTCCTCCAGGCGACTGGCGGCCTTCACTGGAAAGCTGAGGCCAGGGCCCTGGAAATATCTGGTAGCCAGGGAGGGGGAACCCCTACCATCAACGCCACGGGTGTGCATTGGTCAAAGGCAGCATTGCCTGGTGAGTGTTTATTGGAGCTTTTAACCCTGAGCCCTGGGCCCAGTCAGCAAGTCTAGAATCTAGAACAGCAGGGGGTGGTTCTTGGGGGATGGGGGTGAGCCCAGAGTGGTGGTGGCATGGGGCTGCTCTTGGAGTTGAGAGAGGCAAGGACTGAGAGACATGATAGAGGCTGCTAGAGAAGTGGCAACTCTCAGACACAAATTTGTGAAAAACAGCCAGAAAAGGCGCCACACCCCAGGAAGAAAAATGCACTCCAAAGACACATGAATGCCAAGATATACACAAACACATACTGTCAGACACATTCACAGAAACGACCTAGATACACATGCAGCCAGAGACTGACATACACTTTCAGGCAAGCACACTGTCAGAAAAATAGTTATGTCCTAGAATGACACCCAGAGATACACTGTTACAGAAAGGCACTCACGCAGACCTACATTTGCCATGTGATGACACAGAAATGTCCCGTCACACTGGCAGAACTTGTCACAAACACACTGTCACCATCAGATATGCACTGTCACAGCAAGACTTGTACTGTCCCAGAAATGAGAGACGCAGAGTCTGTCACAGGAAGATGCACAGATGCTCCAGGGACACACATGCACTGCTCTGAAGGCAGACATGTACTGATGTGATAGAATCACATTTTGTGGCAGTGTCACAAAAACAGACATGGATAGACCTGTTCAGACACAGACATACATACACCATGACACATGCAGTTTATCAATGGAACAAACTGTCCAGAAATAGCTACCCAGAATCTGTTGCAGGAACACAAACGGACATCCACCCCATCAGACAGAAACCACAGATGCACTGTCACAGACAGACCCACGCAGGCATGCACGCATCTTGGATTTAGACACAAACTGTCAGAGATAAGAGTCCCACACTCAGTCACCATCTGACACACCTGGAAACAAGCCCTTCATCACACACACAACTGGGGACACTCTGTGAGCTGCACATGAAGACTTGGACTCACCACAGTCACACACACACAGACAACACCAAAAAAGCACACATGTACTCTCCTTTGTTCACCCAACGTTATTGGGGGTGGTTTGCTATAAGCCTGCCAGGCCTTGATGGGGATGTTGGTATCAGAGATGTACAGATAAGTCAGGCATCAAACCCGTGCCATGAAGTTTATCTGTAGTACAGCTACTGGGGAGATTTTTAGATAGAAGTGAGAATGTGAATGGGCTTCTCAGCAGGTGACCCTCTGTCTTGAAAGACAAAGAAGGTTGGTGGCTCAGGACAGGGGAGGGCAAATTGCAGGCAAAGGCCAAGAACACTGGACAGAGCGGCGAGAGATTGGCAGGGGCCAAATGGTGCAGAAACTTCTACAAAAAGAATACTACTAACATTTGTGCTCTCTCAATGTGCCAAGCACTGTGCCCAGGTAGTACGTTACTTTGATCATACATATTCCCTCTAGATGATCACAGCAGAAGCATGAGGGAGTAGATATCACTTTTTTTTTTTTTTTTTAAGACTGAGTCTCGCTCTGTCACCCAGGCTGGAGTGTGGTGGCGCAATCTCGGCTCACTGCAACCTCCACCTCCTGGGTTCAAGCGATTCTCATGCCTCAGCCACCCAAGTAGCTGGGATTACAGGCACGTACAACCATGAACGGCTAATTTTTGTATTTTTAGTAGAGATGGGGTTTCTCCATGTTGGCCAGGCTGGTCTCGAACTCCTGATCTCAGGTGATTCACCCACCTCAGCCTTCCAAAGTGCTGGGATTATAGGTGTGAGTCACTGCACCCAGCCTAATCACCTCTTGTACAGATGAGACACTTGAAACAGAGAAGCAATTGACCAGGGCCAGGAAGGTTTCAAAGCAACTCTACAACAAATAGATGCTTGGCCACTGGGTTCCAGACACACTCCGCAGACAGCCACTCAGCTAGCCATGCCCTCAACTGCAGAACCAGACACACATCCTGTCAGAGGGTCTCCATTATCATGGCATGGTGAAAAAGCTGCTTGAGAAAACCTGGGGGCCAGCCAGCCTTCTTTACCTTGGATTTACCCCTAGGGAGGACAGGCAAAGAGGTGTCAGACTGGGGGACAAGAACAAAAAAGGGTTTAGCCGTCCTTCACCTTCTAAAACCTAGTGGGTGAGGCCCCTCTGGTTACTTCCACTAAACTCATGTTGCTACAAAGTATCAGTTGCACTTTTCCAAGGCTTTTCTTCATCAGATCATGATAAGGAAAGAGCAGCATTCATGGTGAGAGGCAGGCGGAGAAGCTGGAATTCAGGCAGGAAGTTCAAGCTCACAGTCCTCTGCTACCATCACCCCCCCCCCCCCAGGAAATAGGGTAGGCAGGGGTGGGGTCAGCAGGCAAAGACGCAGCTTTTCCAGTGGCAATAGGTCCAGAAGGAGGTTTAATAAGCAGCAAATCAAATACAAACTCCAGGCCCCCAGACAGACCCTGCTGGAGAGCATTCACACCTCTGAGGTCAAGCCAAGGTCCGTGCCATTGCATCCTCTGCCCAGAGGCCCGCCCAACCCCTGCCCCACACAGAACAGAGTCGCTCAGGGAAACTGACATTTGGTTTTATTGTGCCAAGGACATTACAGATGGCGGATCTTGTCAACACCTGCAGGGCACGGGTGCCCCATCTGCCAAGGCTGCTCCCACACTCCCTACACTCAAATCCCGGGTGGCAGCCATAATCCCCAAAGATGACCCCCACCCCAAGATTCCAAAGAAGCTAGTGGTGGTGGAAGCAAAAGGAATGCAGCAAGGTCAGGGTTTCATTGTCCAAGCCGGCCTGACACCTGCCGCCCTGCCCTTGCCCAGTGCACACCCTAGACCCTGGGCCGGCCTCCATGCAGCTGGAGGCCAGAAGACAGCAACCCATATCTTTGCACCCTCCTCCATGCCCCATGGCCTGCCTGCCCAGAAAGATGCCACCTTCACAGAGCCAGTGCTGTCGTCTATATCATTTTTGATTAGTTGATTTTATAAGATAAAAGTAATTTTAATAAAGAAAAAATTCAACATTGAAGGCTCAGACGTTCTTGGGGGTACTGGGAAGGGAAATTTCCCACTTCTTCCTCCCACCTCCCTGGCATCAGTGTCGGGGGGTGGCGGCAAGTTTTTCTCATCTTGGAAGGAATGAGGGGCAGGGAGACTTTCCTCTGTCTGAATGTCTCTCTCCTCTGGGGCTGCCTGGCTGCCAGTTGGTCTGTCTCTGTGTGCCTCTTGTCTATCTTCGGCACCCTTGCCCGAGTCCCCTGTGGAATGCAGGGATGGTTCTGTGCGGGATGGGGTGGGGGGCAACAGGGCACATCAGCTGGCAGAGAGACAGGTGATAGTGGCAGCGGCAATGAGAGAGAGTGCAGGGGTGGGCTAGCCAGAGGGAAGTGAGGAGGAGGGAAAAGAGGGGAGAGCAGAAAGAACAGAAGGAGGCAAGAGGGAAGAAGCCAAAGAAGGTGAGGTGGCACCGGAGAGCAGGAGTACTGGGGTTGGGAGATGGTGTCCAATCCCTGGGTCTCCATCAACTCTTGTCTGGGGGCGGGTCTCTGTGCACTTTGTTTTTCTTCATACTGTCTAGGTATTCCTGTTGGGACACTGCCAGCACCGAAGCTAGGATCTCATCATCATCCCAGTCATTCAGACCTGCTGGGCGAGAGGAAGAGGAAAAGGATGATGGAGCGCTCTCAGCCTGCCTTCTCCTCACCCTGTGCCGACATCTGGGGCTCTGGAGAAATCCCATAGGGCCCTTCTCACTCCTTTCTCAAAACAGAAGGATCTGCTAGGCCTGTGAAACCCCACTTAGACCCCAGACCCTTCTGGGGCAAATTCCTTGGATCTGAAAAATCCCCTCCAGTGCCTCTCCCTTCTTTTCTTGGGGAGATGGCCAGAGGCTCCAGAAAGCCCCTCTCAGGACTTGCCACTTCTTCCAGTCTCTCCCAGCTCCTAGCAGCCTCCATCCCCCCAGACAAAGGAGGCTTACCAAAGGCAGAGGGGGACATCTGCTGAATGAGGGCCCGGCACTCCAAAGCAGGGTAGAGGGACACAAGGGGGGAAGTTGCCCGGTCGGCCCCTGCCGAGAACTGACTGCTTGTACCTGAAGCAGACGGACAGTCAAAGGTAGGGACCCAGGATCCAGGACCCAGGACCCAGGACGTGCCTCCTAACTCCCAGCACATTCCCTGTGGGCAAGTCACTGACCTGGCGCACAGGGCGAAGGAGGTTTGGCAAGAGCTAAAACAGTGCCTGGGGAAGGGGGCTTCATGCCCAATTCAGCATGCAGCTCAGGGTGCTCAGGTGACGAGGCTGAACTCCGCTGCCGCGGGGACCGGCTAGTCCACTCCTCCAGGCCACTGGAGGCTGCTGCTGTGGCCGAACTGCATGTGGCGCTGGCTTTCCGGGGCTGCAGCGGGGAAGGTAAATGCGTTAAGGACCACCAGCAGCCATGACCTTCTTGTGACCCATCCCTGAATGCTGGCTCCCTTCCCAGGACCTTGGCTATGATACAGCTTCTATGTAGGTCAACATCATCCCCACTCACACGGTGGACCACAAGACTCCTCACAGGACAGAGGTGGAGCTCCTTACCCTTTCTCTCACACCCCTACAGCCAATCTGACAGGAAACCCTGTTACCTCTATCTTGAAAATAGATCTCAAATCCAACCCCTTCTCACCAACTCCACTGCCAGCACTGGCCACCAGTCACCTGGCCTACTGCAGTAGCCTCCTCCTCACTGGCCCCTGCTTCTGCCCTCACTCACCAGACTCCACTGGATGACTAGCAGGCAAGGCGATCTTATTAAATCCCCAACCACATCCTGTCCGTCCTCTGCTCACAATCCTCCCATGGTTTCTGCCTCTCTGAGAGTAAATGCCAAAGTCCTCGCCACAGCCCACAAGCCCCTACCCAATTGGACCCACAACCTCTCTGACTTCATCTACTACTACATTCTGTTCGGATACACCGGCCTCCCTCTGGGCTGTGCCTGAGTTGTACCAGGTGTGTGGGCCTGCTGTCCTCCCCTCCATGTGCGCTCAGCTAACTCTCACCTTCTGCAAGGCTCAAATCTCACCTGCTCTGAGGCCTACCCTGACTGCGCTATTTCATACCGTGAACGCACATTCCTGCTCAGCCCCTTTATCCTGGCTCTACACTTTCCATCCATAGCACTTCCCAACTAATTTATTCATTATATTTATTATTTTATTTCACTCTGCAAAACTGTGAACATCACAAGGACGGGGATCTTGGTCTGCTGGGCTCACCTATGTATCCCCATATACTGAAAACAGGGCCTGCCACAGACTGGTAGTAGGTATTTGTGGAATAAAACTCAGCTCCTTCAGCCGGGTGCGGTGGCTCACGCCTGTAATCCCAGCACTTTGGGAGGCCGAGGTGGTCGGATCACGAGGTCAGGAGATGGAGACCATCCTGGCTAACACGGTGAAACCCCGTCTCTACTAAAAATACAAAAAATTAGCCAGGCGTGGTGGTGGGCGCCTGTAGTCCTAGTTACTCCGCAGGCTGAGGCAGGAGAATGGCATCAACCTGGGAGGCGGAGCTTGCAGTGAGCCGAGACTGCGCCACTGCACTCCAGCCTGGGCGACAGAGCAAGACTCTGTCTCCAAAAAAAAAAAAAAAAAAAAACTCAGCTCCTGCCAGCCAACATCTACAATCACTCCAAACTCCTTGCGATTTTACAATTCCTCAGATGCTTGTCTGCCCCGCCCCTCCCCGCTCCCCTAACAATTCAACCTTCCTCTGTGAAGACTAACCGGAGCCCCCACCTCCACTGATCTCCCAGTCAGGGTCAAGGACCCCACCATTGAGTTGTCTCTGCCAACAGACGAGATCGTTGAGGGCAGAGTAGTCCAGATCTGATGTTACATTCTCAGTAGAGACCTGGCACACAAGGGCAGTCAACAAAAGCTTGTGTCTCTGAAGCTATCCATTATTCTCGTGTCACCAGCAGCATGGCTGCCCTCCTCTCACTCCTTAAGTGCCTGTTCTGCACAAGTATTTAAAGTTCCAAGGTACAATGCCAAAACTAAGACCAAGATGAGTTACAGATGGTGCTGGATGCTTCCTTCCCTCCCAGATGTCAAAACTGCTTAATTTTTTTCTGCTCGCTTGAGGGCAAAGCATGAGAAGTAATGAGTTTTTGGCCAAGCCTGTGACAGAGTCCATGACCCACCTGGCTGGGGCCTCGGACCTGGCGAGCCTGTTTCTCCTGATCCCGCAACCACTGCAGGTAGGATTCCCGAGCCACCTGCTCCTCGATGGCTTCATTTGTGGCCTCCCAGTCTGTGGCCCGTTTCTTGTCTTCTAGCATCTGCTGTTCAATCCATGACTCCTCCGATGTTTTTATGGCATTCTTCATCAGAGACTGCTCTGCAAACTGCAAGGAGGGAGAGGAACAGGGATGTGCAATAACACACTGAACCTGCCCAAGAGCCAGAACAGGCTCAGCGAGGTAGGCCCACAGGCCCCAGAAAAAAAAGGAGACAGGAAAGCAGGTACTCCCAAAGAGCAACACTCCACAGACTACCTCTTGATTGGGGACCAAGGGAAAGCAGGCTTGGGATGTGGGACCTGTCATTCCAAACTCCTATGCTTGTAAGACCTGACTCTAACCCCCAAACCACCTCAACTGAGGCACTGAGACTGGAGCAGTCAGGTGCCTTCCAACCTGGGACTTATTTTTTTTTTTTTTTCTGAGACGAAGTATCGCTCTGTCGCCCAGGCTGGAGTGCAGTGGGGTAATCTCGGCTCACTGCAACCTCCGCCTCCCAGGTTCAAGGGATTCTCCAGCCTCAGCCTCCCAAGTAGCTGGGATTACAGGTGAGTGCCACCACCCCCGGCTAACTTTTTTGTATTTTTAGTAGAAATGGGGTTTCACCATGTTGGCCAGGCTGGCCTTGAACTCCTGACCTCAGGTGATCCACCCGACTCGGCCTCCCAAAGTGCTGGGATTATAGGTGTGAGCCACTGCACCTGGCCCTGGGCCTTAATTTAAAGAAGCCCCATCCAGTGATGACTGTTTCATAATGTTGAGGACTTTCACACACATGAGCAGATGAGACACATACAAAAATTAGCTATGTGTGCACCGGGTGGAGGGAGTATTCAAGCATGTGAGGGGTTGGGGGAAGTAGTGGGTGTGTGAGGGAATAAGGGGGCAGTATCAACATGGTGTGGGGTGCTATGAGTTACAGGACACTACATCAGAGTACTGTTTTTCAGGCTGAGATCCAACAGCATTTTTAAAAAATAGAAAATATCAGAATATATCCCAGGGAATAAGTGCAAATGTTGTTTCATGAAGCTTTAGTTAACATTATTTTAATGCACATATACACATCACACACAAATGCATATATGCTAAGTAATCATGTAAAATGTATTCTTTTCTTTTTCCTGCAGACCTTGCATTCAGATAAAATGTAATTTTTTACTGTGAATAGTTAAAAACAATTCGTAAAACTATGTTAGAACAAGCCAATTAAAAAAATAGTCAAAAAATCTAACCACTCTGGCAGTGTTAAACACACTCCAAGTGTTTTTTCTACTCTCACTCAACAACAATCAACACAGGAGACTTCTGTGACCAAGTGTGCGGGCTGGGGGGAGGGTGTTTTCCCACACAGCAAGCAGCGGACACCTGGTGTCCATCCTCCAATGCAATTCAATACCCAGAGACAGCCTGGGATCCCACAGGTTGAGGGCTCAGTCCCACAAGACTCCCCCCAACCCCCTTCGAACACCAGTCGAAAGTCTGGGCCTCCAGAATTTCTGACTGACCAGCTATAAATTGGGATTCCCACAATACTTTTTTGGGGGTTCAACTAACTTGCTAGAGCAGCTCACAAAACCCAGGAAACACGTCTGCCAGTTTATTATAGAGAAAATTACAAAGGATACAGATGAGATGCACAGAGTGAGATATGGGGGAAGGGACGTGGAGCTTCCATGCCCTCCCTGGGGTGCCACCCTCTAGAAACTTCCATGTATTCAGCTACCCAAAAGCTCCCAGAACCCAATCCTTTTGGGATTCTTTGGAAGCTTCATTATGCAGGCATTATTGATTATGCCATTGGACACTAGTGATCAACCTAATCTTCAGCCTCTCTCCCCTCCCCAAAGGCTGGGGGATGGGCTTAAAGTTGCAAACCTCTAATCCTGCCTTGGTCTTTCAGGTCACCAGCCCCCATCCTGAAGCTACCTAGAGGCTGCCAGCCATCAGTCACCTCATTAGCATACAAAAAGGCAACACTTTGCAGATTCTAAGGATTTTAGGAATTGTATGTCAGGAAGTCACAAACACAATTCACCAAAGAAGCTATACAGATGGCAAATAAGCATATGAAAAGATGCTCAACAGCATTTGCCAATAGGCAACTGCAAGTTAAAATAATGAGATACCACTACACACCTAAGAGAATGGCTAAAATCCAACACAATGACAGTATCAATTGCTGGTAATGCTGACAACAGGAACTTCCAAATCATTATGGTGGGCATGCAAATAATACAGCCACTTGGGAAGACAGTTTCTCAGTTCCTCATAAATCAAAACATAATCTTACAACGCAATCCAGCAATCTTGCTCCCAGGTATGTATACAACTGATCTAAAAAATTACGTCCACAAAAAAACCTGCATGCACATTACAGAAGCTTTATTCATAATCATCAAAAACTGGAAGCAACCAAGAATGTCTTTTAATAGGTGAATAATTAAACTGGTACCTCCATAAAAGGAACATTAAGTGATAAGAAAGAAACCAGCTAACAAGCCATGAAAGAACATGGAGAAACCTTAATGCATACTGCTAAGTGAAAAGAAGCAGTCTGTCACATTGACCATTTTAATTTCAGGGGGGAAAAAAGCAAATTGGCTGCAGGTGGCTCACCCCTGCAATACCAGCACTTTGAGAGGCCAAGGCGGGAGGATCACTTGTCCCCAGGAATTTGAGATTGGCCTGAGCAACACAGTGAGATCCTGTCTCTACAAAATAAAAATATTTTTAAAGTTAGCCAGGCATGGTGGTGTGTGCCTGTGGTCCCAGCTACTTGGGAGGCTGAGGTGGGAGGATTGCTTAAACCCAGGAGGTAAAGGCTGCAGTGATATTGTGCCACTGCACTCCAGCCTGGGCAACAGTGATACACTGTCTCAAAAAAAAAAAAAAAAAACAGTATGAAAAGGCTACATACTGTATGATTACAATTATATGACATTCTGAAAAAGGCAACCCACAAAGACAATAGTGTTTGCAGGAAGAGGGAGGAAGGGAGGGGTAAGCATATGGAGTATGAGGAATTTTAAGGGTGGTCAAACTATTCTGAATAATACTGTAATAGTAGATACATAACATTACACATTTGTCAAAACCCATAGAATGTACAACACAAAGAGTGGACCTTAATATATGCTATTTAAAAAAAAATTAGGAAGGCTGGGCACGGTGGCTCATGCCTGTAATTCCAGCACTTTGGGAGGCCAAGGTGGGTGGATCTCCTGAGGTCAGGAGTTCGAGACCAGCCTGGCCAATATGGTGAAACCTGTCTCTACTAAAAATCAAAAAAATTAGCTGGGCGTGGTGGCGCGTGCCTGTAATCCCAGCTACTCGGGAGGCAGAGGCAAGAGAATCACTTGAACCACGGAGGCTGAGGTTGCAGTGAGCCGAGATCGCACCACTGTACTCCAGCCTGGGTGACAGAGCAAGACTCTGTCTCAAAAAATAAATAAATAAATAAAATAAAATAAAATAAAAATTAGGAGATCTATGGCCAGCGCGGTGGCTCATGCCTGTAATCCCAGCACTTTGGGAGGCCGAGGCAGGCAGATCACCTGAAGTCAGGAGTTCGAGACCAGCCTGGGCAACATGATGAAACCCCGTCTCTACTAAAAATACAAAAATTAGCCAGGTGTGGTAGTGCATGCCTGTAATTCCAGCTACTCGGGAGGCTGAGGCACGAGAATTGCTTGAACCCAGGAGGTAGAGGCTGCGGTGAGTTGAGATCATCGCACCACTGCACTCCAGCCTGGGCGACAGTGAGACTCTGTCTCAAAAATAAATAAATAAAAAATTAGGAGATCTGAGATCCCAGCATAGAATGCAAAAATGTGACAAAATAATACAAATGTATTACAAACATGAAACAACCTTGGCCGGGCGCGGTGGCTCACGCCTGTAATCCCAGCACTTTGGGAGGCCGAGGCGGGCGGATCACGAGGTCAGGAGATTGAGACCATCCTGGCTAAGACGGTGAAACCCCGTCTCTTACTAAAAATACAAAAAATTAGCCAGGTGTGGTGGCAGGCACCTGTAGTACCAGCTTCTCGGGAGGCTGAGGCAGGAGAATGGTGTGAACCTGGGAGGTGGAGCTTGCTGTGAGCCGAGATCACGCCACTGCACTCCAGCCTGGGCGACAGAGCGAGACTCTGTCTCAAAAAATAATAATAATAAAATAAAATAAAAATAAACACCCTCATTTGAAGGGGGTGGGGGTACAAGTAGGTCACTTTCAAAATGAATGGAGTCTGTAACACCAAAGGCAAAAAAGAACTATATGTAGCATTGAGCTATAGTGATAAAGTTGTTTCCCACGGGGGTACGGGTGAACAAGTGTGATTCTGCTACGCGTGTATATGGAAATGAGCAGTTACATAAATGGATGGTAGGAACCAGTGCATATACATCTGATGGCGTATCTACTGTTGGAGAGGGAATTTGCAGATGAACAAGGGGAGAAGGCTAGAATGAAGCATGTGATAATGGATCTGAGTTGGAGACATCAGTAAGGATTCATGTTTAATATAAATACAGATGGTTACAGGTAGAAATATTTATAGATATGTGTACAAAGGCCACTATACATACATGTAGCTCCTTGCTCTATCAGCTGACAGGGCCTAGAAGCATGGACAACCTGATATCGAAGAGCACATTCAACACCTAGGTCTTGATTTCTGTTAACAGTCTCCAATACATGCCAGGGCTCTCTAAAGAAATGGCTGATTGAGCTGGGCGCAGTAGCTCACACCTGTAATCCCTGCACTTTGGGAGACCGAGGAGGGTGGATCACCTGAGGTCAGGAGTTCGAGACTTCAGCCTGCCCAACATGGTGAAACCCCATCTCTACTAAACAATACAAAAAACAGCTGGGTGTGGTGGCGCATGCCTGTAATCCCAGCTACTCGGGAGGCTGAGGCAGGAGAATCGCTTGAACCTGGGAGGCAGAGGTTGCAGTGAGCTGAGATGGCGCCCTTACACTCCAGCCTGGGCAACAAGAGCGAAACTCCCTCTCAAAAAAAAAAAAAAGACCATATTGATGTACGTAATAACTGGAAAAATTAATAAATTAAGGATGAGTTAAGGATGAGACACAGATCCTCCTTAAAGATTTCCAAATAATCTATGTAGATACTCTACCCTCAAGGGGATGGGGCATAACCATTTCTTAGGCGTGGGCTGCACATAGTGACTTCCTTCCACACAGTACAGTATGGAAAAGGTGGGAAAGAGTAACCTTAGGTGGAGAAACCTAACAAACACTACTTCTGCCAGTTGATCAAGGGTAACACCAACAGGCATAAATGACACTCATAGTATAAACCCTTGAAATGATGTAATGACAATGGCACTTTACCTCTGTGATCTTCCTCCCTAAGACCCACAACCCTAGTTTAAACATGAGAAAAAGTCCAAAAGAGACATTTCCTACAAAATATTTGATCAGTACTCCTTAAAACTGTCAAGGTCATCAAAACAAAACTGAGAAACTATCAAAGATAAAGGGGCCTAAGGAGGCATGCAGATTTCATTTAATAGTAACGTATTAGGCTGGGCATGGTGGCTCACGCCTGTAATCCCAGCACTTTGGGAGGCCGAGGCGGGTGGATCACCTGAGGTCAGGAGTTTGAGACCAGCGTGGCCAACATGGTGAAACCCCGTCTCTACTAAAAATAGAAAAATTAGCCAGGTGTGGTGGTGGGCACCTGTAATCCCAGCTACTTGGGAGGCTGAGGCAGAAAAATCGCTTGAACCCAGAAGGCGGAGGCTGCAGTGAGCCGAGATCGCCTCATTGCACTCCAGCCTGGGTAACAGAGAGAAACTCTGCCTTAAAAAAAAAAAAAAAAAAAGTATTAATGTTGGTTCGCACATTGTAACAAATGTACCATAATGATTTGAACTGTTAATAACAGCAGAACTGGGCTGGGCGCGTTGGCTCACGCCTGTAATCCCAGCATTTTGGGAGGCCGAGATGGGTGGATCACCTGAGGTCAGGAGTTCGAGACCAGCCTTTGACATGGTGAAACCCCGTCTCTACTAAAAACACAAAAATTAGCTGGGCGTGGTGGCGGGTGCCTGTAATCCCAGCTACTCGGGAGGCTGAGGCAAGAGAATTGCTTGAACCCGGGAGGCAGAGGTTGCAGTGAGCCAAGATTGCGCCATTGCACTCCAGCCTGGGTGATGAGAGAGAAACTTCGTCTCAAAAAAAAGATGATAATAATAATAATAATAATAATAATAATAATAATAATAATAGCAGAACTGTGTTTGGGAAGAGAAGGATATGTGGGAATTCTGTATTATCTCCTCAATTGTTCTGTAAATCTAAAACTGCTCTAAACAATTAAGTCTATTAAATACAAAAACTTAAAACATTCATTTTTATTTTTTCTTTCAGACAGAGTCTCGCTCCGTCACCCAGGCTGCAGTGCAGGGGTCAAATCTCAGCTCACTGCAACCTCTGCCTCCTAGGTTCAAGTGATTCTCCTGCCTCGGCCTCCCAAGTAGCTCGGATTACAGGTGTGTGCCACCACACCCGGCTAATTTTTTTTTGTATTTTTAGTAGAAACAGGGTTTCATCATGTTGGCCAGGCTGGTCTCGAACTCCTGACCTCAGGAGATCCTCCCATCTCAGCCTCCCAGTGTTGGGATTACAGGCGTGAGCCACCGCACCTGGCCAGAACATTCATATTTTTGAAGAAAGAAAAAGAGGAAGCTGGGTGCAGTGGCTCATGCCTGTAATTCCAGCACTTTGGGAGGCCGAGGCACAAGGATCACTTGAGCCCAAGAGTTCAAGGTCAGCCTCGGCAATATAGTGAGACCTTGTCTCTACAAAAAAAAAAAATTTTTTTTCATTTTTTTACAAAAAGTTTTTTTAAAACACTGGCCGGGCATGGTGGCGAGCACCTGTAGTCTCCCAGCTACTCGGGAGGCTGAGGTGAGAGGCTTGCTTGAGCCAGGGAAGTGGAGGCTAGCTACAGTGAGCCTAGATTGCCCCACTGCACTCCAGCCTGGGTGAGAGAGTGAGACCCTGTCTCTCCACCCGCCCACCAAAAAAGAAAATGAGCCATTAAACCAGGACAAGTCACAGATGAATCTTAAATGCATAGTGTTAAGTGAAAAAAGCCAGTCTGAAAAAGCTACATACTGTACATTTCCAATTATATGACATTCTAGAAAAGGCAAAACGAGAGTCAGTAAACAGATCGAATACAAAAAACAAGAAAATTCTGAGAAACTGTCACAGCCAAGAGGAGATAAAGGGGACACAACAACTAAATATAATATGGCACCCTGGATGGGATCCTGGAACAGATAAAGGTCATTAGGGAAAAACTAAGGTAATCTGAGTCAAGTATGGTCTTTAGTTAATAATATGTCGATATTGGCTCATTAACTATGACAAATGTACTATGTTAATACATTAATCATAGCGAGGCATATGGGAACTCTGTAATATATTTGTAACTTTTTTTTTTTTTTTTTGAGACAGAGTCTCATTCTGTCGCCCAAGCTGGAGTGCAGTGGCACAATCTTGGCTCACTGCAACCTCTGCCTCCCAGTTTCAAGTGATTCTCCTGCCTCAGCCTCCCAAGAGTAGTTGGGATTACAGGCACCCACTGCCACACCCAGCTAATTTTTGTATTTTTAGTAGAGACAGGGTTTCACCATGTTAGCCAGGCTGGTCTTGAACCCCTGACCTCAGGTGATCTGCCAGCCTCGGCTTCCCAAAATGCTGGGATTACAGGTGTGGGCCACCGTGCCCAGCCTCTTTGCAGTAATTCTGTAAATCTAAACCTGCTCTAAAATTAAGTTTATTTAAAAACAAAACAAAAAAGAACCCTATGTTGGAGGGTGTGTTGGTGTTAGGCTATGTGTTTCCGAAAATGAAGCAGGAGTACTTTGTGTTTGTAGAAGTGAAACCTGAATAGAAGATACCAAAATCCTCAGCAAATGACTGTAAGAGAGAGAGAGAGAAATGAATGAGAATCTATCGGTATGTGCTGGGAAAATGCACTGCCACCTTCTGAACACCTACTAGGCCCCAGGCCCAGTGGGAGGTGCTTTCTGTATCAGCCAAGCTGCCAGCCTGGAATACTTACAGAATCTGCCTAGATCACACAGCCAGTGAGTGGTGGGGCCAGGCCTGTACCCCATGTCTCTGTGACCATGGCTGTCTGTAACCACTATGATCCCAGGAGAAAGATCCATGCCAAGATGCCCAGAGCAAGCCCTGGCTCACTGCTCCAAAATAGGACTCCACATCCTAAAATGCCAGCCCTCAACGGGCACAAAAGATAGGTAAGCCAACTCAGACAGGCAAACCAAGACCAAAGAACAAGCCCTGAGAGATCACCTTAAGTAACTCCCTATTTTTTTTTTTTTTTTTGTAAGGGTGAGACCTCAGGGGAGAGAGGAGACAGGATATTTTTGTGAGTTAGGGGCAAAACAGACTCCAACAGAGGTTTCTGACCTCTATATCCAGCAGCCATTCTGGGCACAGGGACCCACTCACCCCTGGTTTGAATGATGGCAGGCCCAGCCCCACACCAATGGTGGCCTTGTTAGGATTCACCACTGAATTATAGTGGATATTCCGATGGTAGCTAACACGAATGGGTTCGTCCTCGTTTTGATGTATCCCATGGAATGTGTTGATGGGTTCTGCAGAGAAAGAGAAGGAGGGAGCATCCACAGCAGGCCAGGTTGGGCAGGCTCGAATGAGGCACCATCTTTCCCTCACCTACCCACTGCAGAAGTACCTGTGCTGTACTGGTACACCTCCACAGGACGGTTGTACATCTCTGCCATGGCCTGCATCTCAATGTGGTTGCCATGGCAATTGTTTTTCCGCTTCCTGTTAATGTAGGTGGTAAAGTCCTCTGTGACATAGTTGGAGAAGTAGTCGGCATTCTTCATCTGCAGAATAGATTGGAAGGTTAAGGTCTGTGTGGAGAAGAAATCCTCCCACCCTGCCCCTTCCCCAAAGGCCTCCATTTTCTCACCAGATAGTCCATGCAATGCTTTCGCACAACCTCATGCATGTCCTGGTCTCCATACACCTGGTCAGCTGTGGGGGCAGAAGAAAGCAGCAGCTAGGGTCAGAGATGCCAGAGAAGAGCTCTGAATCATAGAACATCCTTTGGGGAGGAGGAACTGGGGGACCAGGGAAATTCCCTTTTCTACCCCAAGGCCTGGAGAGTTCTTGCCCTTGTAGGCTAGAACGGGGTCATGGAAAAATATGGCAGGCAGGGCCAGACTTGAAGAACAAGAGAGTGCAGGTGAGAGGAACACATCCACAGGCCTCTTGGGCAGATGACTTTGTCTAGGGTACACGTGGCCACTCAGAGAAATCAACAACATTCTAAGTTCCACAGGTTGGCCTCAAATGCTATTGATTCCCACACCCCCTTTGCTTTCCACATGAGGAAACTGAGGTTCAGGGGGAGTTTGTGGTTTGTCCAAGGTCACAAAGAGTCAGTCTGTGACAGAGTCAACTCTGAATTCAGTTTTCCTGACTCCTACAAGTCAACATGGCCTTTGTAGGCTGAAAAAAAAGGGAACAAAGACAAAAAAAGGAAAGAAAAAAAAATGGGCTCCAAGCCCAGTTCTGCCAGATACTAGAGAGTTGAGTGACCAGAGGCAAGTGACCCAAGTGTTCTGAGCCTCATATACCTCATCTGTAAAATGGGAAAAAGAGGGATAACAGGCCAGGCGTGGAGGCTCACACCTGTTATCCCAGCACTTTGGGAGGCCAAGGTGGGCAGATCACTTGAGGTCACGAGTTCGAGACCAGCCTGGCCAACGTGGTAAAACCCCGTCTCTACCAAAAATACAAAAATTAGCCGGGCATGGTGGCGGGCGCCTATAATCCCAGCTACTTGGGAGGCTGAAGCAGGAGAATCGCTTGAACCCAGGAGGCAGAGGTTGCAGTGAGCCGAGATCATGCCACTGCACTCCAGCCTGGGCGACAGAGTAAGACTCTGTCTCAAAAAAAAAAAAAAAAAAAAAAAGGGATAACCAAATGGCAGGCCTTTTGTGGGGATTAAATGAGATAACGGGTATAAAATAACTACCACTGGGCTTGGGACAGAGTAGCCACAGAGTAAATCAGAATTCCTTCCTCCGTAGGGAGGCCTGAATGTGGGGTACTGTGAAGGTGACAGAGGTGAGTAAAATCCTGCCCCTACCTTCGGGGAGCACACAGTCTAGTAAAAGAGATAAGACACACATGCAACTAACTTTAGCTTAACTCAGGATGGGCAGCCTGTGGCCCGAATAGTCCAGGCGTCGTGAGATTTGGTCAAACTAAGGCGAGAAGGAAACACACTCCCTCTGCTTCGCTTGAGGATCTTCACACATGCCGTTCCTTCTCTTCAGGACGCTCCTTCCATCCTCGTCAGCTGCCTACTTCTCAAACACCAATGTGTTCTTTATTTATTTATTTATTTGAGACAAGGTCTCGCTCTGTCGCCCAGGCTGGAGTGCAGTGGCGCGATCATAGTTCACTGCAGCCTTGACCTCCTGGGCTCAAGCGATCCTCTCGCCTCAGACTCCCAAAGTGCCTGGATTACAGGTGTGAGCCACCGCGCCTGGCCCAACATGTTCTTTAATACAGTTCCCCACTACCCAGGACACCTCTATCACCAGATTTATCAAAGGTGTGCATAGACTTCTGCCCGACCACACTGGGCTCCCACAGAAGGCAAAGGGCAGTTCACACCAAAGTCCACCCCCAGCTCAGGGCCCGATACAGTAAAGGAAATCAGGAAAAGTTTACTGAGCAAATGGATAGGCTGGGTAAGCCAGGGAGCTCTTCTCCCTGTGAAATTAAAGTGGGCCTGAAGATCATGCAAGTCTGATTTCCACTGGTTTTGGGAATTTCCCTTTGTTTCCCCAGAGGACCACTGCTCTGATGGGATCTCCCTGGGGCATGGGGCTAGGGTCAGGTCACACAGGAACACTCCTGAGTTCTTCCCTGTCAGTCTACCTCTCTGAAGAACTGTCAGAAGAACACCTTCCCTGCCTTCCCCTTCCTACCCTGGAGTGTTCTGTGAGAAAGGCTACTCTGAGATAGAAAATAGGGCCCATGTTTGTCTCCAGTCCTCTTGGAGGTGAAGAGACCTGAAGGGTAAGGGGGTGTGGAGGTTGTGAAGGCGGGAAGGGGGGTAGCCCCTTCACCAATGTAAACAAGGATGTGGGTTCTGCGGCCACACTCTCCCCCGCCCTCCCCAGCGGCATTTCCAGCAAGTCACATGTCCTGCGCACAGGCTGGGGGCCCCCTGCTGCTGCCTTTCTTAGAAGCCAGGACCACAGAGCCCGCACAGTGAGCTACTTGGGGAGCTATTTCTGTAGACTGAGCTTGGGGTACTGGGAGGCAGTGCTGTTGGCAGCTGCAGTAAACAGGAACAAAGATGAGAATGAAGGGGTTAAATAGGGGTTGGCTGGCCAGGCTCAGAGAGATAGGCTGAGGTGCTGGAGAAAGCCCATCTCCTATGGAAAGGTCAACGGTCATTTCCAGGCCTGGGAGTTCTATCTTCAAGAGCTAGATGCCAGATGCAGGAAAATGGGGAAAGAGAGGAGACTGTGGAACAGGGAAGGGATCTGGGGGAAAACCCCCTGAGGGTCCCATTTCTCTGCCACTGACCCCTTTGCCTGGCAGAAAGGCTCTGCTGCCTCCTAGCTGTGTAGCAATGGATAAGGCCTTTAACCTCTCTAAGCTGAAATGTCCTCATGCATAAGGTGGAGACAGTAACTCCTCTTCCATCTGCTGGGTGTTGTCAAAACTACACAGGAGGTTTGCCAAGCACCTAAGGCACAGTAGGTGGTCAAGAAACAGGAACACAATTTGTCATGACGACAATGATTCCTTCATATGCTAGTTACCCACGAGTCAGCCAGAATGTTGCCATAACCACTTATGAAGCCCTTCCTCATTTCTGTTGCAATTCCTCAGCCAGAGGAAAGCCCCAAATGCAGACCTAGGATGCATGTCCTCTCCTGGCTCTCTACCTTTAGCGAAACCAAAGGTCCACAAGTCTACCTCTAGGCCGTTAGTTCTAACAAAACTTCAGCAGTTAAATTAATATCGAATTAACAATACAGGCTTCATAAAACAGGGTCCTAAAGTATGGACGAGTTATGACACTTCTTTACTTATCTGTAAAATGTAAAATACCACCTTCTCTCCTCAATCCTATGATGGCACTGATAGGTGATATGGTATAACATGTACCTAATCACAGCTTTTGAGGGGGGAAACACACCACACTGATTATAAGGTATACCCTAAGTTTGGAATCATTAACGTGGAAGAAAATATACATCTCCAAACCAAGGAAAACAGCAATAGTACTACCCCAACAAGGGAGAATAGAAGGATTTCTCCAATAATATAAGGCAGGAAAAGCATCTAAGCACAGAGCTAAACACATAGGAAGTACTCAACAAGAATTCATTTTTGGCCAGGTGTGGTGGCTCACGCCTGTAATCCCAGCAATTTGGGAGGCCGACGCAGGTGGATCACCTGAGGTCAGGAGTTCAAGACCAGCCGAGCCAACATGGTGAAACCCTATCTCTACTAAAAATACAAAAAATTAGCCAGGCAGGGTGGTGGATGCCTGTAATCCCAGCTATTTGGGAGGCTGAGGCAGAAAAATCGCTTGAACCCGGGAGGTGGAGGTTGCAATGAGCCAAGATCACACCACTGCACTACAGCCTAGGCAACAAGAGCGAAACTCTGTCTCAAAAAAAAAAAAAAGAATTCGTTTTTCTGACTTTCCTAGCTCCACCTCTGTCCTCCAGAAAGCCCTCCTCTTCCCAGAAGGCTGGCACACAGGGCTGGGGGCCAGGCTTGACTTCCCTGTGGAGGGGTCTGAGGTTGGGGGGATGACCTGCAGAGGTAGGGGAATTCAGAGAACTTGTTTTGATAGAAACTGAAACTCCTCCTCTTGCTGACGCTGCACTTGTGGGCAATCTGCACCTGTTCTCCCCTCCCAGAGGCCAGCTGGAAGGGGGTCCCCCACCATTCTACCTCTGTTCCCATCTCAAACAGGGCTCAGAAATCCTCAGTACAATACTACAATTGGTCCCACACCAAAGACTTTTCACACTCCAACTCATTCTATCCTTACCAAAACACTCTTACTTTACCCAGGAGACACAGAAATGTGGCAAAGCTTGCCTGGGATCACAGATTTAGGGGGAGTGAAGGGGAGGCCAGGCTCTCAAAGGGTAACTGCTGGCCCCAGCTGATATTACCACCTTCACCCCAATCCAGCCACCATCTTAGTCACCTTACTCCCTGGGGCAGGACCTGATCTTGTGTGCCTCAGTTTCCACACCAGCACAAGCAGGAATCAGCTAGAACCCAGGAAAGGCATGGGAGAGGGCAGAGATTATAGATATCAGGGGCTGCATCTCTCCCTAGGGCCACAGAGGCCAATATGAACCTTACCCTCCCCATACACACCCCACTTCTTTCCTTTTTCTGGACACACAGAGACACCAGTATAGAAATGCACATGTGTATACACATACAGCAGAGACTGCCAAAGATGCTCCCTGAGGCCAAATGCTCACCCAACAAATCCCACAACAGAGAACTATCACATTCAATGAGTAGATGCCCTTGCCACTTCAGGAAAGACTGAAGATGTGAGGCTCTATAAACTGAGGGACCCCCTACCCCACCAACCTCCTTCCTGGCCTCTGGCAGGGTAGGTGGAGGGCAGGGGAAATAACCAAGAGCTCTAACAGACTAGCCTCAACCTCTCTCCTCTGTTGCCCGGGGGAAGTCCTTATGTAACTAATGTAATGTAACCAATAATGTACCCAGATTTATGTTAAGAAGCAAGACATGAGAGCCTGGATTATCTTCCTATAGGGTCCTACCATTTGCTTTAGAGACATCTGAGAACTGCCTACTCCCCAGGTAGCTGCCTGCCTCCCAGAAGAGCCACAGCAAGTTCCGCTAAGGGCAAAAAAGGAAGCTAGGTGTCTACAGGGAACCTAAAAACAAACCACACTAACGTGTGTACACACAGCTGCAGAGGGAGACAGGGACCTGGTCTGCTCCCCACTACCCTCCTGGTCCAGTGGGAACCCTGGCCCCACTGAGAACCAATCTCCTGAGGAGATGAGCCAGGACAAAGGTCTCACTTGCCTGTCAAGCAGCTGTGGTGTGACCTGGTCTGTAGCCCCAACTACCCCAACTAGCATACCCTCAGTGGGAGAGACAGAACTCATCCCACTGGATAGTCTGGTTCCTGAGATGTGTGCTCCTCTGCTCAAGGATTCCCACTGCAAGGATGAGAAACCTGAAGGATACACGGGAGAGGCTGAAGGAAGCTGGTGTACAGGAAATGGCCCGTGGGAATCTTCTTTCTGTGGCCTGGTTCAACCTCAAATACCAATGTTCTGACACTGGTTGTATGACCTAGATAGGGTAGGGTCTTGGCTTTCTCTTGAGGCCTCAGTTTCCCCATTTATAAAACAATCAAAATTGATCTCAGATCCATCCCTCCTAGTGCTGATGTTCCAAGACCAAAAGGCCCAGAAGAGTGGGCCTAGCTAATGTTTCTGGGCCTCATCGTGGTAACATGCACAGCCCTTGCCACTCCCCCATGGCCCATGTAGAAACAACCATGTGGCCTTCACTCTGCCCACAGAAGCTAGCACCAGGACCCTGGTCAGGGTTAGAGGTTTCTGCTGAGTCAAAGCCACATGGAGGGAGGGAGCAAGGGAGAGATGCAGAGTCATGTTTCCAGGAGGAGGTTATCTGAGCATAACAGGGACAGGGTGGGCCACAGGATACCTCTGAGGCTCAGGTTCCCACCTCCACTCCACCCAAGCCTTCAATGATGCTCATGAATCCCCAATAAGAGGAGGTGGGAGAGAACTGAGCGCAAGCAATGGATATTGCTTAACTCAGGGGAACCAATGGCAGGCAGGCAGCTACCTGGGGAGTAGGCAATTCTCAGAAGTCTCTAAAGCAAATGGTAGGACCCTATAGGAAGATAATCCAGGGGAACAGAAGGCAGAAAGCCACCTGCCTCAAGACTCCCAACAACAGAGGGCCACGTGCTCCTACTTGGAGGAGGTAAGGTCCAGAGAAGTCAAGGAACACAGCCAAGGTCATCCAGCCAGTTGACAACCAAGCTAAGAAGCTAAGGATCCTAGGATCATAAAAAGAATGTGTCCTGGCCGGATGCGGTGGCTCATGCCTATAATCCCAACACTTTGGGAGGCCAAAGCGGGTGGATCACAAAGTCAGGAGTTTGAGACCAGCCTGACCAACATGGTGAAACCCCATCTCTGCTAAAAACACAAAAATTAACCAGGTGTGGTGGTGCACGCCTGTAATCCTAGCTACTCAGGAGGCTGAGGCAGAAGAATCACTTGAACCCGGGAGGCAGAGGTTGCAGTGAGCCGAGATCACGCCACTGCACATTCCAGCCTGGGCGACAGAGGGAGACTCCATCTCAAAAAAAAAAAAAAAAAAAAAAAAAAAAAAAAAAAAAAGAATGCGTGTCCTTTGGACACCTCTGGGTTCCCAGGCCAGCTCTGGCTAATGGCCCTGAGCATGTCATTTCCCTTTCTATGCTTCAATCTTTTCACCTGTCTCATGGGATAATGATCCAAGTTTTGCAGTGAGCCTGAAGCACCCAGCTGAATGCCTAGCACACAGCAGGGGTCAAGGAAACAGTGCCCTCTATGTTTGCAGCCCCCGCCCAACTCCAACTCTCTGCTCCACGTTCCTTCCACTATTCAACACATGGCAGGAAGTCAGCCTGTAGGGCTTCACACTACAGTCTAAGCTGACTGCCATCTGTCCCCATCCAGGCGAGGCTGGAAACGGGGGCAGCAAAAAGCCCAGGGACAAAGTCCCCTTCCCAGGCACATGTATTATGCACTCTGCACCAAGGAAACCTCCAGATAAGGTCTAGAGACCAAGGGCCATGTACTTCGGGGGAGAGGCCAGAGGACTTCTGAGGTTTTACAGAGAAAAGCCAAAGGCAGCCCAGTCAGGGGAAATGTGTAGCCATAGTGCCGATAAGGAAAGGCCTTCAACCTGCCCTGGTCAGCTCTTCCTGTAAGTAGAGGCCCCTTACTGAAGGCCCCAGTGGGAGGAAGGGTCGGGAGTATTTGGGGAGAACAGCTAGATACATATAGACACACACACACACACAAATACTGCTCTTGATACGAGTTACTACAACAAGCCAGGTCCTCACTAGCTAGCCCCAAGGGTCGGGGGTATTTGGGGAGAACAGCTAGCTAGATACACACACACATACACACACACACACACACACACACACACACACACACAGAGAACAGCTAGCTAGATACACACACACACACACACACACACACACACACACACACGGCTCTTGATATGAGTTACTACACAAGCCAGGTCCTCACTAGCCAGTCCCAAGGCTTACCCTCAATGACTGCCCAAGACTCAGATGCCCGCTGCATTCTCTAATCCTAACTCCACCAGAAGCCCTGCTTACCCCACATCTAGCCTGAGGTCTCAACACAGGGCCTAGCACCTAACAGGCCCCCACCTATTCTTTCTTTGCCTTTCTTTTGTCCAAGATGCCCCGAAACCCAGCTCTTCCTCTGGGAAACATCCCAGGGAAAACACAAACTTGAGCCAGAGGGGTAGGAGGGATAAGTTTTTTCCCAGTCCAATAGAGCCCATTGCCTGAGCCTCTTCTGCTTGGCAGAATAGAGAGGAGACCATTCACTCCACCCTTTCAACAAACACATGTGACTCTGAGGCACCAGTGAAAATGGCATCTGGGTTTTACAAATGCTACTGTTCCATGAGGGTCTACTATATGTGTCAGGCACTAAAGGGATTTACCAAAGCAACTTCATTAAATCGTTACAGCATTAGGGTCTTTTAGCCCCATTTTACAGATGAGGAAACAGCCTCAGGAAAGAAGAGCTGCTTGCCTAAGGTCATACCAAGAATCAGTTGTGCAGCCAGGGATGGAGCCTAAAACACCCCAGCCCACCAGTAGACATGGGGGGTACCCACAGACGGAGAGAATAGCAGACCAAGAAGGAACTCAAAGAGGCATTGAGAATCAACACCATTTCACAGACGGGAAGACCAAGGCCAAGTGTCACAGCAGTTATGAGTCAGGGCCAGAACTAGAAGGTAGGTCTTCTGACTCCCAGCTCAAAGCTCCTATCAGAGGGCACTTTTCCTTGGTAGATATCAGAGAACCACAGGGAGGATCAGGTCACATTCCCAGCTTCCCCTTCACCCTAGCACAGGACCTCACAACTACTTGTTGGGTCACAGATTCAGAGCCAAAATGGCCTCAAAGATCTAACTCAGACTGGATAACAGATGGTATTAAGGCATTATTAATTCTGTTAGGTGCAGTAATGGCATTTTGATTATGTTAAAAAGAAGAGAGTAAGTCTGTATCTGTCAGAGAAACATACAGAAATATTTATGAATGAAATGATCCAATGTCGGGGTTTTGCTTTAAAAATACTCTTCTTTCAGGGGAGTGAGAAAGAGTGGGCGGGATAGTGATGAAACAAGGCTGGCCACGTATTGACTATTTTGAAGCTGGATGATGGGTACATGAGGGTTCATCATTCTCTCTACTTTTATATAAGTTGAAAAAAAATTCTATGATATAAGAAATTTGTAAAGATCTAGTCTGATAGCCCCCATACACACAGATTGAGGAACAGAGACCCGCAACACACCAGAGATGGGATCTGGGTATAAACCTAGGGGTCATACAGCCCAGGGTGGCAGCAGTATGCTATGGTTAAGAGCATGGGCCTCAGACTAATCTAACCCAGACACTGAATCCCAACTCTACCACTTATTATTTCACTCCAGACAAGTCACCCACCATCTCTGAGCCACTTTTCTCATCTGACAAATGGAAGCAACAGTAGTCCCTACACTCACCTAGCTTAGAGGGGAATCAAAGAGGTTTCCTGTAGCACCTGACAATGTGTCCCAAAGGATATTATTTTCTTTATCATTCTTCTTGCTGTTATTATGCATATTAATCTTGCACCACTACAATGTCTCAAGACCCACGGCTAGAGGTCAGATACCAACTTGAGGCTGGAGCCTAGAGTCCCTAAAAGATTAGCTAGCTCTGCCTCAACCCTGTCTCAGGGGCTATTCCTGATAACTGGGACACAGCTTAGGGGCAGCCCTAGGCCCTTAAGGACTAAGGCAGAGACTCACCTACAGCCCGGAAGAGACAGGCGCCATCCTCCTTCATCTGCTTGATGATGAAGCCCTTCTTGTCTCGTAGGGCCTTTTCAAACCAATGCTCCTGCTGGAGGGAAGAGGTGGGGGTCAGCAACAGGGAAAACCTGTACTCCCTCCCCAGGGCCCCGACCTCAAGCTCCCGAGAGGCCTAGATCATTGACAGAGAGGACGCTGGCCAAGGTAAAGTTCTCAGCCCTGTTTGACCACTCCATGCATGTGAAGTAGGAGACTCTTTTAGGGAATTAGTTGCTGAGTGAAACTAAGACTTACTTCCAAAAGGGTCCTAGGTGCCCTGAGAACAGTGGCCCCATATGCCTTATGGCTTCTGTTGACCTTGCAGGGCCTGGCCCAGGGAGCCACACTGCCTCAGGCAGCCAGAGACTCAGACCCAGCAAGTGCCTGGGTGGAGAATGTGGCTCTACCTCAAGGAGTTTCATCTAGGAAAGGTGGTGAAGAGGGGGTAACTAGCAAGAGCCTAGATCCTGAACCTGACAAAGGGCTAGAGGATTCCAAGATATGCTGTAGGCCGGGCATGGTGGCTCACACCTGTAATCCCAGCACTTTGGGAGGCCAAGGTGGGTGGATCACCTGAGGTCGGGAGTTCGAGACCAGCCTGACCAACATGGAGAAACCCCGTCTCTAATAAAAATACAAAAGTAGTCAGGCGTGGTGGTGCATGCCTGTAATCCCAGCTACATGGGAGGCTTAGGCAGGAGAATCGTTCGAACCCAGGAGGTAAGAGGTTGCGGTGAGCTAAGATCACCCCATTGCGTTCCAGCCTGGGCAACAAGAGCGAAACTCTGTCTCAAAAAAAAAAAAAAGAGATATACTCTAGAAGGCAAAAGTGTGCAAACAATGTTCTCATCTGTGACTGAACACATTTAACAGATATCTACACATATATACATATGTATGTATACAAACACACGTACACAAAATTGGGAAGGCTAGACAGCAAAATATCCCTAAGTCCTGGTGTTATCAGCGATTTTATTGCACTTTCCCTTTTATAAAGTTACACTAAACCCAAAAAGCTTTGAAAATCAAGTCTTTTTTTTTTTTTTTTTTTTTTGAGATGCAGTCTCACTCTTTTGCCCAGGCCGGAGTGCAGTGGCACTATCTCGGCTCACTGCAAGCTCTGCCTCCCGGGTTCATGCCATTCTCCTGCCTCAGCCTCCCGACTAGCTGGGACTACAGGCGCCTGCCACCATGCCTGGCTAATTTTTTGTATTTTTAGTAGAGACGGGGTTTCACCATGTTAGCCAGGATGGTCTCGATCTCCTGATCTCGTGATCCACCCACCTCGGCCTCCCAAAGTGCTGGGATTACAGACATGAGCCACTGTGCCCGGCCCAAAAGTCTTTATCTAATTCATTTGGCATCATAACCTGACCAGAACTGACAAGAATCTATTTATCCCACTTGGGGTAAATATTCAAATATTTCAATGCAGAAAACATTCAGGTGTTTGATTATGAGGTGCTGCCTCAGACCCTGCTGGAGGTGTTATGTAACACAAAGTATACACACCAGGTAAGTTTTATAAATTGTTTTTTTCCTAAATTCCAAAGCACACCTGGCACCACGAAGGTTCAACTTAAATGAACCTGTACAAATGCCTATTTTTTAATTAAAAAAATAATGACCATATAACCTCTTAAAACATAATTTTCATTTCAAAACAAAACCAACCAGAAGCAGCAGACCTTTCCTGGGCCCCTCACGCCCTCTGCTGGCTACCAGAAGCAGCCAGCCTGACCTAGCAACAAGGCTGCAAACTACAGGATCCCAAGCCTGCTCCTTGTGGACACAGGCCTGCCCAGGGATTTATAGGATCTGGGGTATTAGAGACCAGACATAGGGGCCCACCTATCCGTAAGGCCATTTTTCCCCAGCTCAAGCAAGGGGTGGAACCCATCCCCTAAGAAAGCCAGAGGAGAAGCATCTCTGGCAAAGTTGTAAGCACAAGGTTTGGAACGCAAGAGCTCTGGGTTCCAACCCCAGCTTTGCCACACACTTGCTGTCTGTTATCACTCTCAGTTTCCTATAGAATGGGGGATATGTTGATCTACCGGACAGAGCTGTGAGGAGTTTCAGGACCTAAAGAAGCTTTGTAAATAACGTACCATATACTAGGGGAAGTTGTCGCCAATCACAGAAGGGGAGGAGATCAGCACAGAGATTATGCACAACTGAGAGACCCTCAGAAAGTCCCAGGTGAGTAGCGGGACAGGAGGGGAGGAAGAGGTGACAAGGGAATACCCAGCCAGTCCCATCATCAGGGCCCACACCCCAGGAAAATGTGGCTGGATTTCTAGAGATGACAAAGACACCTGGAAGCCCTTAATGAGCTTCCATGCGCAGCACAAGGACTCCTGTTTGTGCACAACATTCCAGTGGTCCAGGTGTCCCTCCTTGCCCCCAAGCCTGTGGATTAACACACTCCAGCCAGTTATGCCCAAGTCCATCCTGGCCACACATGGTCAGCCATCTCCCAGAGTCATGGGCCTGCCCCAGCCAGGGGTCTCCAGCAGGGATGGTGCAACCACAACTATAGTCCCAAACCTGACACAAGAATAGGTTCTTAAAAAGAAGGGAACACAGCGACTTCCTGGCTTTGGAGAGAGGGGAAAAAGAGAGGAGAAAAGGAGATCAAACAGGAGAGGGGCTCCTACTTATCCATTCAAGAAAGACTTACCAGGTAGCTACTAAGTAAGATACTGGGCTGGGCAGTGAGGACAGTGAAATGAATCAGACTTAGTCTCCACTCTTGATAAGCTCACAAACTACTTAGCAGAGGGGTAGGGAAACAGGTAACCACCACAAGGTATGAACAAGGCTGTGAAAAATGTAAATGCCAGGTGTTGTGAAACAGAAAGAGGCTGGGCGAAGTGGCTCTCGCCTGTAATCCCAGCACTTTGGGAGGCCGAGGCAGGTGGATCACTTGAGATCAAGAGTTCAAGACCAGCCTGGCCAACATGGTAAAACCTTGTTTCTACTAAAAAATACAAAAAAAAATTAACTGGGCATGGTGGTGCATGCCTGTAATCCCAGCTAAATCAGGAGGCTGAGGGAGAAGAATCGCTTGAACCTGGGAGACAGAAGTTGCAGTGAGCCGGGATCATACCACTGTATTCTAGCCTAGGCGACAGAGTGAGACTCTGTCTCAAAAAAAAGAAGAAAAGAAAAGAAACACAGTCATTGGGCCAGGCACGGTGGTTCACACCTGTAATCCCAGAACTTTGGGAGGCTGAGGTGGGCGGATCACCTGAGGTCGGGAGTTTGAGACCAGCCTGACCAACATGGAGAAACCCCGTCTCTACTGAAAAATACAAAATTAGCCAGGTGTGGTGGTGCATGCCTGTAATCCCAGCTACTCGGGAGGCTGAGGCAGGAGAATCGCTTGAACCCGGGAGGCGGAGGTTGTGGTGAGCCAAGATCGCACCATTGCACTCCAGCCTGGGCAATAAGAGCAAAACTCTGTCTCAAGGAAAAAAAAAAAAAAGAAAAAAAGAAACACAGTCATTAAGGCTAGCACCTGAGAGGAGGTGCCACCTGACCAAAGGATTAAAACACCAAGACCTCCAAAAATGCTTGTTAACTGGATGAGAAATGAAGTCACTTCTGCCACGAAGTACCAGGAATGCCTGGAGCCCAGCAATGAATTCAGTAGAGCTAAAGTTCTGGGTAGTACTAGGCAGGTAAGCAGGGAGGACCAGGAAGAAAGATGAACTCATATTAACTGAATACCTGCCCCATGCCAGATGCAAAGGGTGACCTCGTTTAATTTTCCTGACCACAGCCCAGGTGGCAGGAAACATTACCCTCACTTTACAAAGGCAGAAAGGAGGCCAGACACGGTGGCTCACGCCTGTAATCCCAGCACTTTGGGAGGCCAAGGCGGAAGGATCATCTGAGGTTAGGAGTTTAAGACCAGCCTGGCCGACATGGCGAAGCCTTGTCTCTACTGAAAATACAAAAAATTAGCAGGGCGTGGTGGCGTGTGCCTGTAATCCCAGTTACTTGGGAGGCTGAGACAGGAGAATCGCTTGAACTCGGGAGGTGGAGGTTGCAGTGAGCCGAGATGGCACCATTGCACCCCAGCCAGCCTGGGCAACAGAGCAAGACTATGTCTCAAAAACAAAAACAAAAACAAAACAAAAAACAAAAAAACAAAGGCAGAAAGAGAAAGGAGCTGGAGTTTGGATACCAGCAAAGCCTAGTGTAGAGGCAACAGGGAAGGCCCCCACGAGCCACAGCATGGAGGACATACCTTGCAGCCCATCCACAGAATATCCTGGTTTGTCTCTAAACATGAAAGAGACCTGAATAGGCCCCTCGCACTGCAGGGTTTGGGTCCTGGGGCAGTCAAACTGGCATCCAGGCTTGGATCTAGAGGCTGGACTGCTAGCCACCCACTGGCTTTGTCATCAGCAGCCTGAGGAGTTTGGGCTCTGGCCCTTCTCTTTCTCCTTTTGGGGAGAAAATGTTGCTCAGGAAGGGCTAGTAGGGGTGGGGGGTAGGGGATAGCTCAGCCATAGATAAGTTTAAGCTCCAACAATGCCCTGGCCTGAGGAGATTGTGAACCTTGCAAACTCATCGCTGAGCCTATGGGAAAATCCCTCCATATCTTTGAGCCTCCACAAAAAGGCTGAGTAAAGCTCCCTAACACCAGAGGATCCCAGGAGCTGAGGCAAGATTCTGTAACCTAGTGGTCTAAGGGCCCAAGTGAAGTTGGAGCAGGCTGTGGAACCCAACTGACTTAGGTTCCAATCTAGCTCCACCAATTATTAGCCATGTGATGATGAACTGCTCTGAGCCACAGTTTTCCAATCTGTGAATGGGGATACCAAGCCTCCCAATAATAGGGATGCTGGGCAGACTCAAATATTACAGGGCTTTGCCCAGTAAGAGACCACTTAATGAGTTCCCTTCCCTTCCCCAGGAGGGAAAAAAGCCTCTCTAGTAGGCTGATTAATAGCCACGCAAAGATATCAAACCCTAACCCCCCTGGAACTTGTAAATGTTACCTTATAATGAAAAAGGTAGGGCCAGGCGTCGTGGCTCATGCCTGCAATCCCAGCACTTTGGGAGGCTAAGGCAGGCAGATCGCTTTGAGCTCAAGAGTTCAAGACTAGCCTGGGCAACATGGTGAAATCTCATCTCTACAAAAAATACAGGCCAGGTACGGTGATTCACGCCTGTAATCGCGGCACTCTGGGAGGCCGAGGCGGGTGGATCACCTGAGGTCAGGAGTTCGAGACCAGCCTGGCCAACATGGTGAAACCCTATCTCTACTAAAAATACAAAAATTAGCTGGTCATGGTAGCAGGCGCCTGTAATCCCAACTACTCAGGAGGCTGAGGCAGGAGAATCGCTGGAACCTGGGAGGCGAAGGTTGCAGTGAGCCGAGATAGCACCACTGCACTCCAGCCTGGGTGACACAGCGAGACTCCATCTCAAAAACAAATAAATAAACACCAAAAATTAACCGGGCATGGTGGCTCGCACCTGTGGTCCCAGCTACTCAGGAGGCTGAGGCTGGAGGATCACTTGAGTCCAGGAAGTGGAGGGTGCAGTGAGCCAAGATTACGCCACTGCACTCCAGCCTGGGTGACAGAGGCCAGCACTGTCTGAAAAGAAAAGAAAAGCCCGGGCACAGTGGCTCATGCCTGTAATCCCAGCACTTTGGGAGGCCGAGGCGGGTGGATCAACTAAGGTCAGGAGTTTGAAACCAGCCTGGCCAACATGGCAAAACCCCATCTCTACTAAAAATACAAAAATTAGCCAGGTGTGGTGGTGGGCGCCTGCAATCCCAGCTACTCAGGAGGGTGAGGCAGGAGAATAGCTTGAACCCAGGAGGCGGAGGTTGCGGTGAGCCGAGACTGCGCCTGGGTGACAGAGTGAGATTCCACCTCAAAAAAAAAAAAAAAAAGAGAAGAGAAAAGAAAAAAAGTGTTTGCAGATGTAATTAACTTACATTATTAAATCTGGAGATGGGGGGTTATCTTAGAGTATCAGGTAGGACCTAAATGCAATCACAAGTGTCCTTATAAAAGAGAGACAGAGGGAAATTTGATACAGACAGAAAAGGAAACCACATATACAGAGAAGGCGATGGTGAAGATGGAGGCAGAGATTAGAATGATGCAGTCATAAACCAAGGAATGTTGGCAGCCACGAGAGGCTAGAGAAGGTCTAAATTCTCCCTGAGAGCTTCCAGAAGGAGTGTGGCCCTGCCAACACTTTGATTTGGATGCAGTGAAACTGATTGTGGACTTCTGGCCTCCAGAATTGTGACAGAATAAACTTCTCTCTCTCTTTTTTTTTTTTTTTTTTTTTTTGAGATGGAGTCTCGCTCTGTCACCCAGGCTGGAGTGCAGTGGCGCAATCTCAGCTTACTGCAACCCCCACCTCACTGCAACCTCCAATCCGTCTCCTGGGTTCAAGCAATTCTCTGCCTCAGCCTCCCGAGTAGCTGGGATTACAGGCACCCACCACCACACCCAGCTAATTTTTATATTTTTAGTAGAGATGGGGTTTTACTATCTTGGCCAGGCTGGTCTTGAACTCCTGACCTCGTGATCCACCCGCCTCGGCCTCCCAAAGTGCTGGGATTACAGGGGTGAGCCACCGCACCCGGCCAACTTCTGTTGTTTTAAACCACCCAGTCTGTGGTAACATTTGTCACAACAGCCACAGGAAACTAACACACCCCCCTTGGTAGCACTCCTTGGTGTCTGTTCCCTAGTGCCTCACAGGTGTGAGACAATATGGCATGGATCCCGCTCTGCAAGGTCCACCTGCCTACCATCCTCCAGGGTGGGAGGTTAGAATTAAGGCAGCAGGGGCCTGGAATCTCCCTTCTCACCCTGGGAAACTACTGACCCTGCCTATGGATGGATGAGCTGCCACTGAAGTGGGGGTGGGGTGGGGGGGCAAAAGATGGCAGCAGCAGTGGCAGTTCATGGACAGATGTCTTCCCAGAGCCTATGGTCAAAAGGTGTTTAGCATTCTGTGACTCACAGCTCTGTCCCAGCAGCCCTGGTGCCAAGACCACCCCCTCCAGCAAAGCACCCAGGAACACTAGCCTGGCTCCATGGACAAAACACAGGGGGCCAGGCGTGGTGGCTCACGCCTGTAATCCCAGCACTTTGGGAGGCCGAGGTGGGCGGATCACGAAGTCAGGAGATCGAGATCATCCTGGCTAACACAGTGAATCCCTGTCTCTACTAAAAATACAAAAATATTAGCCAGACGAGGTGGCAGGCACCTGTAGTTCCAGCTACTCGGGAGGCTGAGGCAGGAGAATGGTGTGAACCTGGGAGGTGGAGGTTGCAGTGAGCCAAGATCGCGCCACTACACTCCAGCCTGGGGGACAGAGTGAGACTCCATCTCAAAAAAAAACACACACAGGCAACCCATCCAACGAGGAACATAGACACACTACTCTCTAAGGACCAACACAAGCCCTCCAGGGCAGAAGGGGAGAAGAGCAAGGCCCCAACATTTGGCTAGGCCACTGAGGGCAGGGGGATTAAAAACCTCTAAGATTGGCAGGGTGCGGTGACTCACACCTGTAATCCCAGCACTTTGGGAGGCCAAGGCAGGCAGATCACCTGAGGTCAGGAGTTCAGGAGACCAGCTTTGCCAACATGGTGAAACCCCATCTCTACTAAATATACAAAAATTAGCCGGGTGTGGTGGCAGATGCCTGTAGCCCCAGCTACTTGGGAGGCTGAGGCAGGAGAATCACTTGAACCCGGAAGCCGGAGGTTGCAGCGACCTGAGATTGCGCCACTGCACTCCAGCCTGGGCAGCAGAGCAAGACTCCACCTTAAAAAAAAAACAAAAACAAAAACAAAAACCAAAAAACAAAAAAACCCAAGGTCCTGTTATTCAGTAATAGAAAGGAATGAAGCACTGATGTATGCTACAACATGGATAAGCCTTGAACATATTATGCTAAGTGAAAAAAGCCAAGTAACAAACAACTGCATATTCTATTATTCCATTTACATGAAACATCCAGAACAGACAAATCAATCAAGCCAGAAAGTAGATTAGTGGTTGCCAGAGGCTGGAAAGGGATGAGGAAATTGGGGGATCATAGCTAAAGAGTGCTGGATTTCTCTTTAAGGTGATGAAAATGTTCTAAAATGGACTGTAGTGATGTGATGGACGCACAAATCTGTGAATATACTAAAAGCCACTGAACTGTACACTTCAAAGAGGTGAATAGTATGGTACATGAATTACATCTCATTAAAGTTGTTAAAAGAAACACACCCAAGGGCTCAGCACCAGCCAAGGACGCTGAACACTGCTTGAAATGTCCTAGCACAATCCCCAAAGGCCAAGGGGTCCCACTTAAAACTTTCATGAAGGGTGAGGGGAGTGGGAGCAGGGAGGAGACTATAACTTGCTTCAGAGCAATGAGTCCAACCTCCCTCCTCAACACTACCCATTTCATGGAGGGAGAAACCAAGAACCAGAAAAGAGAACTGCCTGAAGACCACAGAAAAGCTTACTGCAGAAACAGGACTCAAATCCACGTTGCCTGGGCAGAGACCCCTTCCTGCTTCCCCACCAGCTAGCTACCCAATTCCAGTTGGGGTAAGAAGAGCCCAAGAAATCAGCAGGTTCCTAGATGCCAAATGAAGGGCCTTTGCTATCAAAGATAGGTTACTAGGAGTGGACAAAGGCTCCTAGGAAGAACCAAGATGACCCTGGGGCAAACTGCCCATTCTGGGCAAGAGGAAGAACCGGCCAAGGTCCAAGGTGTGCAAGGTCAGACACACCTGGGCATGGACAAACTTTTGCAAAATGGGCAGCTGAGGGGGCAAGTAGTTTGCCTAAAGCTATAAAGCAGGTAAGGAGGAGATGCTGAGGTCTGGAGGTGATGAGAGAATTGAGGGATGATGGCTCAAAGCTTGCCTTGCTCCAAAGCCCAAACTCCACACACAACTCTACCTCTCTACACCACTATCCAACAGGCCTCCTGACAGGAAATCCCATCGAGCTTGTTCATTACAACATGGCTGCCCACAAAAAATGGCTGTTCATCAACCCTGAGCCTCACACAAAACAGGCTGCTTGTCCTGCCCACCAAGCTTGGATGGCTGAGAGGGAACAGAGGAGCCAGGAAGAGAGGGGAGAAACCCAGTTCCTCCTCAAAAGACATCCACCATTCTTTGCCACCTCCAGGTCCAGAGAACTTTGGACTGAGTTCCCTAAAATCCCAAAGCTAAACAACACCTCACCAGCATTTTGCCTGGCCAGTGAGGAAACTGAGGCCCAGAGAGCATAGGTAGAACCTACCCTGGTTCATCCAGCAAAGCCTTGAAAGACCCAGAGTTGGAACCCAGGCACCAACTACCGTGCCACACCCAGCTTTTTCCACCACCTCAGTTCACATGCCCCTTCTCAAAGAGCTCTGTGGGGTCTCCAAACTCAGGATGCTTACAGGCCAACCTTTTCATAGAGCAGACTCTCAGCAAGGCAGCCATGCCTGGGAACCCCTGACATCACCACCCACCCAGCACCTGGACCCCAGAGTGCCAAAAAGACTCCTAAAGGAAGTAGGGATACAAGAGAATCAGGACAAAGAGGAAGCCCAAGTAGTCAGAACCCCAGAATCGCCATCTAGACTCCCCCTCAACGACGCCTCTCTTCCCAAGGGATCCAACTGACCTCCAGGCTACAACCACCCCTAGTGACAGTTTAGGACCAAGACTGGGGTGGCAGGAGGAATCTTCCCTCTTCTCATCCCCAAAAGCTCTCAAGTTGGACCAGGTGAGGCAGGGAGAAGAGGATCACCTTCTTTGTCCTAAGAAGTGTGGGGACAGAAAGCCTCTCCTGTCATTGGGAAGGGCAGGTTTCATGAACCCACAAAACTTGATTTTCATATTCTTTTTTTTTTATTAGTAAAGATGAGGTCTCGCTATGTTGCCAAGCAGGTCTTGAACTCCAGGGCTCAAGTGATCCTCCCGCCTCAGCCTCCCGAGTAGCTGGGACTACAGGCATGCGCCACTATGCCCGGCTTACTCTTATGTTCTTATGGGGACAAGTATAAGGGAGGGACTGCAAGGGGCATAAGGAAGTGTTTTTGAGTTACCATGGCAGCATAGGATGTTCTTTCTCTCTGTCCCTGGGACCAGGGATGTATCGCAAGGGAGGGGAGTAAGGAGGTGTTTTTGAATTATCATGGCTGCATAGGATGTTTTTCCTCTGTCCCTAGGACCAGTGATGTATGGCTCCCTGCTTCTAGAGGAGGAAAGAAACTACCCAACCAGAGAGAGAAGAAATAACTGGTCCTGACCCTTGAGTACAAATGGCTTATCGTGCCAGAATTAATGATGGGAGGAAGGGACCAAGAACAAGGAGCTCAAGACAAGGCTTGGGGCCCCTGTGAAGTACAGAAAGATTTACCTGAGCCAAGGGGAAAAGGAATGTGGGAGGAGAATTTCCCCAGAGTGGCGATGTCCCAAACCCCTTTCCTGTCCCTGGGAAGAAAAAAGCTTGTCAAAAGCAGTTCAAAACTTATTATATGACCTAGAGGTGAGAAGCAAGCATAGCTAGGTCAGGGAGAGACTCGGAATCGCTCTTGGTTTCAGAAGGGAGGCTCCAGACTCCATGTCCCCAGGACCTGACAATCTTCTCATAGAAAGTAGGAGGACCTTCTTGGCCCTGGCCACGAGGGAGCTCTGGATAAGGGGTTCATATGACCCTGAAGAGCATCCAGGTCCTTCTGTCCAATGGGAGAGGATGACCTCACGTTCCTCTCCCTGGACAGAAAGGATTGCCTGGTGTGGTAGGAGGAGAGCCTCATGCCCAAGTGGGAGCCAGGCCCCCAGTCCCTAAGGCAAACGGTATCTTGTCCCAGAGAGAAAGCTTGGGCCCAGACTCTTTTCCTCAGAATCCTACCCTATTCATGTCCCCAAAAGGAGTTGGGAGTCTAAGGCCCAAGTCCCCGAGGCAGGAAGTCTTATGTCCCTAAATGACCCCTAAGACTAGGGTGTATGTAAGTTGTCTGAGGTGAGGTGACAGTACCCTCAGGGCAGGTTCAGAAATCAGGTCCTAAGGTGGGGAACAGGCCTTCACACACCTGAGTTATGATTCAAACCCTTGGAGGTAGACTCAGGACCCTGTTCCACAGGGATCCTTTATCCATGCCCCAAGGGAAGAGTCTCAGGGCTCAGGTCTGGGGGGAGGAGTCCTCCTGTTTCTCAGGTGTACATCTTAAGTTCCTTGAGGAGGAAGCTCAGACCTTACCTCTAGACACACAAGTCACCAAGGTATGTATGAGTCTCCTGTCCCTGAAGGAAAGCTCAAGTGTCCTTGGCAGAGTGGGTCTCAGGCCCTTAAAAGTAGGCAAAGATCTGTAGGGAGGCCCCAGACATCATCTCTGGGATCCCATGTTGCCCATGTCCCCTGAGTAGTCGTCTCAGGCTCAAGTTCCCAAGGCATGGGTCGTATGTCCCTGACAAAAAGCTTAGGCCCAAGGTGGGAGGGCCTCAAACCCCTGTTACAGAGGGGAAAATGGGATACTGTATCCCCAAGGTATGTTTCAGTTCCTTATAATTGGGGTAAAAGGGTCACATATGCTCGTGGGGTGGGGAGTCTCAGATCCCCAAAACCACTCAGACACCAGCCTTGAGAAGAAGGATCTCCTAAAGACTTCACCTTGTCTGAGACCTTTGCAGCAGGACACCAGGCCCCTGAAGAGGCCTCAGACTCGGTCTCTAAAAACCTCAGTCCATAAGCAGGTGGATCTTAGGCCCTAGGATCCAACGCTGTGAGTCTCATTTTCCTGAAGAAAGGTTCAGGCCCCTGGTGGGGGTGCTGAGGGCCCATCTCTTCTTACAAGAAGCTTAAGATCCTGAAGCGGTTCAGGCCCTTGTCTCCCAAGAGGTAGGTCTCAGGCCACTGATAGGAAATGCAGACCTTTGTCACTCAGAAAGGAGATAAGTAAAGCTGCTGGTCATTGGGTGTTGGTTTTGGTCCCTGTCCCCAAGGGCAAGGGAATCATATCTCCCTGTGAAAAGTCTTACATCCCTGGAAAAAGCTTAGAAGATCCCTATCCTTAAAGGGGGCGTGTGTGTGTGTGTGTGTGTCAGGACCTTGATTCTAGAAGCAGGACTCTCAGGCCCCTGAAGACAGACTTAGGACCCTTGAGGTCTCAGGTCTGGCTATTCAGTGGTCCTGTGCAGTGTTACCCAGCGAAGCGGGAGAGGATTGTCCTATATGCAGAGTGTCTCAGACTCTTGAAAGGGCTTAGGCTCCTTGGGGATGTTCAGCCCCGATCTCCGAGGTCTCCACCTTATTTGACTTTCCTGGAAGGGGAATCTCAAACTTCTATCCCAGAGGAAAAGAGCTCTTAAGCCACTGAACACATACCTAAGTCTCTTGGGAGACCTGAGACTCCTACTCAAGAGGGGCGCGATCCTACCTGTATCTCTTGGAGAATTCCCACCTATTGGCCCTATATGATGAGGTCCCAGGGACTGGAATGACGACTATAGACCTTAAAAGAGACCTCGGATCTTTAAGTCTGACACCTTACCGTAGGCCTCTAGCCCCAAAATCCTGGAGGGGAGGAAAGAAGGTGTCTCACATCCCTACCGCCAGAGAAGACTGTCAGGCCCAGTGAAAACGCCTAGATCCCTTGGGGCGATCTCAAACAGCCTTCCTTGAGTCCCTTCACAGTCTGGGGGTCCCATCTGCCGTGGCCGCTCACCCCTCACCCCACAGCTCTTACCTGCTCGACAGTGGCAGGGTCCATAGCCTCGATGCGTGCTGCAGCCGCCTCATACTCGTCCTCACTGTTGTAGCCTGCGCCGACCTCCTCACGCTCGGGACTGCCCCCGCCAACCGCGCCAACCCCGGGAGCTTGACGTCGCCGCTTGCTGTGCCCAGGCCCGGAGCAGCAGCCGCCCACGCCTACGGCACCACCCACACCCACCACCACGCCCGCGGCACCCACACCCGCCGCCGCTGCGCCCAGCGCGTCGCCGGGACCGCCGCCGGGACCACCTGGGCCCCCGCAAGGAGGTGGAGAAGCCTGTTGTGGCCGGGGACCCGCCACTGCACCAGGCGGCACGGCCAGCGCCCAGCGATGAAGAGCGCCCGGCGGTCCTGGTAGCGGGCCTTGAGGCGGTGGCGAAGCTCGCGGACGGGCCCCCACGACGCCGGAGTCACGGTCGCGATCGCCGCCGCCCACGCCCGTGCCGCCGCCGCCCACGCCCACACCTCCGCCGCGCCGCGGCGCCGGGGGCATCGGCCCGGGCGGCGGCGGCTCGTTGGCGGGGTCGGCGTCGGGAGGCGGCGGCTTCTTTTTGGGGAGTATAGTCATGGCTGCACTGCCGAGTACCCCCCAACAAACCCGGCGCGGGGCACGCCGGGAGAGAACCCGGATGAGGGGGCTAGTGTAGTGCGCGAGGCACGACGGGAACGGCGAGACCCGGATAAAGGGATCGCGGCACCGGTTCGAGAACCCTCGGCGGCGGAGGAGGCGGCGGCGGCGGCGGCGGCGGTGGCGGCGCGCGGGTCACGCCGAGAGGAGAACCCGGATGTAAAGTCCAAGATGAAGGCAGTGCGGCGAGTTTGTCTTAGCCTTCTCTCCAAGTCCAGCAAGTTTATTGCTACGCTTGTTCCGGCCTTCTGCTTCAAAGGAAACAGAACCAAAACAAGCACCTCTTCGCTCCGCCCCCTCGCAGGTTCTTGCACTACCGGGTGGGGCCCCGGGGCGCTGCGCACGCGCGCCAGGGCACAGCCCCGCCCCTTACTCGGAAGTACGTGGGCAAAATCGCCGCCGCCGCCGCCACAACAATTGCAACACCAACCAATTGAGCAGCTGCGTGGGACCTCGACGACGCCCACGGGCCAATCACAGGCGAGTGCTCGCCCTCCGGTGCCCTCCGTCTCAAATTTCAGTCAAAGTCGACACCCTGGTTCCCAGCCTTTCTCCCCGTCAGTTCCGTCTTGCTCTTCACTTTTCTCCCCGAAGCTCTGACCTGCAGGCGTCGGTACTGCGGACGGACAGCGTGGCCTGTCCCACGTACGACAGGAAAAACACCTCCCCTCCAGGATTCCAACTTGAACGCTGTCAGCCGGAATGACTGGAAAACATCAACACTCCCGGGAGCATAGCTGGCCCCTGTAGCGTCACTTCCGGTCCCACCCACCTACAAATACCCTTCCGGGGGAGGCGGACACCGCTTCGCCCCGGCAACAGCCTGAGTTCTGCGGTGATTGGTTAAGAGACGCCGTCACTCGCGGCATACCGACCAACCTTGGGACAGACAGGCGCCGTGGGGACAGTGGTTGTTTGGGAAACAGACACGCCTTCTCTGGCACCACAGCACTCTCGGCCTCGCGTTGACCTCCCCGCCCCTATGGCTAGTGCGCAGGCGCGGCCCAGCCTTTTTTTTTTTTTTTTTTTTTTTTTTTCCTAATTGAGACAGGGGTCTCACTCTGTCGCCCAGGTTGGAATGCAGTGGCGCGATCATAGCTCACTGCAAACTCCAACTCCCAGGTTCAAGCGATCCTCCCGCCTCAGCCTCCCGAATAGCTGGGACCACAGGCGCGCACCACTACGACCGGCTAATTTTTTTTTCACTTTTTTGTAGGGACAAAGTCTCACTATGTTGCCCAGGCTGATCTCCAGCTCCCGGGCTCAAGCGATCCTCCCGCCTCGGCTTCCCAGAGTGCTGGGATTACAGGCGTTAGTCACCGCGCCTGGCCAAGCCCAGCCTTTTTCTAAAACTGAGTTTGCTTGGGTCGATCGAGGTTTATGAAAGCTCTGTCACCAGTCAGCGTCTCAAAATGGGGTTGGCAGAATCCCTGCTATTGAGTAGCTGGAGAGCTACACGCTAATCCTAGCTCTGCCCTTCCTGTCTGAGTGATCTTTGTCAGTCATTTAAAACCCACCCCGTCCTCAATTTTTGTTGTTGTTGTTTACTTTTTTATAGAACGCTTCACGTATTTGCGTGTCATCCTTTCGCATAGTGCCATGCTAATCTCTGTATCGTTCTAATTTTAGTATATGTGGTGCGAAGTGAGCACCCATCCTTAATTTCTATTCTATAAATTGGCAATAATTCTAATCCGAGGATCAGAGATTAATGCTTGTGAAGGGCCTGGTGCTGTGCCCAGCACATAGGAAGTGTTCAATAAAGTAGTCTGCATGGTGGTGCAGTGGAAGGATCCCAGGCTTTGGAGCCAGAAAGACCTCAGTTCCAGGCACAGATGGACCATTACCAACTGTATGACCTTGAGCAAGTCATTGTGTCACTTTTGAGATTACCCATGTGTAAAACAGGAATGATAATACCTGCCCAGACTACCTCAGGGAATGGTTATGGGGTTCAGATGAGCTGATGAACCAAGAAGGTATTTGGAGTTCACTTCCAGTCTTAGGAGACAAACCATACAACAGGTTGACTGAAAGAGACCATGGGAAAGCTGTTTTGAGTATAGCCTTGCCTCCCTTGAGATACTAACCCTAGTTGAAATTCTTCCCTGAAAGGTGTAAGTAATAAATGGGCTCTAAGTAGTGTTTTCTGCTCATGAGACTTAATAGGAGGGGACTTTCACGTTTACCGGGCCTGTTGTGTTCAGGGCTCTGTGCCAAATGCCTATGCACATTATCACATTGAATCTTCTCATGATCATCTCACTCCAGCCCCATATATTTCACTCACTACACATCTAAAACTGAACTCATGATAGCAATCATGGCTACCCTTCACCAAGTACTTACTATGTACCTAGCACTGAGTGCTGACAGCTCTGATGTTCCCTTTACCAGGGAATAGCACTCCCATCCAGCCGTCGTCCAAGCCAGAAACTGGGAGTCAACTTTGACTGCTCCCTCTTCCTCAACTCCCACATGCCTGTCAATCCCAAGTCCTGCCAATTCTGCCTCCCAAATCTCTAGACTCTCCAATTCTACTGCCACTACTCTGGTCCAAGCCACTGTCCCCTACCACCTGGACTATTATAAAAGCCTCCACCCTACTTTTCTTCCTTCCAGGACTGTTTCTCTATATCCACTCTCCACAGCCAGAATGATCATTCTGAAACACAAACTTCATCATGAGTTTTCTGTTTAAGTCTTTAGAGGTCCCCACTATCTTTAGGATGAAGTTTAAAATTCGCGTCATAGCTTCAAAGCTTTTTATTATCTAGCCTACCTCTCCATCCTTCCTCTCCTCACAGCCTCACACTCTCCTCCCCAGCTGGACTGAACTACTTTCAGTTCCCCAAAGGCCTGAGCTCACTCTCCAACCTCCAGGTCATTGCACATGCTGTTCCCTCTGCCCAGAACATTGCATCCTTTCATTTGCTGCCTGGCTAACTCCAACTCATTCCCTGTGTGTTGGCCAGGTTAAGTTCTCCTGCCATCTGCATGCCTCTATAACACATGGATCTTAGTTCTGCCACACCATGTTGTAATTACTTGTCTGCCTTCCATGCTCAACTATACATCAGAGACAATGTCTACTTTGCCCACCTTTGTATCCCTAGGGCTGGCACATGATGGAAGTTAATAAATATTTGGTGACTAAATGAATTATCCCTATTTCACAGACTAGCAACCTGAGGCAAGAGAAGGTAAGTGATTCTCTCACCCAGGGATTGGAACCCAGATCAACCTGAATCCATGGTCTGTCTGCTCAGTGCTCTATAGAACTCAGCCACACACTAGCCTAGTGTAGCCAGTAGCCCAGAAGAGAGAATGTAGGGGGCGTCCACAAGGAAGGGAAATTCACCAAACAAAGTGATGCTTTTATTAGGGTTAAATTCAGGGTTGTTTGCTGTCAGGAAGCCTGGGTTTAAGCCTCCTCTAACTAACTATGTGTTTCTCTGGGTCTCAGTTTCCCGATCTGTGAATCAGGAAGCTGGCGCAGATGATATCCAAGGAGGAATGTCTCAGGACCCCCTGGCCTGTCTCACTGGCTGTAGATGAACTCCTCAAACCACACTCTTTCATTTCTCCTGGATCCCCATCTTCCAGAATACATCACCAACCATCCATCTCCCATACCTTGACCCATACCAGCCCTTCTCCTAGCCAAAAGGGATTGAAATCAGAGTGTTTTCAACCCCCAAGCCCAACCCAGCCCCCAAACCCACAGAGCCAGGAGATACTCTCAGTCCTCATCTCTCCTCTCAGGTTTTATTGACTGATGGAAACTACATCTTTGTCAGCCACCAGCTCCATGGGGACAGTGCTGGGGACAGGGAACCTGAGATGATGCCAGATTTCAGCCTGAGAGCAGAGTTTTGGAAGGTCACCCAAGAGGGAGAAGAAAGGAATATGTGAAAAGGAATTGTAGGGGAGGAGGAGGAGGAGAAGTTCCTCCTGTCTCCTATAACTCCCAAAGTTCAGAAACATCCCAGGCCGGAGCCCCTGATGCTTCTGGACTGTTGCCCAAGAACATGGAATCAGCCCATGATCTCCAAATACAGCCCAGCTCTTGCTGGTTGCCAGGCTCTTATCTCAGCCAGTCCAGACTCCAGCCCAACCCAGGAAGGACGCAAACCAGAGGAGAAGAGAGGAGGAGGAGGAGTTAGAGGTGGCCCCTCTGATTAGGGCAGATGTAAATGCTGCAGCAAACTGGTCAGAGGCTTTGCATAATGACACGGCAGCAGCTGCTATTGCTAGAGTTTGCTGGGGGCCCAGCAGAGGACAGGGTTGCGGGGTCCATTTCCAGCAGCCAGGGAAGGGGATGGTAGAATTTGTGCTATCTGAGTGTGTGTTGGGAGAGGCAGCCTGACCCCTCAGGCAAGGCCTGGGGATGGCAGGTCGCTGCAGAGGCCACAGCCCATGAAGCCTGTGTTTGCATTCCAAGCTTCAGAATCTGGGAATTGTTGGGCCAGATGGAGATGAGGACCTCTCGTAGAGGCCAGATCAGAGGTGAGGGTTCTCTTCTCTGAACCTCCAAAGCTCCATATCCCAGCCAGAGGGAGGAGGAAATCTCAACTCTCCTTCTTAGGCTAGAGCTCAGATGTCGGATCAAAGCTTTGCCTTCATCTGAGAGCCCAAGGGGAGGAGCATGCAGGAGTCCAGCTGGGAGAGTGGGGCCAGTCCCAGTGTGCTAGGGCAAGGAGGCCAGGGGCCTGTGGAAGCCCAGTGCTTCAGCTCCCACCAGGAAAAATGTCTGGGGTGGGAGGAAGTTTCTCATTTCCTGGCTACTTCCCCACTATGTGGACCATTTCATGAAACTCCATTGCATAGTTCTCAGTGGGGGGGGCAGAAGGGGTGCCCAAGCCTGCCCCTCTCTGCCTCCCAAAAATATGGCTTTGGAAAGGAGTTCCCAAAAATGAAGAGGACCCTCTGAATCAGCAGGCCTACCCCTCACAGGGATGAGATCTTGACAGTCTCGGGGAAGAGGCAAGGGGTACCCAGGCTGGAGTTCCTGAGGGTGCTGCCGGCCCTGCCACCGCCGCCAGGGGAGGAAGGTTGGCTCTCATCTGGGGTGTTGGCAGGAGGGGTAGGGATGCTGATAATGGCAGCCACGAAGTCCCGGCTGTCGCAGTTCAGGTCAAGGCTGTCATGGGGCTTGGCATTGAGGCTGGAACGGCTGTGGACAAGGGTGGAGAAGATGGAAGGCTCTTAAAAAGTTATCTTAGGCCGGGTGCGGTGGCTCATGCCTGTAATCCCAGCACTTTGGGAGGCCGAGGTGAGTGGATCATCTGAGGTCAAGAGTTCGAGACCAGCCTGACCAACATGATGAAACCCCGTCTCTACTAAATACAAAAAATTAGCTGGGCATGGTGGCGCATGCCTGTAATCCCAGCTACTCGGGAGGTTGAGGCGGGAGAATTGCTTGAACCCGGCAGGCAGAGGTTGCAGTGAGCTGAGATTGCACCACTGCACTCCAGCCTGGGTGACGGAATGAGACTCTGTCTCAACAAAAAAAAAAAAAGAAAAAAAGTTATCAGCCGGGTGCTGTGGCTCATGCCTGTAATCCCAGCACTTTGGGAGGCCGAGGCGGGCGGATCACGAGATCAGGAGATTGAGACCATCCTGGCTAACGCGGTAAAGCCCCATCTCTACTAAAAATACAAAAAATTAGCCAGGCGTGGTGGCAGGCACCTGTAGTCCCAGCTACTCAGGAAGCTGAGGCAGGAGAATGGCGTGAACCCAGGAGGCGGAGCTTGCAGTGAGCTGAGATTGCACCACTGCACTCCAGCCTGGGTGACAGAGTGAGACTCTGTCTCAAAAAAAAAAAAAAAATTAATACTTGCCACAGCAATCATGGCATTTATTGAGCACCTACTGGGTCCCTGGCACTGTGCTAAGTACTTAAGTACTTCTCCTGCATCCCCAATTATGGTGGTAAAGAGTGAGGACTCTAGAGTCAGATAGTCCTGGGTTCAAATCCTGGTCCCACTTTAACCACTCCAAACCTCTCTCTTCTCTCATCTGTAGCATGGGACGAACACTATCTCCCACCTCATAGGGTTGCTGTGGAGATTAAATGAGATTAAAAATGATACGAAGTGCTCAGAGCAGTGTCTGGAACACAATGTGCATACATATGAAAATGCTATCTCTCATGGTTACTCCTAACAGTGTCCAAGTCCTTACAAACTGTCCATAGTAGGATCTAAGGTGGGACCCTCGCTCCTTTCTGAGTTTGCCTCTTACCAGTCTCCCCCAGCTCACTCTCCTCCACCCATGATAGCTTCCTTGCTATGTCTCTAATGTGGACCCACATCTGCCTCAAGGCCTTTGCACAGGCTGTTCACTCTGCTTAGAAAGCTCTTCCTCTAGTTATCTGCATGGCCCACTCCTTTGCCTCCTTCAGGTCTTGGCTCAGTTGTCACCTCAGTAAAGCCTTCTCTGACCACACTACTAAAACTGCATCACCAGCCAAGAGTGGTGGCTCACACCTGTAATCCCAGCACTCTGGGAGGCCGAGGCAGGTGGACCACCTGAAGGTCAGGAGTTTGAGGCCAGCCTGGCCAACATGGTAAAACCCCATCTCTACTAAAAATATAAAAAATTGGCTGGGTGTGGTGGCTCATGCCTGTAATCCCAGCACTTTGGGAGGTCAAAGTGGGCAGATCACAAGGTCAAGAGATTGAGACCAGCCTGGCCAACATGGCGAAACCCTGTCTCTACTAAAAATACAAAAATTAGCTGGGCGTGGTGGCGCGCACCTGTAGTCTCAGCTACTTGGGAGGCTAAGGCAGAGAATTGCTTGAACCCGGGAGGCGGAGGTTCCAGTGAGCCAAGATCGCGCCACCGCACTCCAGTCTGGGCGACAGAGCAGGACTCTGTCTCAAAAATAAATAAATAAATAAAAATAAACATAAAAAAATAAAAATATAAAAAACTAGCTGGGTATGGTGGCGGACACCTGTAATCCCAGCCACTTAGGAGGCTGAGGCAGGAGAATCGTCTGAACCCGGGAGGCAGAGGTTGCAGCAGTGAGCCGAGATCACGCCACTGCACTCTAGCCTGGGCAACAAGAGCAAAACTTCGTCTCAAAAAAAAAAAAAAAAAATGCAGCCAGGCGCGGTGGCTCACGCCTGTAATCCCAGCACTTTAGGAGGCCAAGGCAGGTGGATCATGAGGTCAGGAGATCGATACCATCCTGGCCAACATGGTGAAACCCCGTCTCTACTAAAAATACAAAAATTAGCCGGGTATGGTGGCACGTGCCTGTAGTCCCAGCTACTTGGGAGGCTGAGGCAGGAGAATCGCTTGAACCCGGGAGGCGGAGGTTGCAGTGGGCCGAGATCGCGCCACTGCACTGCAGCCTAGCAACAAGACTCCGTCTAAAAAAAAAAAAAAACTGCATCACCACCCTGCTGTATGCTTTTTTTTTTTTTTTTTAGACAGCGTTTCACTCTTGTTGCCCAAGCTGGAGTGCAATGATGTGATCTCAGTTCACTGGAACCTCCACCTCCCGGGTTCAGGCAATTCTCCTGCCTCAGTCTCCCAAGTAGCTGGGATTACAGGTGCGCGCCACCACACCCAGCTAGTTTTTTATATTTTTAATAGAAACAGGGTTTCACCATGTTAGTCAGGCTGGTCTCGAACTCCTGACCTGTTATCCACTCGCCTTGGCCTCCCAAAGTGGTGGGATAATAGGCATGAGCCACTGCGCCCGGCCTGCTCTATGCTTTCTAGCCCCCATCCCTGACTGACTTTTCTCCTTGGTGTTTACAGCTGTTGATATGCTATATAATCTGTGTATTTGTTTATTAACTGTCTTATCCCACTAGAATAGAAGTTCCAGAGGACTGGGATACAGGGGCTTCTGTCTGTTCATTCACTGCCACATCCAAGTTGCCTACAACTGTGCCTGCCACACAGTAGGTGCTCAATAAATATTTGGTGAAAGAATGGATGAAGAGGCCAGGCGAGGTGGCTCATGTCTGTAATTCCAGCACTCTGGGAGGCTGAGGCAGGTGGATCACTTGAGGTCAGGAGTTCGAGACTAGCCTGGGTAACATGGCAAAACCTCATCTCTACTAAAAATACAACAATTAGCTGGGCGTGGTGGTGTGTGCCTGTAATACCAGCTACTTGTGAGGCTGAGGCAGGAGAATCGCTTGAACCCAGGAGGTGGAGGCTGCAGCGAGCTGAGATCCCGCCATTGCACTCCAGCCTGGGTGACAGTGAGACTCCGTCTCAAAAAAAAAAAAAAAAGAATGGATGAAGAATGAGTTCCAGACAAGATAAGCCCAAGCTTCCAGCATGGAGGGGTTTGGGTTCGAGCTTGACTTGCTAGGCCTGGAGTTATGAAATCTCAGAGCTACTGGTCTAAGCTCTGAGCTTCCCCAGGTGTGGCTAGCAGGTAGGAGGGCTGCTTACCTCTGAGGGGCATGGCTCCTGCGCAGCCCTGCCAGCATGTCCAGCTCCTGCATGCTGCCACGGCTGACTGAGGCAGTGGAGTTGGCAAGGCGGATGGCGCGGCGCTTGGCCCTGCGAGGGCAGCAAGAAGACAGCAGGCTTCCGGGTCCCACTGGCTGGGAAGACACAGAGGTGCTACGGCTGGTGCGGCCACCCGGCGAGACGGCTCCCAGGGCTTCACTGAAGGTGAGCTCATCTGTGAACTCATGGCACTATGGGCAGAAGGGAGGCAGGGTCACGGGGCATCCCATGGGAGCTGATCCCACCCTCAAGCCTTTGCTCAGGCTGTTTTCTCCTTTCTGGACATTGTTCCCTCTTCCCTTCCCTTGCCCATTCTTCAAGGCTTGGCTCTCCTGTAGCCTCTTCCAGGAAGCTCTGTGTGATTTCCACAATTTGTAGTGAGCCTCCCATCCAAGGGAGAGAGCTGGCATGGCCGCAGAGGGACCCCCTCTATTCTGCTATATCACCTCACATTAGGCCTCACCGTTGTCTTCTCTAGACAGTGCAGCAAGTGGTGATGTTGCTGTTCAAAGGCAGAACGGTTCCTGACACAAAGAGCCTGTTCCTCGCCACTGCCGCTGTCCTGGAGTAGATGGAGCAGAGCGATAAGGGCAGCACCTTCCTCCCCGTTATGGCTCACCCCAACCCTATCCAGGCCCCGACCCACCTCAAGGCCCCCATTCTGCTTGTACTGCAGGAAGGCATTGGTGGTACCACTCTTTGCCAATCGGATCCTTGCCAAGCGCACCTTCTGCAGAGAGAGGAGATAAAAGGTCAGGTGGGTAAGCCCCAAAGTAGACTGGCTTGGGGTGTGGGGAGTAGGAGGTGCTCGGATGGAAAGTGCGGTTACCTGCTGTGCTCGGCGCTTGTCAGCCCGCTGGTTCTGGTGGTAGATGCGGCTAAAGTTGGACACAATGACTGGCACAGGCAGGGCAATGACCAAGACGCCACTGAGTGAGCAGATGGACCCGAAAATCTTGCCAGCAATGGTGCTGGGCACCATGTCTCCGTAGCTGGAGCGAGGGGAGGTAGGCCAAGGTCAGGAAAAGTGCCCACCTACCTTTCAGTCCCCCACTCCATCCCATCTAATCCGGACTAGCTCTGTGACCCTGGCCAGGCACTCAAACCTTCTGAGTCCCTCAGTTTCTTGCTCTGTAAAATGCTGGGTGGCCAAGTGAGAAATGGGCCTGGCCCTCAACCCCTACCATCTGCTGCCCCTGTCCAAGCTACATACCAAGCACCTGAGTCAGCTAGAAATCTATGAAAACCAAGCAGAGGGGAGCATGAGGAAGTCACAGGCAGTGAACACAGCCTCCTGGGGAGAGAGTCCCAGCACCACAGGCCAGCCGAAGGGCTTCAAGTCCCGGGAGGAGTGTTTTGTTGGTTTTGGCTGCCTCTGTCTTACCTGCTCTAGGTAGGACCCCTTTTCATTCCCCTATAGGGGAATCCTTGAAAACTGTCCACATATGACAAAACAGGGAGGAGCCTTGAAACCCTCCTGCCTTTCTCCATGCCACCCACCTCCCACAGAGACAGAGCAGAGCCAACCTTACTAACTTGTTCACAGAGAGCTCCCCTGAAGATCAGGGAGATTCTGTAACTGACTCGCCCAAGATCACACTGCATACTCTTGTTCTGACCGCAGAACCAATCAGAACTCCTCCAGAGAAACACAGCCTCTGCAGTCTTCAGCCTCTAAGCCTTTTCTCAGGCTGTGCCCTAGGATGGCTGTTCCTTATTTCGGTATTTTCACTCATTTTAAGCATTCAGGACTCTGCTCAAAAGTCTTTCCAACTTGGCCATTGCTGGCTCTGTGATGTGTCATCTCAGAGCGTGTCCTCAACTGTGAGACATGGGCAGCCATCCACCATCACAGAGTTGTTGTGAGGACTTGAATAGAGTAAAAGCCATCAAAATACTCAGTTCCAGCCCACTGTCAGCGCTCAGTATTTGTTTGTCAGTCTGATCCTGGACCTCCAACCAGAATTGGGGTTTCTACGCTTTAGAAACCCCAAATCAACTTTTTTTTGTACCTCTATGAAGAAACTGAGCAAACCCAATTCATTCAGTCATTCCTTCAACAGATACTGAGCACCAACTGTATACCCAATCCCAGTGATGGAAACTTAGAGAAGGATCACAGCATCTGCCCTAGACAGTATCTTTGGAAAGCTCATGAGTTCGATGATTCCATTTGATACTTTTATCCCAACTCTGTTTCTTCTGCAGGGATCGACAAAAAAATAATAATAATAAAAATGCTGAAAACATCTTGTTCTGGGAAACATCAAGGAATCACAAAGGCTCAGAAGTAGTGCCCCACACAGCAGACAATTCTAGAAGGTTGGGAGACATGGGTCCCCAAAACAGAAAAAGGTGCTAGAAAGCCAACACCTATGTATCCTGCACCAGAAACATTCAGAGAACTTTCACAACTATGATGTCATTGAATCCTCTCTAGATGATGAAGGGATCAGCATTTCCCATTTTACAGAGGGGAAAACTGAGGCCATGAGAAAACGACATCAACAGAAAGAGAGCAGCTAAGACAATCCTTGAACCCAAGTCTCCTGACCTAGAAAATCAAGGCATTGTCAGAGCTGGGAGGGATCTGAAGAATTAAGTCCAGCTCCCTCAGTTTGTACAGATGAGCAAACTGAAGCTCAAAAAGAGAAAGAGGCCAGGCGCGGTGGCTCACACCTGTAATCCCGGCACTTTGGGCGGCCAAGGCGGGCGGATCACCTGAGGTCAGGAGTTTGAGACCAGCCTGGCCAACGCGGTGAAACCCCGTCTCTACTAAAAATACAAAAATTAGCTGGGCATGGTGGCGTGTACCTGTAATCCCAGCTACTTGGGAGTCTGAGGCTGGAGAATCACTTGAACCCAGGAAGCAGAGGTTGTAGTGAGCTGAGATCTTGCCACTGTACTCCAGCCTGGGCGACAGAGTAAGACTCCATTTAAAAAGAAAGAAAGAAAGAGATCATTCCTTTAAACTTCCTAATTTTACAGAAAGGGTGAGTGTAATCGGGCAGCCCCCAACGCAGAGTCCACACTCACCCAAGCGTGGTCATGGTGACAATGGTATACCAGAAGGCCGCAGGGATGCTTGTAAAGTTGGTCTTGTTTGTGCCCTTCTCAGCATAAAACATGACAGTGGCAAAGATGATGATGGCCATGGTTAGGGAAAAGAGGAGAAAGCCCAGCTCAGAGGCACAGCTCTTGAGTGTGTAGCCCAGAATCCTCAAGCCCTGTGAGTGCCTGGAGAACTTGAAGATGCGAAACACCCGGAACACACGCAGGGTGACAAAGGCGCCAGAGACATCGTCGTTCTTGGGCACCAAAAGCCCAATGTAGTAGGGCAGGATGGCCACCACGTCGATGAGGCTCATGACACTCCGCAGGAAGCGGCAACGGCTGGGGGCGGCAAACAGCCGCAGGAGGTATTCACCTGTGAATATGAGTACACAGGCTGTGTCCATGCAGAAAAAGGCCTGTGGGAAGCGTTCGCCACAGGGCTGCTCCCTTGAGGACCTGCGTGCAGAGCCGCGGCATGGGATGGTCTCCACCACATTGGCGATGACCGACACGGCGATGAAGAAGCCGGTCACATAGTAGAAAACGAGGGCTGCGGTGCTCGTGTGTGGATTCTCGAAGGCCCGCCAGAGCCGCTGCCGCAGGGAGCTGCCTGCTGGCAGGGCTGGGCCGTCCCCGGCCTGCTCTGCCTCCTCATCCTCTGCCAGGCGCTCGGCATTCTCCTTCTTTCGGTCCCGATACTCTTCAAGGCAGCAGTCACCGACTAGCTCGGGAACCAGGCCGTAGAAAGCCAGCTCTTCGTCGAAGGCCTGGATGCACTCCTGCCGTGGGCAATGCAGCCGCCCCGTTCGGTAGAAGTTCAGCACATGGCGGAACATGTCAGGGTCGCGATCGAAGAAGTACTCGCCTGAGTCAGCATCGTAGAAGAATTCCTTCTCCGAGCTGCCCAGCAAGGTGTCTGGGTAGCGGTCCAGCGTATTCTTCCAAGTCTCAAAGCGCCGTCCGCTCACGTTCACCACCAGAACCTCATCTCCTCGAGATGCCTTCACCCCCGGTGCCGGGGGCAGGGGTTGCTGGGCCAGGGGCAGCCAGCCCACTGCTGCTGCCCGAGCAAAAGGCAGCCACGTGGCCAGGCCTGCCGCCATCGTGCCACTCCCCAAGCCCAGGGAGACTTAGTGAGGGTGGCGTTTAGGAGAATGTGGCTGTCTCCAGGATGGTGGGGGCTTGGAGACACCTTGAGCCACCCAAACAAGGAAACTGGGGGTGTCTAGAGAGGCCAAGAGGAACCAGGAGGAAGAACTAAAGAGATGGGAAGGAGTCTGGGGGACATTTACAGAACCTAGGAGGGGCCTGGGCAATGTTCTGAGGGACTGAGAAGGGCCTTGGGGACATGGAGAAGAGCAGAAAAGGGGTGTGGGGATGGGGCCAAGAAGGAGCTGAGGGAGGGTTTAGAGAGACTGAGATGATTCTAAAGGAGTCAGCCTGTGCCTGAGAGGTGTCTGGGGGCGTCTAGAGGGGCCAAGAAACACGTGGGGAATTCTCTGCACTCTCAAGAGTCTCAGGGAAGGCAGAAGAGCCTGGAATTCCTTTGCAGTGGTGGAGAGGAGACTGGGGCATCCAGAGGGGTAGAAATGGGACCAGAGGTGCTTGAAAGAGACTGAGAGTGCCTGGAAGTGGGGGTTCTAGAGGGGCTGAGACAGGTGAGGAGGGTTGTCCACACCCTCAAGACTTCTAGGGGAAGCATAAGAGGGTTAGACCCCCCTCATGGATCTGGAAAGGGAGCTGGTGCATCTTGAGGGGTGGCTGTGGATCCAGGAGGTTGTAAAGAGGCTGAAAGGTGTCTTGGGACTGCCTAGAGTTGCCAAGAATAGCCCGGGGGGGTGTCTATACTCTACAGGAGTTCTGGGGAAGAAAGGAGAGGCCAGAGCCTCCTAGTAGGGCTGGAGAGGGGAAGGGGTTATCTAAAGGGGTAGACAGGGGGCTGGGTTATTTTTTGAGAGGCTGAGAGTTATCTGGGGGAGGTGGGTATCTAGACGGGCCAACAAAGCCTGGTCGACACTCTCAGGAGTTCTACAGGGAGGAAAAAGGGGCCTGGGGAATTCCAAGGGCCGGGACTCAAATGTTAGGAAGTTGGGCACAATCCCAGAGCACCCAGGGGATCTATGAAGACTAAATAAGAGGAAGGGGGTTAACCCCAAAATGGGATTAAGAGGGGGGTGGGGTGTTGAAAGGGAGTTGGGTGTGTCTCCAGGGAGGGGGGCTCCTGGGCTTTGCAGGAAGCTGGCAGGAGACGCCGGGAGAAGGCTGGGTCCCACCGTTGGGGGCAGGTCTGGGGAAACCACACCCCGAGGGGCTGGCGGTGTGTACTGGGCAGTGGCAGTAGCAGCAGCGGCAGCAGGAGGAAGAGAAGCAACCACAGCCAGGCATAGGAGAGAAGGTGGCATAGGCAGGGGGAGGGTGCGGGGTCCCTGGAAGGAGGCCTGGGAAGGGCAAGGTCCAGTGGGACCCCTGGGGACTATCCCAGGATGGGTTAGGGCGTGGGGGCTGGACCAGGGAAGGATGAGGACAGCGCTAGTGGTGGTCCCCCTCCCCCTCTCTCTCGGGGCGTCCTCACCTGTGTCCCCGCTGCAGGAGCAGCAACAGCGGTGGGGCTGGGGGTACCAAACACCCGAGCTCCTGGCCCCCTCTGCAGAGCTGCCTGAGTTCTCCTCCTCCTCTGGCTCTCTCTCCCCGCCCCTCTGAGCTTGCCGGGAGATGGAGAGGCAGGGAGGGGCCTCGTGGCTCCCTGAGCCCCCTCCCCTAGGACAGCCAGAGAGGGACCCTGGGGAGACTCCGCCTCCTACAAAGCTGGTTGGGCCTCAGTCGCGTCATCTGGAAAATGGGGGTGGCAGGGAACTTCGCCAATTCTCTCCACCTCCTTCCTGGACTCCCCTCTCTTCCTGCCCAGCTCCTACCCGCTCTGCCCCCAGGGGCCCCCACCCCCACTCGCCTGAATCAGCAGCACTTAGCAGATCCGATCGATGGGAAGGCGTCTGTTAATGGCCCCAGAGCGGAGTGCCACAGGGAATGATGCAGCGCTGTCCCCTCCCTGCCCCCCAGACTGTGGAAAGGCAGGAGAGCCAGGAGTCGGGGGTAATTGCTGGGGAGTGTTTCTCTAGATGGCCAAGCTTCCGAAGCCGCCCCCTTGAGGGGCGCAGCATGGGTTACAGCCCCAGCTCTAAGACTTCGGCTGTGGGATTGGAGCACGGGACTTCCTGTTTTTAGATATGAAATGAGGGTAAAGGGAATGTAGAGGGGGACAATCCAGGTCCCACCCCCCTACCATCTCAGGCAGGCCCCACTCCGAGGGGGTAGTCTCTCTTATCTGTCCATATCCAGTGGCCTCAAATCACACCTCCTCCGCTAGAGGGCTCTGCTTCTGGATGGCAGGAGCACTGATTATGGAATGCCTCTGGCTGGCTATGGGTGGGTTCAAACCCCAGCTTTGCCACTGACTTGCTGCATCCTTGAGCAAGTGACTTGCATTGTTTCCTCAGTTGTCAGATGGAGAGACTTATCCCAACTTGATAGCGTCATTTGGAGCATTACATGATGTGAAAGGTGATAGCACTGGACACAGCTCACACCAGGGATGCTTAATCTTAATTAAAGGAGTGTGATGACAGGGGCACTGTAATGCAGGGCCAGGCCTAGCCTTTCACCCAAGATTTACCCACCCGTGTAAACTTCCAATTGCCCATTTGGCACACTCCTGATTTGTCCATTTCTACATCCATTCCTCCACCTACCCATCCACCCATTCTCCCACCCACACAATCAATTCCTCTATCCATCCCTCCACCCACCCGTCCACTTAGTCGTTAATCTACCCACCCACTCATTCATCCATTTGTAAGTTCACCCCATTTGGCTGTTTGCCAATCTATCTGTATGTATCCATCCTCTGCCCATCTCTTCCCACCCGGAACACATGCAGGGTGACATCCTCTGCCCATCTCTGTCCATACATAGCTCCACTTGTCATTTCTTCTCCCACTCTTTACCCTTCCCATTCATTAGCTCATCTACCCATCCATCCATTCCCCCAACCATTGGTCCATTTACTCCTAACCTGTCCATAAACCCATCCATCCACCTGTCTACCTAAATCATCCACCCATTTGTCCATAGACCTATTATCCATCTGTCCATTTACATCTCTACTATCCATCCTCTATCCACCTACCAATCTATCTACCCATTTATTCATCTAACCACCTATCCATCCATCCATTTATTTCCCAATCTATCCATCATCAGTCCATGCAACCGTTCACTTATACATCCATCGGTCCATCCAACCACTTATCCATCCTCCCATCTGTCTACTCATCTATACCCACAATCCCATACATGTCTACCCATGTACATATCTGCAGGTATTTCAGCTCCACTCAGTTTGAGGGGCTGGTCAGCAGTAAATGGAGACAGGCTGGATGAGGGTGGGGAAAAGAGAGTAACGTTGCAGCCAGAGACCTCTCTCCCTATTCCAATGGTGTAAACCTCCCCGCCCCCAGCATATTCCTCCTGGTTGAAAAGAACGAGACGAGACAGTCAGTGGGTGGGCCCGTCTGGCCAGATGGTATTTTGGCTGCATAGCCTTTACACACACACACACACACGTGTTGCTAGAACGCTGAACATGGACCACACACCCACCCAGCATCCCCAATCCCAAATGCAGAGTAGCCAGGCTCCAGACATAAATTAAAAAATAAAATAAAATAAAATAAAAAGAGTTGGTCTCTGGGAAGGAGAGCTCATGCAGAGATGAAGACAGAAGCCCTTGGGAGCCAGGACCAAGAAGAAGGAGAAATCCCTGCCCCTTCCCTCAGGATCCCCACTCCCTGGTGGCCTCTGCCCTAAGACAGGATCATTAACACTAACCATCAGGCCTCTAGCCCCTTTAATGTCCAGTCTCCCAAGCTATTTGATTTTGGCTCCAGCCCTCATTTTTCCACCACAGCCCAAGGGAATAGCATCCTAGGGGGTAGGAAGGGGAGGAGGTGGGTGCAGCCTGCAGGTCTTTAGCTGGTTTCTCCTGGCTCTAGGTCTGGGTCAGGAGGCCCCACGCACTCCTTGCTGAGCCGCACAATTTCCTGGGACAGAACTTCCATATCCTAAGAAACAAATGAACCATCAGGGGCCAGAGAAGGGGACAGGCTGCTCCCTTGCCAAACGTAGGGTATCATCTGTGATTTCCCTCACACCCTTTCATTAATCAATGCTCAGCTGTGTCTGGCCTGGGATGAGAAGGTACTTGGAGAAGCTCACAGCACCCCCAACAGTGGGCAGGGCTCAGAAAAGTCATGAGGATGGGTGGGGAGCTACAGATAATGGGAGTGGGATGCCTCCTGTGGCATGGTGCTGCTGCAGGATACACCACCACTCTGGCCACCTGCTCTTCTAAGTGTGAGCTTGCTTCTCAAAGGCAGGAGCTGGGTCTGACCCCTTTCTAACTCTCAGAGATGGGGAAAGTCCTTGGGTGGCAGTTTGGGCAGAAAGATGTGTGTGTGGACCCATGGGCATGGGGGATCTATGGTAGACAAATTGGTGGACGAATGAATTGTCCAGAGGACAGATGGAGATCAACAGGTGGGCAGGCAGGTAACTGGGTGGGTGAAAGGTAACACAAGGGGCAATTGATGAGTAGATAAGAGAATGATATGTCAAGAAATGGGTGGCAGGACATGGGGTAGACAATGAGATAAGTAAGTAGTAGATTGGGTAGATGGACAGATGGGCAAATGGTTGGGTGAATGTGTAGATAAATGGATGAGCGGGTACATGGAAGGAATGAATGGATAATAAGTTGATGAGAGGGTGGAAGATGAGAGCATGATGGAGTAGTTGATGAGTGGGTAGGAGGATAGCTGGGAGGACAGGCTGGGTGGGTGGGCAAGGGGACTGGCAGATGACCCAGGGGCTATGTGGCTGGGTAGGCAGGTGGCTGGGTGAACAGATGGGTAGGCTGGCAGGCCACACTTGCCTTGTGCAAGTGCATATTCTTGGTGAGCTGCTCCTCCAGCATGTTCTGCAGCTTCTTGTTCATCTCCCGAAGGTTCTCGTCACCTGGCTTCACTAGGTCTCTCAGGACGCTGCCCAGCCCGCTGCGGTCTGTGTGGCCTGCTGCCACAGACACATCTGCAAGGGCCCAGGCTGAAAACCACCCCCTCGGCAGAGCCAGAGGAGAGCCAGGCAGAGCCAGAGGAGAAAAGAGGGAGACGAATACCAGGGGAGAAGGCAGCAGGAAAAGCCATGTCATGTAGGACAGAGGCTTTGACATACAAAACCTAGCTCTGTCACTCACTAGCTCTATGGCCCCGAGAAATGAGGATAACTAACTTGTGGAACTGGAAAGATGCACATGACTGTATGTGAAGCACAGAGCACACAGAAAGTCCTCAGCACATGTTGGTCAGTATGATTCTGATTAATAAAGAAAAATCTGTGAAGGAGAAAGTTTGAAAGAAAGCAAAAGCAATGAAGATACAGAGAAGGAAAACAATATAGACAGCGAGACAAGATGAAGGAGTGGGGTGAAAAAGAGAAACGGAGAAGAGAGAAGGGAGAGAGAGAGGAGAGGAAGATGAGGCACAGGGAGAGGAAAGGAGAAAGTGGACAGAGAGACACAATGGAGAATGGAGAGTGGAGAGATGACAGAGAAAGAGAGAAGAGGGAGGAGGCGAGATCAAGAGACAGTGCTTTCCTGTTCTCCCCTCCACAGGCCATGGTCTTGTCAGTAGCTTCGCTGAGTTCCGAGAGGAGAGGAGAGAAGCCGCAGCACAGAATGGAGAGGGAGGGCCAGGTGAAGGCTGGACCAGGGCTGAGGGCCGGGGAGGGGACACTGACCGATCCGGCTGTCCATGACGTAGGTCTCAATGATGGCGCTCTTCCGGCAGAGGTCCTCTGCCATGGAAGCACTGCTCACTTCCAGGTGCTTCACCTGCAAGATGGCCCAGCCCACCTGAGACCCCTCTACTGTACATGTTCACACATGAGGCGGGCCCGGGCAGACCCCACACCCACAAGGGCACTTCAAGTGGGGATGGGCAGGCAGGCAGGCAGGCAGCACCTTCTCCTCCAGCATCCATTTCTCCTGCTGTGTCTCTGCCAGCCGCTGAAAGAGCTCAGCCACTTCCTCATCTGACAGCTCTGCTGGCCGAGGGGGCTGGGCTTGAGGGCTGCTGGATAAGGACTGCAGGAAAGAGAAGGGGAGAGGCCAGCCCCGGGCTCAGCACCACCGACCCCAGACAGGTGTCAGGGACTGGGGAGGAGAACCAGGCCAGAGGTGGGTGAGAGAACATGGGCCCTGAAGCTGGGACTGTTGGCCCATCTTGGTACCCTCAGACTCTGTTTTCTCCTCTGCCTAAATGGGGGTAGAGAGTAACCACATCAGAGCCTTGTGGAGAGGATTGAAGGAAGATCCCAAAGCAAATGAGATCTAACTTTCAGCTGACAGGAAAACTGGAAGAGAGGGACATGTTAAATCATACCACCAGGAAGCCAGCAGAAAAACCCAAAAGGTAGCATACTTCCTGTGGGGTGACTGGGCTGGCCTCTTCAACAAATTGGTCTCAGGAAAAAAGGGACCGCACTAAAGAGATTTAAGGGCCATAAAACAACCAGATGTAACATGTGCTCTGAATCTGAATGCTAGTTTTCATAAAACCAGCAAGAAAGGACATTCTGGGGCCAACTAGAGAAATCTGGTTAAGGTCAAAGTATCAGACGACATGAATTTTTTTTTTTTTTTTGAGACAGAATTTCACTCTTGTTGCCCAGGCTGGAGTGCAATGGCAAGATCTTGGCTCACTGCAACCTCCAACTCCCAGGATCAAGCGATTCTCCTGCCTCAGCCTCCCGAGTAGATGGAATTACAGGCACGCGCCACTACGCCCAGCTAATTTTTGTATTTTTAGTAGAGATGGGGTTTCACCATGTTGGCCAGGCTGGTCTTGAACTCCTGACCTCAAGTGATCTGCCCGCCTCGGCCTCCCAAAGTACTGGGATTATAGGCAGGAGCCACCGCACCCAGCCAATGACATGAAAATTGATCAAATTGGGAAGGTAGAGACAACAGTTGAATAAAAAACAGGTTAATCTCATCTAGGTTTTAAAAAGAGAGAGAATTCTGGAAGGGTATGAACTAAGAATTTATTTTATTTATTTATTTTTTGAGATGGAGTTTCACTGTTGCCCAGGCTGGAGTGCAGTGGTGTGATCTCGGCTCATTGCAACCTCCACCTCCCAGGTTCAAGCGATTCTCTTGCCTCAACCTTTCGAGTAGCTGGGACTACAGGCACGCACCACCACGCCCGGCTAATTTTTGTATTTTAGTAGAGATGAGGTTTTGCTATGTTGGCCAGGCCAGTTCTCAAACTCCTAACCTCAAGTGATCTGCCCGCCTCAGCCTCCCAAAGTGCTAGGGTTACAGGCATGAGCCACCGCGCCCAGCCCTGAACTAAGAATTTATAATGGTGACGTCTGGATGGTGAAAATATTATTTTTTTTTGACATTTAAGGTTTTTTTGTTTTTGTTTTTTTTTTAAATAGAGTCGGAGTTTTACCACGTTTCCCAGGCTGGTCTTAAACTCCTGAGCTCAAGTGATCCGCCCACCTTGGCCTCCCAAAGTGTAGGATTATAGGGATGAGCCACCACACCCGGCCAGACATTTAAGGTTTTAAAAAAATCTTTGCTCATTTGTGGTTTTTAAAAAATGTACTACAATGAGCACATACTATTTGTGGAACAATAAAAAAGTTATTTCCAAAGGAAAGTGGCTGGTAAGGAGGCTGACATGACAGCCGGCAATAATAATTAGTGATCATTACAAGTTGGAAAAAGGGACCTTCTCCTTGGATGGTGCACCTACTATGAGCCACATAATTTATGGCACCAGAGAAGGGGGAATTAGCCCACAGATGATTAAACAGAAAGTCAGAGAGAGAGAATGACTGGCCTGTCCTGCATGTCGCAATCTGAATCCAAGTTGGTGGGCTTGGGGAAAAGTTGACAAGAAAATATGTGTGCTGCGCCCAAAGTAGGAGATGGGTTTAGGTGAGGAGAAAAGGGGAGGGGTTCTCAGATTTTTGGGTTGAGAGAAGCTGGAGCTGTAGGTTCTTCCTTTCCCCTTACCCTGGCTGGAACAGCCGAGCTCTCCTTTTCCCGCAAGATCTCCCGGTAGCTGAAGGAGGAGATGCTACTGCTGTCCCCTGTCTGGGTCCGGCTTGGTGAGTTCATCTCTGAGAGAACCAGCTCCTCAAGGCCTGGGTGGTGGAGGGAAGAGAAACTTGAGCCCCAATACCCCTGAGTCCCAGGGCAGCAACCAGCAGGAAGAGGCAGAAATAGATTTAACAGAGATGGAAAGAGAGACACCTGGGCATGGGGAAAGGCAGAAGCAGACAGGAGGACAGGGAGAGACAGAGACAGAAAAAAGAGCTGAGGCTGGGCGCACTGGCTCACACCTGTAATCCCAGCACTTTGGGAGGCTGAGGTGGGCTGATCACTTGATGTCAGGAGTTCGAGAACAGCCTGGCCAACATGAAGAAACCCCGTCTCTACTAAAAATACAAAAATTAGCCAGGTGTGGTTGTGTGTGCCTGTAATTCCAGCGATTCAGGAGGCTGAGGCAGGAGAATCGCTTGAACCCAAGGAGGCGGAGGTTACAGTGAGCCGAAATCGCACCATTGCACTCCAGCCTGGGTGACAGAGTGAGACTCTTGTCTCAAAAAAAAAAAAAAAAAAAACAGAAAGAAAAGAAAGAGCTGCCTTTCTGGAGAAACACATACAAAATGAGAGGGAGAAAATGGAAGAGGTTGGAGAAAGAGAACGACATGGGTACACATGGGTCTCAAGTGGCAGACACACTTGGACACAGGGTTCAGAGAAAGGAAGACAGCTAGAGAGGGCACAGGGCACATCCACTTGCAGAAAGAAAATGCCAGAGATGGAAAGCCAGAGCAGATGATAGAAACTGAGACCCTGGTGAAAGAAGTGAGCCAGAGCAGAGACAGAGAGAAAAAAAGATGCCGGGCGCGGTGGCTCACGCCTGTAATCCCAGCACTTTGGGAGGCCGAGGCGGGCAGATCACGAGGTCAGGAGATCGAGACCATCCTGGCTAAAACGGTGAAACCCCGTCTCTACTAAAAATACAAAAAATTAGGTGGGCGTGGTGGCGGGTGCCTGTAGTCCCAGCTACTTGGGAGGCTGAGGCAGGAGAATGGTGTGAACCCGGGAGGCGGAGGTTGCAGTGAGCCGAGATCGCGCCACTGCACTCCAGCCTGGGCGACAGAGCGAGACTCCGTCTAACAAAAAAAAAAAAAAAAAAAAAAAAGAAATGCAAGCAGGCTCTCGTACCCACGCACCTAAATCTCAGTTTAATCTAATGGACAAGGTGAATGTATTGAATGTATGGTATACGATTGTAACGTTTCCCAAGATTATTATTATTATTATTTTTTAGACAGAGTTTCAGTCTTGTCGCCCAGGCTGGAGTACAATGGCGCAATCTCGGCTCACTGCAACCCCTGCCTCCTGGGTTCAGGCAATTCTCCTGACTCAGCCTCCCGAAGTAGCTGGGATTACAGGCGCCCGCCACCACACCCAGCTAATTTTTTGTATTTTCAGTTGAGACGGGGTTTCACCGTGTTGGCCAGGCTGGTCTTGAACCCCTGACCTCAGGTGATCCACCCACCTTGGCCTCCCAAAGTGCTGGGATTACACCTTTCCCAAGATTCTTACATTCATCTGTGATAAAACAGAAACAAAACTCCTTTTTAAAGAAAGGTTACTTCAGGAGACCGAGTGCCTCAGAGAGAAATTGATTTGGTGAGAGATACACATCTGTTTTGCCACATCACTTAAAGCCCTCGAGGATCTCTGGCAAGGGTGGGGTGACTGAGTGGGGATCCGTAGGTATCCCGAGTGGGGGAATAAGGGACCAAGTTTTCTCTGAGTCTGTAATCTAAGAGATGCACCAGAGCCATCACTGCATTTTACTTACTTAAATGTATTTATAGGCCATCCCCGTCTTAAAAAAGGCTGAAGCAACTAAAGTTGTGTGTGTGTGTGTGTGTGTGTGTGTGTGTGTGTGTGTGTCTTCTGCTTGAAGTGGCAGAAATAACAGATTGGATTAGCTGTATAATGAAAACACCACAGCGTTGCTGACTATGTATAAGTCTGTCTCCGTAGCTCAACTGGGGGCTTCTAGAGGGCAGAGACTCAGGGAGTTTTATATCAGGGACCCTGTACTTGAGCAGGGAGATTTATAGAATGAGAGATTGTATACAATAGATTTAGAAATGCCAAGTGAGGTGTGGGAGTGTGTAATGTAGTACATACAGTGAGGAGACAGACAGAGATATAAACAGAAGAGACGAAGAGGACACAGAGTGGCGGGAAGAGATAAAGGGACAGAGAAAAGAAAGGGCGGGGGCCGGGCCCAGTGGCTCATGCCTATAATCCCAACACTTTGGGAGGCTGAGGCGGGCGGATCACCTGAGGTCGGGAGTTCGGGACCAGCCTGACCAACATGGAGAAACCCCGTCTCTACTAAAAATACAAAATTAGCTGGGCGTGGTGGTGCATGCCTGTAATCCCAGCTACTCAGGAGGCTGAGGCAGGAGAATTGCTTGAATCCAGGAGGCAGAGGTTGCGGTGAGCCGAGATCACACCATTGCACTCCAGCCTGGGCAACAAGAGCGAAACTCTGTCTCAAAAAAAAAAAAAGAGAGAGAAAAGGAGAAAACTAGAGAAAGAAAGCAAGGAGATAAAGGCAAACATAGAGGAAAGAGAGAGAACAAACTGAGACAGAGGCAGAGACAGAAACAGAGAAGAGACAGGGCAAAAACGAGAGAAAGATAGAAATAAAGAGAGAATGCAGAGAAAGAATCAGAGGAGAGACAGAGAAAAGGTAAAAGATGGAGTTCCAGAGCGACAGAAGCAGGAAAGCACAGCTGAGGAAGATGCAGGACTAACCTGCAGCCTGCAGGCCCAGGCCCTACCTCCCCCATGCCTCAGCCTCCTCTCCCTGTCCTAGTCCCTCACCTGAGCGGCTCTTGCTGTTAGTGAGGATGTCCTGCAGTCGCTCCTGCAGCTTATCTGCCCGTTTCCGCTCCAAATGCAGCTGCCGCTTGAGGTCCTTGAGCTGTGGGGGACAGGGGTAACATGAGGACTGAGGCCCAGTGGGCCCATAGGAGGGAGGCTACAGGTAGGAGGGAGCCGTGCTTGGGCACCGCTCTGTCTTACCGCAGCACTGCCCTTCTTCTCCAGGATCCTCTGCCCATCCACTGTGTCCTTCACCTCCTGTGGGAGAAAGCAGGCATGGCTGGTAGATGCCGGAAGGGCTGCCTGAAGCATGCTCCCTCCCTGCCCCTCCTGTACGCTGAGGATCAGGGGTGTGTCTGGGGCTGTGCAGTGACCACTGACCTGCTTCAGGCTGCTAATGGTCTTCAGGTGGCAGTCCCGCTCCTCCTGGGCCTGCTCGAGCTGATCCCGTACATCCTGTAGCTCCTCCTCCTTGCCCTGCAAAGCAGAAAGCAGCTTAGGCATTGGCTTGGGAAGCCTCTGTCCTCCCAGGAGGGCCCGTCACTGTCTGGAGAGAGGAACACCATCATGCGAGAGGCACCTTCAGCTCGGCAGCGTGCTGCTCCCGACACTGCTTGAGGGCTTCCTCTTGTTCCTGCTGCTGCTGCTGCAGGGATTCCTACAAGACAAGTCCCAGGTCTGGCCACAGCCCCCCAGAAGGTATCATGCCCAGTTAGGGGTATGAGGGACTGCAATGGGGGCCCAGAGGTATGCAGAAATGACCCTCCTGCAGGGAACCCCACACGCCCTTAGGCAATATGCTGAAGTGTCACATCTAAAGTTGCACCATTCGCATGGTTGACTTAGATTTGCATTTACATTTTATTTTATTTAACAAAACATAGCGCTTACTACATGCCAAGAATGTTCTAAGGGTTTTACATATATTAACTCATTTTCTATAATCCTCCCGTAATACCTAGATGGTAGATATTATTGTTACCCCCTTTTTACCATTGATGAAAACAGGCCACAGAGAGGTCAGATAACTTGCCCAAGGTCACACAGCTAGGAAATGGCCCAGCCAGGATTCAAACCTAGACAAACAACTGGCTCCAGCCTGTGCTCTTCACTGCTACATGACAATGCCTTTCAGTGTATTATGAGATTTCCAGAAAATGGCAACAAAGGTTCTTTTTCCGAGACAGAGTCTCACTCCGTCACCCAGGCTGGAGTACAGTACACGATATCAGCTCACTGCGACCTCTGCCTCCTGGGTTCAAGTGATTCTTCTGCCTCAGCCTCCTGAGTAGCTGGAATTACAGGCGCCAGCCACCATGCCCGGCTAATTTTTGTATTTTTAGTAGAGACAGGGTTTCACCATGTTGGCCAGGCTGGTCTTGAACTCCTGACCTCAAGTGATCCGCCCACCTCGGCCTTCCAAAGTGCTGAGATTACAGGCGTGAGCCACCGCACCCAGCAGGTTCTTGTTCAATAACATCAGTGTATTGCATTAATTTCCTGACAGAAGTACAGTTTCAGGAGAAAGAGGTGCCTTTCCAAATTTGCACAAAGGCAGGGCAGCCTTAACACGTGACAGTCTGTCCTATCTGATGGCCATCCCCTGATCCACTCCAGAGGGCTGCTATTGAGCCAGGGGACTGTGGGGATATCCCTAAGTCCAGAAAATCTCGGGAAGTTCCAGGGCCTGACCACTCCTGCTTCTGTGGTTTGACATGAGGGCCCCAATCAGCCTCTGTTCCTCACCAGGCATCACCAACTCACCTCGGCTTCCTTCAAGCGCCGTTCAAACCAGCCCTTGGCTCCATCCATGGAATGTACCTGAGCTTGAAGTTCTTCCACTGTCTGCTGGAGAGTCTCCAGCTCCCGTGTCCGGGCCTGGGATGGGGCAGACTGTCATGGGCCAGGAAGGCAGAGGAGCGGGCACCTGATGCATGCCACCCACTGGCCTATCAGCAACGCTGTGGTTCCCAGGTTTTAGAGGAAGAAGGGCATCATCATCTACCCACCCACCTTCTCCTCCCGGATCTGCCCACGGAGCTCCTCCTCCTGACGCTTCTTGTCTTCATGCAGCTCTCGGAGCTCACGCTCATAGCGGGCACGCACCCCCAGCACCTCCTTCTCATGCCGTAGACGAACTGCTCCCAGCTCTTCCTTGTGCTGGGACTTCTCTTGCAGCGTTTCCATTGCTAGCTCATCCAGCATGGCCTTCCGCTTCTCCGCACTCTGGGGGCCAGGACGATGGCAGTCAACTTCCTTCCACAACATCGAAAAAAGGCCTCCAACCCTCTTCCCATGCCCAAGGAACTAGCCAAACTCCACTCCCTCCCATCCCCACTGAACTGGCTAAGGCACTCACCCATCCTTATAGAACTGGTCACTTTCTTTCTTTCCCCTCCCACTCTCATGGATTTGGCCAAGAAACTGGTCAACCAGAAACCAGTCAATTTTCCTTTCCCTCCTATCCCCACATGTTTGGTTATATCACCTCCTCCCATCCCCATGGACTGAGCCAATTCCTACCCCCCATCCTCTCCCTTCAACCCTCATGTTCCCCTACCTTCCGAGCCTCCTGTAATTCCTGGGTCAACTGCTCCTTCTCCTGCCCTATTTCTTGAAGTTGTTCCAGCAGTCGACTATTGGCCCGTAATGACTCCTAATGCAGACACCAAAGGGAAAGAGTTTGATAAAGAGCATCCAGTAGGTGCTAGTCACCCAGGACCATCTGGTAGACCATCTCCCTTCTCCCTGGTAAAGTTGGTATTGTGATCTCAATTTCTGGATAGGAAATATAGCAGAGACTGCTAGTTGCTCCCCAGTATTCATTCTTCCTTACTTCCCTAGCAATAAAATTTATCATCGGGCATACAGCTGTCTAGCAGATGTTTCCCCTCCTCCCTTATGGTTAGGTGTGGCCATGTGATTTATTTCTGTATGTGGAAGTGGTGAGTGTAATTTAGGTTATGCTCTTAAAGGAAAGGGGCACACTCTTCCCTGCCCCTTTCCTCCTTCCTTCCAGATAGAATACAAACATGATGGTCGGGGAGTTTCAGCAACCGTCTTGGATGCCAAGATAAAAGTCTTGTGTTGAAGGTGGAGGAACAGCAATGGAGAAAGAACCTGGGTCACAGATGACTGGAAAGCCATCATTCCATCCCTGAATAACCTACCTGGACTTTTAATGAGAGGGAACTAAATTTGTATCTTATTTAATCTACTATTATTCTGGTTTCTATTATGGAATCAGAATGGATATTGCTTGGGAGGCTGAGCCGGGTAGATCTCCTGAGGTCAGGAGTTTGAGAAGCCTGACCAACATGGTAAAACCCCGTCTCTACTAAAAATACAAAATTAGCTGGGCGTGGTGCCAGGCGCCTGTAATCCCAGCTACTCCGGAGGCTGAGGCAGGAGAATCGCTTGAACCCAGGAGGCGGAGGTTGCAGTGAGCTGAGATCGCGCTACTGCACTCCAGCCTGGGCAACAGAGTGAGACTCCATCTCAAAAAAAAAAAAAAAAAAAAAAAAGGAGCCGGGCGTGGTGGCTCACGCCTGTAATACCAGCACTTCGGGAGGCCGAGGCGGGCAGATCACGAGGTCAGGAGATCGAAACCATCCTGGTTAACACGGTGAAACCCCGTCTCTACTAAAAATACAAAAAATTAGCTGGGCATGGTGGCAGGCGCCTATAGTCCCAGCTACTCGGGAGGCTGAGGCAGGAGAATGGCGAGAACACGGGAGGCGGAGCTTGCAGTGAGCCGAGATCACGCCACTGCACTCCAGACTAGGTGACAGAGCAAGACTCCATCTCAAAAAAAAATTAAATTAAATTAAAATTTAAAAAATGAAAAAGAATTGATATCCTAACTAACTGAAGAGGCTCAGTTTCAGAGAAGTGAAATGACTTGTCCCAGAACACACAGGTGCTAATAAGTTAGGGAGCCAGACTGGAACCTAGGTCCTCCTGACTCCAGTCTTCCCACTCCACCTTACTGGGGACTTCACTGGGCCATTACTAGGGAACTAGGAAGAGACAGGCCAGAGCCAAAGGTGTTACCTGGAGCTGGGAGTTGAGGTCATCTTTCTGTCCCATAAGGTCCTCGTACTCAGCCTGCTGCTGCTGCAACTCAGCTGCCAGCCCAGTGGTCTGTTCCCGGAGCATATTCAGTTCTTGGGTCTTTGCTGTTTGGATCTGGAGAAAGTAGTGGTGATGAGAAGTAGAGTGAAAGGGACCCCAGGGGCCAGGGACAGGGTATGAGCCCCCTAGTTCCAGGGAAACAGGGAGGGAGGTGGGAAGAGAACCAGGAAGAGAGAGGAAATTTCAAACAGAAAAACAATGAAGAGAATGGGTAAATGTGGTATGTTCATACAATGGAATACCACACAACAGTAAGAGAACAGATCTGTGCTGCCACGTGGATAAACTTACATAGTGCTGCCAGAAAGAAGTCAGAGACAAAGAGCAGCTGATTCCATTTATATGAAGTTAAAGAACAAGCGAAATGAATCTTATGTTGCTAGAGATCAGAATAATGGTTACTTCTGGGGGAGTACTGACTTTGAAGGGGTAAAGGGGACCTTCTGGGGTACTAAAAGTGCTTTATACTTTGATCTGGGTGGTGGCTATGGTGGCGGGGAGAGAGAGAGAAAAAAAAGAGAGAGACGAAGAGAGGATTCACTGAGTGTACACTTAAGATTAGTACATTTCATGCACTTTACTAGAGAGAAACTAGAAACAAAGAAAAGCAGAAGCCGGGCGCGGTGGCTCATGCCTGTAATCCCAGCACTCTGGGAGGCCGAGGCGGGTGGATCATGAGGTCAGGAGTTCGAGACCAGCCTGGCCAAGATGGTGAAACCCCGTCTCTACTAAAAATACAAAAATTAGCTGGGCATGGTGGCACACGGCTGTAGTCCCAGCTATTTGGGAGGGCTGAGGCAGGAGAATCGCTTGAACCTGGGAGGCGGAGGTTGCAGTGAGCCGAGATCGTGCCATAGCACTCCAGCCTGGACAACAAGACCGAAACTCCGTCTACAAAAAAAAAAAAAAGCAGAGATAGGCCAAGCACAGTGGCTCACACCTATAATCCCAGCACTTTGGAAGGCCGAGGTGGGAAGATAGCTTGAGGCCAGAAGTTTAAGCCAGTCTGGGTAACATAGTGAGACCCTGTCTCTACAAAATAATTTTGTTTTCTCTTTTTTGAGATGGAGTCTCACTCTGTCACCCAGGCTGGGGTGCAGTGGCACAATCTCGGCTCACTATAACCTCCACCTCCCAGGTTCAAGCAATTCTCCTGCCTCAGCCTCCCGAGTAGCTGGGATTACAGGTGTGCGCCACCATGCCCAGCTATTTTTTTTTGTATTTTTAGTAGAGACGGGGTTTCACCATATTGGCCAGGCTGGTCTCGAACTCCGAACCCCAGGTGATCCGCCCGTCTCAGCCTTCCAAAGTGCTGGGATTATAGGCGTGAGCCACTGCGCCTGGCCTAATTTTTGTATTTTTAGTAGAGACAAGGTTTTGCCATGTTGGCTAGGCTGGTCTCAAACTCCTGATGTCAGGTGATCCGCCCACCTCTGCCTCCCAAAGTGCTGGGATTACAGGTGTGAGCCATCATGCCCGGCCAATAAGTTTTTTTTCGTTTTGTTTTTTGTTTTTTTGAGACAGAGTTTCACTCTTGTTGCCCAGGCTTGAGTGCAATGGCACGATCTCGGCTCACCGCACACTCCACCTCCTGGGCTCAAGCAATTCTCCCACCTCAGCCTCCCGAGTAGCTTGGATTACAGGTGCCCACCACCACACCCAGCTAATTTTGTATTTTTAGTAGAGACGGGGTTTCTCTATGTTGGTCAGGCTGGTCTCGAACTCCTGACCTCAGGTGATCCGCCCTCCTCGGCCTCCCAAAGTGCTAGGATTACAGAATTGAGCCACCATGCCCGGCTTTTTTTTTTTTTTTTTTTTTAGACGGAGTCTCGCTCTGTTGCCCAGGCTGGAGTGCAATGGCACGATCTCGGCTTACTGCAACCTCCGCCTCCTGGGTTCAAGAGATTCTCCTGTCTCAGCCTCCCGAGTAGCTGGGATTACAGGCACACACCGCCACACCCAGCTAATTTTTTGTATTTTAGTAGAGATGGGGTTTCACCGTGTTGCCCAGGCTGGTCTTGAACTGAGCTCAGGCCATCCACACATCTTTGGCCTCCCAAAGTGCTAGGATTACAGGCATGAGCCACCACGCCCTTTTTTTTTTTTTTTTTTTTTTGAGACAGAGTATTGCTCTGTCGCCCAGGCTGGAGTACAGTGGTGCGATCTCGGCTCACTGAAACCTCTGCCTCCTGGGTCCTGGTTCAAGCAATTCTCCTGCCTCAGCCTCCCCAATAAAATTTTTAAAAGTTAAAAAAAAAAAAAAGTAGGGATGGATGGCCAGAGAGAAGAGGGCTGGACGCCAACAGAAAGGAGCAACAGAAACAAAGACAGGAGAACAGCATGGGGTCCAGACCACCCTACCCTGATGTGGACCAGAAGCAGATGGAGATGGGGGAACTGGAGAGGGATCAGCAAGGGCCCCCAGGTGTTCTTTACCTGCTCCAGGGCAGCCAGGCTAGTCCTCAAGGCATTGTTCTCAGCCAAAAGCCCTTCCACTTGTTCCTGTGCATCTGCACTCTGGATGGATACCTGGCCCCACGTCCACAGCAGGTGAGAGTGGGTCCAGAACAGGGGGACAGGACCTACCCACGACCAAGAAAGAAAGGACACACACACACACACACACACACACACACACACACACACACACACACACACACACGAAGGCCTGGGGGAAGCAGGATCCCTGGGACCTTGCCTGACTATGTAGTACCCACTCAGGCTGCCCCCATCCTGAACCCCAGCTCCCTGAGCCCACGCAGTACAATATACCTGATCTTGTAGGGCCCGCAAAGCTGCTGCATGTTCCAGGCGCTCCCCCTGCCGCTGATCTCTCAGCTCTGCCAAGCTCTGTGGAGACCAGGGGAGCCCATTTTACACCTCAGCCTCTCCTGGGGTGCATATAACCGTACAGACTCTCTGTTTGACCACCCAGCAGCATGTTCTCAGCACCTGTGGGTCTCAGACTATCCAGCCAACAGCAATCTCAGGTTCACCCAGACGCCAGGTCACTACCCTCAGGGGCCTCAGACACAGTCAACCCCTCTATCCCAGCGTACAAGATCTCAGGCACGACTAGACTCCTGGCCCTAGCTGCTACGCGGTTCAAACTCACTCAGCTCCCATCCATAAGAAGTCTCATGCTCACCCAGATTCTAGCTTGGGAGCTCCAGGATTCTCAGACACAGTCAGCCCCATGGATCTCAGATGTAGTCAGCACCCAAGGATGACAGTTTCACCCAGCCTCCCAATCCCAACCACCAGGGGTTTCAGACACACTCATCTCCCACGTCCCTACTTCCCAGGTGAGATCCACCCAAACTCATAGTCCCAGATCCTAGAGGTCTCAAACTCACAACCTCCTAGTTTCCAGGTCCTGGTGAACTCTCAGACTGACCCCTTCACCTGTCACTCTGCTCCCCAGTCTCTTGGAATCTTCAGACCCAGTTAACCACCAGTTCCTGGGGGTCTCAGCTTTACCCAGACTCCCGTCTCAGACCCCATGTTCCCAGTTTCTAGGGACTTCAGAACCACAAGCCACCATATCCTCCATTCCAAGGGACCTCAGACTCACCTTTTCTAGAAGGAAACCCAGAGGCTTCAGAACCATCCAGCCCCCAGTCCTCAGGAGCCTCAGACCCACCTAAACTTCTGCTCCAGCCCCTGGAGGTCTCAGACTGACCAGCTTTTTGTTCACAGCCCTCAAGGATCTCAGGACTACCTAGCCCATATGATCCCACTTCCTAGGTGTCTTAGGCCCAAGCCAGCGCCCAGATCCTGAGGATCTCAAATGCACTCAGCCTTCAGCCCCAACTATCTCACCCTTGAAAGTTGTATATCTACCCAGCCATGTCCTCAGCCCTTGGGAGTCCCAAATTTACTGACATCCCAGCCCCTAAAGATTTCAAAGTCACCCAGCACCCAGGGAGTTCAGACTTACCCCAGTTCCTGGTCCTAGGCCCTAGTGACCACAGATTCATCCAGACTGTGGTCTCAAACCTCCAGGAGTTTCAGATTTACACAAACTTATAGCACACAGCCCCCTAAGTCCTTAGCCCCCTGAGATCTTACACTCATGAAGACTCCTATAACAATTCCTAGGGCTCTCCAATTCCCATTTTCCTAGCTCCTGGGGGGCCCCAGAACCCATTTCCAACACAGGAAATCTCAGACTCCCCAGCCAGCCTCCATGGACCTCAGACCTCTCCAGGCTCCCAGTCCTGGCCCCTACCCCAGGGATCTCAGAACCCAGTCCCCATCACCTGATTGGCAGCCTCAAGTTCCTGCTGCAGCTTCTGGGTTCGAGCCAACTGGGCTTTGTGATCAGCTTCCTTCCGTTGTTGTAATTCCTCAATCTTGTTCCTAGGAGTGATGGGGAGGGGGTGTGTTGGACATGGCTTGAGGCCCAGTCTCCTAGCTCTGCCCCTGTAATCTTCACTGGGCACTGTCCCAATTGTCCACCAATACCCGCAAATCTGGCAGTTACCTGCTGTCATTAAACAGAGTCTCCTTTTCTGTCTGCAGACGGCAAAAACTGGGCACAGAAGGACAGATGTAGATGGGTCAGTTCCGTAAGTTAATTCCCCCCTCGGCCCCCAGTACCCTTGGGAAAAAGAAATTTACCTTTCTTGTTTCTTTTTCAGTTTCTCGGAGAGCTGGGGAGAGAGGTACAGACAAGTGATAACATTGAGAATAATATAAAGACAAACCTAAAATTAATAAATATAGACACTTCTTATTAAGTCATTTTTGGAAGCCAGGATTTACTTATGTTGTCTTGTGGAATCCTCAAAATAGCCCTGACAAGTGAGTAGTACCAGTTTTACAAATGGGGAAACAGAGTCTTGGAAAGGTTAAGTAATTTGGTTGCTCAGCGGGTCAGCAACAACAATATTATCTCCACCCAGATCCTTCAGGTTCCAAAGCCCGGTATTTATGCTCCCAACATAGTGGCCAATGGCCATGTTATAGATTGGCTAGGCTGGGAGGCCTGGAAAGCAGGATATCATGACTGGGTGCCGCACCCCTGGGTCTCCAGGTCCTAAGATAAGAGCCAGGAGTCTGTAAATGCTTGCATGAATGAATGAATGAGTGAATGGGCAAAGCTGAGAGATGGATGGGATGAAACTTATCATGCACAAGATATAGTGGGACCACATTAACTCATTCCATACTGAAAGTAACTCTGAGACATAGGTGTGAGTCTCTCCATTTCACAGATGATGAAACCTAGGCTTTGATGGGGTACAATGCCCCTTCTGCCCTAGGATTGGGAATGGAATGGGAAAGAATCCAGCAGATTGGGAGCAGAATGGGAAAGAGCCAAGCAGCCGCACCTTAGCAAGTTCCTCCTGCAGCCTGGATGTTTCGGCCTGCTTTGAGCTCTGCAGGGAAGGATGAGGGATGGGAGGGTTGTTGTTAGCAAGGACAAGGAGAAGCCTTCCCCTGCCCTCCTGCCTCCCTCACCCCATCAGCCCACAAGATGGTGATGTCACAGCCATCTCCGTGGGACTATAGACAGAGGTAGAACATCTGCCCTGCCTTCTGGCATTCCAGCTCCAACAGACTCAGATTCACCTCTAAGCCTTGCAGCTGTTCCCAGAGCAATCTCTTCTCCTCTTTCTCCATTTCCCATTTCAGCTCCACCTCTGCCAACGGCATGGGGGCCAGGACGGTGGGGGCCAGGCCCCCTGGGGGATCCCCCTGGCCCTCACTGACAGCTGAGAACTTCCCGGCTTCTTTCCCATAGCGTTCCTGCAGGGCTGGTGAGTAGAACAGGGATATATGATGGATGAGGTGGTCTCTGAAGTCCCTTGCCATGCCTCGAATAGAGGGAGAACTGGCCTTCAACCCCTCAGGTGGCAGAGTCCCTGTGCCAAATGACCACATGCCTAAAAGACGAAGGTTCAGCTCTATCCATGCCTCTCACATTTTTTTCTTTTTTTTTTTGAGACAGGGACTTGCTCTGTCACCCAGGCTGGAGTGCACTGGAATGATCACAGTTCACTGCAACCTTGACCTCCTGGGCTCAAGTGATTCTCCCACCTCACTCTCCCAAGTAGCTGGGATCAGAGGTGTGTGCCATCATGCCGGGCTAATTTTTTGATTTTTTTGTAGAGACAAGGTCTCGCTACATTGCCCAGACTGGTCTTGAACTCCTGAGCTCAAGCAATCCTCCCACCTCAGCCTCCCCCAAAAATCTTTTTCCGTGGCTGGGCACGGTGGCTCACGCCTGTATCCCAGCACTTTGGGAGGCCAAGGCAGGTGGATCATGAGGTCAGGAGTTCAAGACCAGCCTGACCAATATGGTGAAACCCCGTCTCTACTAAAAATACAAAAATTAGCTGGGCGTGGTGGCGCACGCGCTTGTAATCCCAGCTACTCGTGGGGCTGAGGCAGGAGAATCGCTTGAACCCAGGAGGCAGAGGTTGCAGTGAGCCGCGATCGAGCCATTGCACTCCAGCCTGGGTGACAGAGTGAGACTCCGTCTCAAAAAAATCTTTTTCCCTAGACAGTCTTGCTCTGTTGCCCAGGCTGGTGTGCAGTGGTGCAATCATAGCTCACTGCAACCTCAAACTCCTGGGCTCAAGCGATCCTCCCAAGTAGCTGGGACTACAAGTGCACACCATGCCCAGTTAATTTTATTTTATTATTTATTTATTTGTTTATTTTCTTGAGACTGAGTCTTTCTCTGTCACCCAGGCTGGAGTACAGTGGTGTGATCTCGGCTCACTGCAACCTCTGCCTCCCAGGTTCAAGTGATTCTCCTGCCTCAGCCTCCCAAGTAGCTGGAATTACAGGCATTTGCCATCAAACCTGGCTAATTATTGTATTTTTAATAGAAATGGGGTTTTGCCATGTTGGCCAGGCTGGTCTTGAACTCCTGACCTCAGGCGATCTGCCCACCTTGGCCTCCCAAAGTGCTAGGATTACAGGTGTGAAACACCGTGCCTGGCCTAATTATTTTATTTTTAGTACACACAAGTTCCTGCTATGTTGCCTAGGCTGGTCTTAAACTCCTAGCCTCAAGAGATCCTTCTGCCTCAGCCTCCCAGAGTGCTGGAATCAAGGTATGAGCCACTGTGCCCAGGCTCTCACAAATATTTTAAGCCCTATCAACCACTAAGATTCTGTTTACTATTAAATTAGCCCAAGCTGGTTTCACAAATCCCATTCTCAATCCTTGAAGCCCCACCCATAGCCCTTGAAGGCCATGCCCACCATATGCTACCACTGACTTACAGCTGAATCCCTCCTAGAGCCTCCTAATTCCTACTCACATTCTACTAAGTCTCCCTCCTGGTCATGGAACCAGCATCCATCACCACAGAAGTCCCAGCTGCTCTCCAAAGTTCCACACACCACATGCTCCCACACTCTATCAAGCTTTCTTTCAGCTTTCATCCCAGACCCCACTTACAATCTGGGCTCAGAATCTTCCCAACACTCCATTCACTTTTTCACTTAGCAAATATCTCCTTTTTTTTTTTGAGATGGAGTCTCGCTCTGTCGCCCAGGCTGGAGTGCAGTGGTGTGATCTCGGCTCACTGCAAGCTCCACCTCCCAGGTTCACACCATTCTCCTGCCTCAGCCTCCAGAGTAGCTGGGACTACAGGCGCCCGCCACCGTGCCCGGCCAATTTTCTGTATTTCTAGTAGAGACGGGGTTTCACCATGTTAGCCAGGATGGTCTTGATCTGCTGACCTCGCAATCCGCCCGCCTCAGCCTCCCAAAGTGCTGGGATTACAGGCGTGAGCCACCGCGCCCGGCCGCAAATATCTCCTTTTTGACATTCAAGCTGCTAATCTGTAACATCTGCTAGGTACCAGACACTGAACTAATGCAGAATGATATCACCTTTTATCTCTACTACAATCTTCTGGGTGACAGACATCACTACATGCACTGTGTAGATGATAAGGCTTTGGCTCAGAGAGGTGAAATGGCTTGTCCAAAGCCACACAGGGCATGGGCCAACCCTATTTCTGAAGCCCTTCTCCTTCCCCTGAGAGGATGACGGCCTTCCTTGCCCTACTCAAGCCCCAATGTCTCCGCATCCCCAGGAGGGCCTCTATGCACCTGCCACGTTCTTCTGCAAGGCTGTGTTTTCAGCCTGTAGCCTCAGCAGCTCCCCATCCACGAGGGGCCCAGCTTGGGCAACCCCTGCTCCTGCAGCCCCCTCCTTCAGTTGCTGGTTCTCTTGCTCCAGCTGTTCCATCTGGCTGCAGAGCTGAACAGAGGAAGAGAAGGGGCAGAGAAGCAGAGAATCAGAGCAGTATTTGCTGAAACCTACATAGCATTTGTCCATGTACTTTACAATTCACTTAATTCCCATAATGACCCTATGATATAGGTGCCCTCCCACTTTACAAATAAGGACATTGAGGCACAGAGATGTTAAACAAGTTCAAATTCACACATCTTTTAAGTGGCAGAGTCAGAGAATACCAAGAGCATACCAAGTATGAGGACACCAAAAACCATTTTCCTCTTCCTACTCCCAACCTCAGAGATGCAATCCAAGACCTCAGGCTCCTCTGGAAGTTGTTAGTGCTACAGACAGCCTCACTGCAACCCCTCTTCTGTGGAGGGCTGGATCCTGGGCCCAGAGATAGCTCCCTCTCATCCTAAGCACCACAAAGAGCTCGCAGGGCATTTCCAGGGCCAACACTGATGACAGCTCCTGCATTGCCAGCCGTTAGTCTTGGAGAGGTATACAATGCCAATACAACTAAGCCAGCCCCCTGCCCAACTCCTGGCTGAAGTACACTTCTCAAAGCAGTCCTGAGAAAATTCCTTGTCCCCATTTTCAGATGAGAATATCGAGGCCTACAGAGAATTTTTATTTTATTGCCTGCAATATTTTCTTTCTTTTTTTTTTTTTTTTTTTTTTGAGATGGAGTCTCGCTCTGTCACCCAGCCTGGAGTACAGTGGCACGATTTCAGCCCACTGCAACCTCCGCCACCCGGGTTCAAGTGATTCTCCTGCCTCAGCCTCCTGAGTAGCTGGGACTACAGGCATGCGCCACCGTGCCCGGCTAATTTTTGTATTCTTATTAGAGACGGGGTTTCGCCATGTTGGCCAGGCTGGTCTTGAACTCCTGACCTCAGGTGATCCACCTGCCTCGGCCTCCCAAAGTGCTGGGATTACAGGCATGAGCCACCGCACCCGGCCTGCTTGCAATATTTTCTACCCAGAACACCAATCCTCTCATCCAGTTCTTCACCTAACTGGCTTCTTTGCATCCCTCAGTGCTCTGCTCAGATGTTGCCTTTAAAGTAGTATCCCTCAACACAGAAAATTCCAGTACTCTCTGTCACAGCACTGTTCATTTCTTTCTTACCTAGTACTAATCAAAATTTTCTTTTGTAACAAGCACAGATTCTGAAACCAGACTGCTTGAATGTGAATTTCTGCTCTGCCATTTACTAGCTGTGTGACAAATTACTTAATCTCCCTGGAACTCAGTTTTCCTCATCTGTCAGATAGGGATACTAATATCTCATAGGCTTATTTCAAAGATTAAATGAGTGAATAATGTAGAGTACTTCAAACAGGACTTGGCACACAGTAAGCACCATATAAATGTCAGCTATCACTACTAGTATTATTTGTTTACTGTTATCATCTTTCTCCTCATCCCACCCCCAGAATGTAAGCTACCCAAGAGTGGAGATCATTCTGTGCTGCTTACAACTGTATTTCCAGAACATAGAGCATGTGGTGGGTACTCAGTAACTATTTGTCGAAGGAACAATTAAGCTGAAATGTCTTGATGAATAAGGGGTGGTGGCAGGTTTAACGTAGCTCTCTCTGAGAGCACTTCCAGTTCCTGGGAGGAGTTGGAGGAGGAAGGGGACTATGTAGGAAGTCTCTACGACTAGCCCAGTGCTGGCCCAGGGCAGATGCAGGGAAACAAGCTGGATTTATGGAAGAATGTCTGCCCCTGCCTCACTCTGCAAGAATCATGATACCATGGAGGCTGGAGGCAGGAAGCAGTGAGGAGTCAGTCAGTGAAGCCAGCAGTTATGTGAATACCAGGGGCTCTGAACTAGGAGCAGGACTGGGGCACTGGAATGTATTAAGTAAAGGAGTGATGTCATAAGATCTGCAGGTCAGAACAGCCTCTGTGGTGTGAACTAAGTAGAAGAAACTAGAAGTGAAGAGACCAGGGAGGCGGCTGTAGAAACAGCAGATGATAAGTGGTAGAGGCTAAGGCAAAGCAGGGCCACAGGGTGGATATAAAACTTTTTTTTTTTAAATTGAGACAGAGTCTTGCTCTGTCGCCCAGGCTGGAGTGCAGTGGTGCAATCTTGGCTCACTACAACCTCCGCCTCCCGGGTTCAAGCGATTCTCCTGCCTCAGCCTCCCGAGTAGCTGGGACTACAGGCACGTGCCACCACACCCGGCTAATTTTTTGTATTTTTAGTAGAGACGGGGTTTTACCACGTTAGCCAGGATGGTCTCCATCTCCTGACCTCATGATCTGCCTGCCTTGGCCTCCCAAAGTGCTGGGATTACAGGCCTGAGCCACCACGCCCGGCCATAAAACTTTTAAAAAGTCAAATATTTTAGAGGGAAGATGAGTTAATAGAAGGATAATATTATAACTAATGCTTCCATAGCTGATACTATGTGCAAGGCTCTGTTTTAAGTGATTTACGTACATTTATTCATTTAATCCTCACAAAAGCCCTGTGAAGAGGCAGGTACTGTTATTATCATGACTTCCATTTTAAACATTTGGGAACCAAGAACCAGGCAAGTTAAGTAACTTCCTCAAGGTTACAGTTAGTAAAAGGTAGAGCCAAGATTTTAATCTAGGCCTTCTGGTTCCAGAGTCCCTGCTGGTACCTACTACTTGCTCAACTGCCTCTCCTGGTATTGTACCTGCTTAAAGGTTATTTTCGGTTTTGTTTTTTTAAGGTCATAGGCACTATATTCTCAGATGGAGCCTTAGAAATACCATTTTTGGGCCGGGCGCGGTGGCTCACGCCTTTAATCCCAACACTTTGGGAGGCCAAGACGGGTGGATCACCTGAAGTCGGGAGTTCAGGACCAGCCTGACCAACATGGTCATTTTCTCTACTAAATGTCCTCTCCCACCCATGTCATTTTCTCTCATCTCTACTAAAAATACAAAGTTAGCCAGGCATGGTGGCATATGCCTGTACTTCCAGCTACTTGGGAGGCTGAGGCAGGAGAATCGCTTGAACCCAGGAGGCAGAGGTTGCAGTGAGCTGAGATCATGCCATTGCACTCCAGCCTGGACAATGAGAGTGAAACTCCATCTCAAAAAAATTTGCTGCCATGAGACTTTTTTCCTTAAAACACACTAAAAACATAGACAATTATCAACTGTGGATACAGAAGATAGATGAGGGAACAAAAGACAATGTCTCCAACTGCCCAGTAGATTTAGAAACAGACAGGACACTAAAATCAATGGGGAGATAGAATTAGTAGCTCCAGGATGAATTATCTGGAAGAGGTAGAACCCCAGGCTCATGTCAGATGAAGAGAAGAAAGAGAAAAGGGAAGAAGCTCGAACACTTTTCCATCCTATATTAAGCATAAGAACTCTGCCTAAAACCCCCCAACACCTTGGAGCACCACAGCATCAACCCCACATTATACACATGGAGACTTGAAGCTCAAATAAAAGGAGTGACTTGGCCAGGAACCAGGTGACCTCAGGGCTCAAAGCCTTCTAATCCCAGCAGAGTGAGCGGCCCCATCTGTCAAATTACTGCCCCCCAGCAGCAATCCAGGACCTGTTTCAGCACCACGGACAGTGCTCCAGGGCCAGACCCTGTCCAATCACTCTCTGCCGCTGTTAGGTTTCAGCCCAGATGACCCCTACCCCTCATTTCCCCTTTGACTATCCCAGGCACCAGCACCTTGCTGAACTCGGCCATTAGTGTGCTGTTCTGCAAACGGAAGTCCTCCTCCTGGCTGTGCAGCTTTGCCTGCAGCATCTCATTTTCACTCAGCAATACCTCGACTTCCTGCAGTGGCAGACAAGGGCCAGGACTCCAGCAAGGGCAAAAAGGATAGGGAGGTAGGGCAAAGAAACAGAGAGAGGGAGAAAATGACATGGGTGGGAGAGGACATAGGGTACAGAGAATGAGGTGATATAGGAGAAAGAGACATGGGGAGGGATAAAATGAGAGACAGGGAAAGGAAGATAAAGACATGGGAAGGTAGAGAGAAGGGAATACAGGGAGGAAGAGAGCGGAGGAAAAGACAGGAAGATAATGATTGGGGAGAGAGGAAGTAGAGATGGGGAAAGGGGGAGAGATAGAAAAGGGGAGAGGGATTGGGAGGGAGAGAGTGAAAAAGACGGAGAGAAGAACAAACAGAAATCAACAGGGAGAGAACAGAACAGGGAGAAGAGGAGGGGTCAGGAAAAGAAATGAGTTAGGAAGAGAGAGGAATGGGGTGGAAGAAACAAGGAGTTAGAGAGAGAAAGCAGAAAAAAGAGAAATCACCGAGACAGGAACAGGAGGGGGAGAGACAAAGAGAAGATTGGGAAGAGAAATGAGTCAGAGAGACAGGAACAGGAAAACAGACAGAGACAGAAAGAGACTCAGAGAAAAGAATGGAAAGAGAGAGAAGGAAAGAGACACAGAGTTAGGACAAATACAGGGAAACAAGGACAGATACAGCAACACATGGCAGTGAGGTAGTAGCAGATGTAAAGGCACACAAAGAAAGAAAGGCCAGTACAAGGAAATATCAGCATACAGAAATAGCCCACCAAGACATCTCCCAGTCACACTCACCCACAAGGGATCCCCTTACCTGAGCTTTCTTGCTCTTGCTCAGTGCCTAAAGTGGGGGTGGGTGGGAAGAGAGCTAAAGTGAACAGAGATGGACTGCCTTACTAGGATATGGAGACAATTGTGCCAAGCGTTTTGGGAGGACAAGGATGACAGGGGTTGCAGGATGGGAGCATCTTCAACCACAGAACATGTGTGACAATTTGGAGCCCAAAGGAATGATGGAATGAGTGTGTGAGTGAGTGAATGAATGCAAGTCTTGCCCTGGGGCCCCAGCACACATAAATCATCCTTTCTTGGAAGCTCTTGAGGCTGGTGGGGGGACAGGGGAGGTAGGGAGATGCCCTGGTATTTAACCATTTATGGGCTGGATCTCCAGACTCAGAAACTGTGGCTTCATTGCTACATCTGTCCATACATGTCTCTGTGGGTCCCTCCCACGCAGTGTGGAAACTGTCGCTCCCCTACTGGGCAGCCAAGAGCATTGCCAGCTTAGGGGAATCAGCATCCTACCAAAGAGAAGTGCAGCTTCCTGACTGTCGGATTTTCTGCATACTGTATTCGTTCATCCAACAAATATTTATTGAGCACATATTATGTATTAACATTGTGCTAGGTATGGCTAGATATGGGGACAGAGCAGTGACAAAGGAGCACCTCGAATGTCTTGAGGGGCCACAATAGGTTATATCCTATCTCATCTTTAGAGGATCTGAGAGGTGGGTTTGCTCTCATTTTCCCAACTGGACCAGGACAGAGATGGGAAGTAGGAGCACAAGGCAGGAGTGTGAGTAGAGGATGGGAGGCAGATTCGAGGTAGATTTACTGATAGATTTGAATATTTAATTAAAAGTCAGTGAATGAGAATGAGTAACTGAAATTAGAAATGAATTAAAAGTAAATTAAAATTAATCACTAAATTAAGCAGGATTAGGTAAAATTAGCAACTAAAGAGAATTCCATTGAGAATCCTTTAAATGACTACGTGAAAACAGCATGCAACATTAGGTCTGGTTCACTGTAGGTGCTCACTGGAGGGATGAATGAGTCAGATAGGTAGAAGCAAGGGTGGATGGGTAGGTGGATGGGTGGGTGGAGGGAGGTACCTTCTGAGCTTTGCTGAACTCCTTATCCAAGTAGGCGACCTTCTGTCGAAGACTGGTGAGTTCTGGTGTCGGGAAAGCAGGGAAACTCAGCCTCAGCCAGTGGCAAGAAACTGAAAGGCCTTCCTGCCAGGCCTCTGAGGGAAAACCTCGGACACCATTCCCCAAAGCCACCCCCATCTAATAAGGCCCTCCTGGCTCACCAACACCATTCTTGCGTAGTTCATCTGAAAGCTGGTAGTTGTTTGTCCGGAGTTCCAGGAGCTGAGCCTTTGGGGGAGGCAGGAAGGGAAAAGACTTGGTCAGGAAAGCGCCCCTACCCCTACCATGAGGGAACCAAGCCCCTAAGCTCCACAGACCTTACGCCCTCCATGTGCCTCTGTAGCTACTCCTTAAGACCTGTATGTGCTACACCCAAAGTGACCTTCCAGGCCCTCAGACCCTGGCTCACCTTTTCCAGCTCCACTTATAACCCCAGCCAGCCTCACCCCTCCATCTCACACTACAATCCACGCTGCACTCAGGCCATCCCAGAGCACTGCCCCCAGTCAGGGTCTTGCTTGTGTGAGTTCCCTGGCTCTCCATGCCCACAGGATAAAGTTCCTCCTCCTCATCCTGGCTGACCTCTCCACACACTGAACACACACTGTCAGGGGTGTTGTCCATATTTCTGACCAGACCTGGGGGCCTCTGATGGCAGGGGGTTAAGGGCCTGTCTTCCTCCCTCTTTCCTAAGGGAAAAGGGTCAAGTATTCTGCCCAACTTTCATTGAGTCAGGGGGCTTTCCAGGGTCCCCCCACCTCCAAGGCTCTCAAAATACATCCAGGCCCCCTTCAATAATTAAGGGAGGACCAGGTGCGGTGGCTCACACCTGTCATCCCAGCACTTTGGGAGGCCAAGGCGGGTGGGTCACGAGGTAAGGAATTCAAAATCAGCCTGCCCAATATGGTGAAACCCCGTCTCCACTAAAAATATAAAAAATTAGCCGGGTGTGGTGGCGCACACCTGTAGTCCCAGCTACTCGGGAGGCTGAGGCAGGAGAATCGCTTGAACCTGGGAGGTGGAGGTTGCAGTGAGCCGAGATTGTGCCACTGCACTCCAGCCTGGGTGACAGAGTGAGACTCTGTCTCAAAAAAAAAAAAAAAAAAAAAAAAAAAAAAGAATTAAGGGAAAGTGCCAGGCGCAGTGGCTGACACCTGTAATCCAAACACTTTCGGAGGCCAAAGTGGGCAGATCACTTGAGGTCAGGAGTTCAAGACCAGCCTGGCCAACATGGTGAAACCTCATCTCTACTAAAAATACAAAAATTAGCTGGGCGTGGTGGTACGCACCTGTAATCCCAGCTACTAGGGAAGCTGAGATAGGAGAATCACTTGAACCCGGGAGGTGGAGGTTGCAGTGAGCTGAGATCGTGCCACTGCACACTATAGCCTGGGTGACAGAGAAAGACTCTGTCTCAAAAAAAAAGAAAAAGAAAAAGAATTAAGCATCCTCCTCCCTACCAGCCCTATAGGACCCTGAGGCTGGTTCTACCCAGCAAGGCCGGTTCCTTCCCATTAAGGAACTTACTGTTCCTTCCCCTACCAGGACTTTTCCCTCCCTCCCACGCCACCAGCCTCCACTCACTGTTCTCTGGTAGTCTGCTCAAGGTCAGAGGGCTTGGCCTTCACAGAATCTTTCCTACTCCTGTCCTCTCCAGGACCCAGTGATCTGTCTCTCCAAGTACTGGTCCAAGTGGAATATCCTTTGTACCCCCCGAGACTTGCCCCCCAACAAAGCCCAGTAGTTCTCCCTCATTCATGGCCCAGTGGGATCAATGTTCCTCATTCAAGGGTATTCCCACTCCCCTCAAGATCTCCCCAGTCATGATCCATTGGGAATGGCCCTACACCCTTCAGGGTAGGCCTCTACAAGGCCTTGGGTAGGCCAGTTGGATGACTCTTACTCACTTAGAATCCCTTTCAGATGACAGTGGTCTTCCCCATTCATGGGTTAATCAACTCGCCCTTCCATTCTCAGTGTCCCTCACACAGGGACAGCTGGTTTCCCTCATTCAAGGACCAATTGGATTACCTGTCCTCCCTCAGAGTTCCTCCCCTCCCCATGCAGGACCCTGTTCAGACCCCCCCCCCAGTGAGGAACCCTCTCAACAAGGGCCCATTCATAGTGCAATGCTATGGCCTTTCATTGCATCTCAGAGTCCCCCCAAAAGAATCAAGTGGGGGTACCTCCCCAAAGCCCAGTGATCTTCCCTCCTTGTAGTCCAAGGTATCAATCTTTTACCCCTCTGGTCCTCCCCCCAGTTAATGGGATTAATGGTATTACCCATTCATGGCCTTCTTCACCCCAGGCCTAATGGGATCACCCTTAATCATCCAATGGTGCCGCCCCCTCTTAGGATGCACTACCAACCACCAATGGCACAGGATCTCCACCTCCCAGGAACAATGACAACATCTGGGGTCTTTCCCCAATCCCCGGGCACAGTGGTATCTCCCCCAAAACTTACCACCTCCCACCCGCTAATGGTTCTGCCCTCTCAAGGGCTCCCACCACCATGACGCAAACGACCCAACACCCGCTTCCTTCCTCTCCAGACAAAATGGTTTCGCCTTCTCAGGATCTCCTTCCCTCAAAGCCCATTATCATCACCCGCCGACGGTGTCCCCTGCACGGGCCCAAAAGTCTCGTCCCCTCCAGGTCTGAGTAAGGTACCGCCTACTTAATGGCGCTCTCCCAGCCCACAATGCTAACAGAGTCCAACCTTCAAAGCCGCAGAGTATCTCGGAATCCAATAGTCTCACCACTCCGAGCCTCAGTTTCCCTTCTCCAGACCCACCCCATAAACTCAGGGTCCATCCCAACCAACCCCTTCTCAGAGCTGATAGCACGACCTCTCGCTACCCCGCCCCCGGTCGCCTAGCCGGGTGGTCTTTCCCACCGCGAGCGGCACCTGCATCCGCTGAAACTCCTCCTCAGACAGAGCTTGCGCCATGTTCCTCCCCCCACCCCCCCGCCAGCTTTCTGCGCAGACGCAGCTCGCGCCTCCTGGCAGTATTAAGGTCGGACCAAACCACTGGCCAGGAATGGAGGGGGTAGAACCTAATTCCGAAGGGCAGCATTTTGGAGACGCAGAGAAGAGAACGAAACCGACGAGTCAGGTGAACTGTAATACAACGTTCTACCCGAATGTAAGTCATCTGATTGGCTTTTGGACTCTTCTAGGCCACCCATTGTGATACGACATTATTACATCCCCGTTTCATGGGTGGACTCGTCGCTAGGGAAGTCTTTGCCGACAGAAAATCACCCTTCCGCGGTATTCCTTTAATGAGAATGGGTAACTTAATAACCATAGAAATGAAAGCGGAAGCTTCGCTCTGGTCTTGTTCCCGCCCCTCCTCCGGGAGACCCCAAAGGGGAATCCCACCTCTTGTAAAGCCTTTGGCCTTTTTTTTTTTTTTTTTTTTTAAGGTTTGACACTTATTTTGTTATCATGATACTGCATGTCACGTTAGGTAAAGGACTTAGCCACCAATAAAAATAGCAGAGTGGAAAGAGTGACAGTGAATCAAACGAAAAAGCTACATTAAAACAAAACAAAAACAAAAAACAAACCAGGGTGGTGAAACACCAGGCTCATTCAAGTATTAGAATTCACTATAACCCTCACCGATCTGAGAGTAAGAAATGGTATCTCAGTGTAGTTTTTTTCTTATTTTCTTTTTTCTTTCTGTTTTTGTTGTTGTTGTTGTTGTTGTTTTTCTTTTTTGAGACGGAGTTTCACTTTTGTTGCCCAGGCTGGAGTGCAGTGGCACGATATCCGATCACAGCAACCTCCGCTTGGCGAGTTCAAGCGATTCTCCTGCCTCAGCCTCCCGAGTAGCTGGGATTACAGGCGCCCGCCACCTCGTCCGGGTAATTTTTTTTTTTTTTTTTAGTAGAGACGGGGTTTCTCCATATTGGTCAGGCCGGTCTCGAACTCCCGACCTCAGGTAGTCCGCCCGCCTCGGCCTCCCAGAGTGCTGGGATTAAGGCGTGAGCCACCGCGCCCAGCCTTCTTATTTTCGTAGAATTTAATGATTTCCCTGCTGTGGAAAAATATTTCCAGCAGGGCCGGGCGCGGTGGCTCACGCCTGTAATCCCAGCACTTTGGGAGGCCAAGGAGGGCTGTTCACTTGCGGTCAGGAGTTCGAGACTAACCTGGCCAACATGGTGAAACCCCATCTCTACTAAAAACACAAAAATTGGCCGGGTGTGGTGGTGGGCGCCTGTAATCCCAGCTACTCGGAAGGCTGAGGCACGAGAATCGCTTGAACCCGCCAGGCAGAGGTTGCGGTGAGCCGAGATCGCACCACTACACTCCAGCCTGGGGGATAGAGCGAGACTCTGTCTCCAAGAAAAGAAAGAAAAAGAAAAGTATTGCCAGCCAGGACTCTTTGATTTCTTTCTTGATTTAATTGACTTTATTGAAAGATAACGCTATTGATCTGTCTATATACATAAATGCACCCATTTTAAGGGTACAATTTAGTGAGCTTTGTCTAATGTATACAACCTTGTAACCACCATCACAAGCAAGATAGGGAACATTGATTTCTTTGTATCCTATCCCAAACCCCACCCCCTATCCCAGGTAACCAATGATTGGCTTCCTGTTACTGGATTACATTTCTCTTGCAGAGTTTCATGCAAATAGAATGAGACAGGATGTATCCTTTTCTGTCTGGCTTCTTTCACTCATCATAATCCTTTTGAGATTCATCCAAGTTGTTTCGTGTATAAGTATCTTTTTTTCTTTTTATTGACTAGTAAAATTCCATAGTATGGGCCGGGCGGGCTCAGTGGCTCACGCCTGTAATCCCAGCACTTTGGGAGGCCGAGGCAGGTGTATCACCTGAGGTCAGGAGTGCAAGACCAGCCCAGCCAGCATGGTGAAACCACATCTGTACTAAAAATACAAAAATAAGCTAGGAGTGATGGTACACGCCTGTAATCACAGCTACTCAGGAGGCTGAGGCATGAGAATCGCTTGAACCCAAGAGGTGGAGGGTGCAGTGAGCCGAGATCGTGCCACTGCACTCCAGCCTTAGCGATAGAGGGGAAAACTCTGTCTCAAAAACAAAACAAAACAAAACAAAATCCATAGTATGACTATACCACAATTTGTTTATCCATTCTCTTAGTGTAGTTTTAATTTGTGTTTCTCTTATTATGAGTGAGATTCACCACCTTGTCCTATGTTTATTTTATTTTTAATTTTTATTTATTTGTTTTTTTGAGACGGAGTTTCACTCTTGTTGCCCAGGCTGGAGTGCATTGGCGCGATCTCAGCTCACTGCAACCTCCGCCTCCCAGGTTCAAGCAATTCTCCTGCCTCAGCCTCCCAAGTAGGTGGGATTACAGGCGCCTGCCACCATGCCCGACTAATTTTTGTATTTTTAGTAGAGACAGGGTTTTACCACATTGGTCAGGCTGGTCTTGAACTCCTGACCTCAGGCGATCCACCTGCCTCGGCCTCCCAAAGTGCTGGGATTACAGGCATGAGCCACCGTGCCCGAACTTATTTTATTTCATTTTATTTTATTTTGAGACAGGGTCTTGCTCTACCGCCCACGCAGGAGTGTAGTGGCACAATCAGGGCTCACTGCTGCCTTGACTTCCTGGGCTCAAGCAATTCTCCCACCTCAGCCCCCCAAGTAGCTGGGACTACAGACATATGCCACCAAGAATCATTTTAATATCTGTTCTTATTTTATTTTTTTAATTTAATTATTATTTTTCTTTTGAGACAGAGTCTCCCTCTGTTGCCCAGGTTGGAGTGCAGTGGTGCAATCTCGGCTCACTGCAATCTCTGCCTCCCGGGTTCAAGAGATTCTCCTGCCTCAGCCTCCCAAGTAGTTGGGACTACAGGCACCCACCATCATGCCCAGCTAATTTTTGTATTTTTAGTAGAGACGGGGTTTCACCATGTTGGCCAGGTTGGTCTCAAACTCCTGACCTCAAGTTATCCTCCCGCCTCTGCCTCTCAAAGTGCTGGGGTTACAGGTGTGCACAACCGCACCTGGCCTCTTTGCATATTAGGAATATTAACAACTTTTTTGGGTGAGGGTGTACGGAGTTTTGCTCTTGTCGCCCAGGCTGGAGTGCAATGGCGTGATCTTGGCTCACCACAACCTCTGCCTCCCGGGTTCAAGCGATTCTCCTGCCTCAGCCTCACGAGTAGTTGGGATTACAGGCACCCACCACCACGTTTGTATTTTTAGTAGAAATGGGGTTTCACCATGTTGGCCAGCCTGGTCTCGATCTCCTGACCTCAGGTGATCCACCCGCCTCGGCCTCCCAAAGTGCTGGGATTAAAGACGTGAGCTAAGCTACCACACACGGCCTTTTCCTTTTCTTTTTCTTTTTTTTTTTTTTTTTGAGACAGGGTCTCGCTCTGTCATCCAGACTGGAGTGCAGTGGTGCAATCTCGGCTCACTTCAGCCTCGACCTTCTGGGCTCAACCAGTCCTCCTACCTCAGCCTCCCAAGTAGCTGGGACTACAGGCACAGGCTACCATGCCCAGCTAATTTTTTTTTAATTTTTTGTAGAAACCAAGTCTTACTATGTTGCCCAGGCTGGTCTCAAACTCCTGGGCTCAAGTGATCCACCCACATCTGCCTTCCAAAGTGCTAAGATTTCAGGGGTGAGCCACCACACTAGGCCTACTTTTGGTTTTTTTTTGTATGTGTGTGATTTTTTGAGATGAAGTCTCGCTCTGGAGTTCAGTGGCCCGATCTTGGCTTACTGCAACCTCTGCCTCCCAGGTTCTAGCGATTCTCCTACCTCAGCCTCCCAAGTTGCTGGGATTATGGGCACGTGACACCATGCCCGTCTAATTTTTGTATTTTTGGTGAGACAGGTTTCACCATGTTGGCCAGGTTGGTCTCAAACTCCTGGCTGCAAGGGATCTGCCCACCTCAGCCTCCCAAAGTGCTGGGATTACAGGCGTGAGCCACCGTGCCCGGCCCTTGCCTACATTTGTAATATATAAATTATGTTGTCACAGTCTCCATTCCATACTGGATTCCCTGACCTCCTGGTTGCTTTTTTTAAAATTTTGCATACATTAACAAACTTTTTTTATATCGTAAAGATCAATGGGTTTTGACAGAAGCATTTTAAAGTGTTCCACACATAGATTTTTTTCACATTTCTTGTTAGATTTCTTCCTAATTATTTTCTTTGATGCTATGGATGCTATTGTAAATGAGGTTTTCTCTATCATTGTATCTCTTTTTTTTTTTTCGGTAGAGACAGGATCTCACTATGTTGCCCCAGCTGGACTGCACTGGCTATTTATAGGCATGATCATGGCACACTACAGCCGTGAACTCCTGGGCTCAAGCCATCCTCCCATTTCAACTTCCCAAGTAGCTGGGACTACACATGTGAGCCACTATGCGTCTTTATATCCTCTCACTGGTTATTGTTGATATATACAAAAGCCATTGATTTCTCTATGTTAATTTTATATCCTTCCATTTTACTGAATACTTTTATTGTTAGAGTGTTTTATCATTGATTCTCTAGGGTTTACCAGGTACAAAATCATATCATCTGAAAATAGGGATATCTTTATTCTTTTCCAATCAGTCACACTGGCTGTAATTGATTTCTCTTGCCTAATTACCATTTTCCACTAACAGGAACCAGGGCCCCTTAGAGAAATAGCTGATTGCAGGGCTGGGGCAAGGAAAGTACAAGATTAGCCTGGAACATCTTGTTTTAACCACACATTGAAAGAATTTGAATTAAAAAAGAATACAAGAGTCCAAAGTGATCTAAATAAATAAATGGAGGCGAAGGGAAAACTCTTCCTCACAGAGGAATGCCAACTAATAAATGTACAAGGAATGATGGAATTAGAAAATAACTATTTGGCAACTACTACTGTAATAATTGTTTTAGGCAAGCATCATTGGCCAGGCGCAGTGGCTCACGCCTGTAATCCCAGCGGTTTGGGAGGCCGAGGCAGGTGGATCAATTGAGGTCAGAAGTTCGAGACCAGCCGGGCCAACATGGTGAAACCCCGTCTCTATTAAAAATACAAAAATTAGCCGGGCATGATGGCGGGCACCTGTAATCTCAGCTACTCGGAAGGCTGAAGAAGGAGAATCGCTTGAACCTGGAAGGCAGAGGTTGCAGTGAGCCGAGGTCGGGCCACTGCACTCCAGCCTGGGCGACAGAGCAAGACTCTCTATTAAAAAAAAAAAAAAAAAAAAAAAAAAGGCTGGGTGCTGTGGCTCACGCCTGTAATCCCAGCGCTTTGGGAGGCCAAGGCAGGCAGATCACCTGAGGTCAGGGGTTCAAGACCAGCCTGACCAACGTGGTGAAACCCGGTCTCTACTAAAAATACAAAAATTAGCCAGGTGTGGTGGGTTCAAGCGATTCTCCTGCCTCAGCCTCCTGAGTAGCTGTGATTACAGGCGCCTGCCACCATGCCCAGCTAATTTTTTCTATTTTGAGTAGAGACGGAGTTTCACTATGTTTGTCAGGCTGGTCTTGAACCCTGACCTGACCTCAGGTGATCACCCCGCCTCGGCCTCCCAAAGTGCTGGAATTACAGGCGTGAGCCACCACACCCGGCCCAGAGGGCTAATTTTTAAATTTTTTGTAGAGACGAGATCTCACTATGTTGCCCAGGCTTACTTTTTAATTATAACAAGGATTAGGGTAACTTTATAATGGAGAACACTACCTTAACCAAGTCACCTTTAGCGTCACCAGGACAGGGACAAATTGGTATTATGTGCTTTCCGACGTAATGCACTGAGAAAGACACAAGTCACCTCTGTGGTATTTCTGCCAAAAATTCATAATCTGAATCGAATCATGAGAAGCTATTAGGCAAACCCCAACTAAAGAACTCATCAAGACATCAACATCATAAAAAACAAAGATCACTTGCAGTCAGGAGTTTGAGACCAGCCTGGCCAACATGGCGAAACCTGTCTCTACCAAAAATACAAAATTTAGCCGGGCGTGGTGGCAGGCGCCTGTAATCCCAGCTACTTGGGAGGCTGAGGCAGGAGAATTGCATGAACCCAGGAGGCGGAGGTTGTAGTGAGCCAAGATCGCGACACTGCACTCCAGCCTGGGTGGCAGAGCGAGACTTTGACTCAAATAAAAAAAAAAAGAGAATGACTTTCTCTTAAATGTCTTTGGAGAACGACTTTCTCTTAAATGTCTTTGTACAGAAGAGACTGAGACTATTATCCTTAGAAAGATCTGATTGCAAGGTTAGCCCTTGACTAGCATCTGCCAATTTGGCTAGTAAACAGTTTGCTACACTGATACGAGTTGTTCATTGTGGCTGGGCACAGTCGCTCATGCCTGTAATCCCAGCACTTTGGGAGGCCGAGGCGGGTGGATCACTTGAGGTCAGGGGTTTGAGACCAGCCTGACCAACATGGTGAAACCCTGTATCTACTAAAAATACAAAAATTAGCTGGGCATCGTTGCAGTGTCCTGTAATCCCAGCTACTGGGGAAGCCGAGGTAGGACAATTGCTTGAACCCAGGAGGAGGACGTTGCAGTCAGCAGAGATTATGCCACTCTACTCCAGCCTGGGCGACAGAGCGAGACTCTGTCTCAAAAAACAAAACAAAAAAAAACAAAAAAACAAAAAACAAGAGTGGTTTATTGTGCCTAAACTGTTTGTAGAAACTATGTGGTTTATGCGGAACACCTGCATTCCCTCAGAGTCTAGGATTCTGATATGTGCTAGGTAGAGAGTACCTATGTGACCAGTCCCCACTAAAAAGCCTTGGCCACTGAGTCTCTAATGAGCTTCCCCAGTAGACAACACTTTGCACATGTTGTCACAACTCATTGCTGGAGAAATTGAGTCTTGTATGACTCCACAGGGCGACTCTTGGAAGCCTGTGCCTGGTCCTCTGGATTTCAGTCTGTTGCTCAAGGGAGGTACAGAGCATAAAGAAGCCTGTGCATGGATTTCCTGGATCCCACCTGTGTCCTTTTTTTTTTTTTTTTTTTTTTTTTTTTTGAGACAGGGTCTCACTCTGTCATCCAGGCTGGAGTGCAGTGGTGCAACCTCAGCTCACTGGAACCTCCGCCTCCTGGGTTCAAACAATTCTCCTTCATCAGTCTCCTGAGTAGCTGGCATTACAGGTGGGCGCCACCACGATGGGCTAATTATTATATTTTATTTATTTATTTATTTTTTATTATTATTATACTTTAAGTTTTAGGGTACATGTGCACAATGTGCCGGTTAGTTACATACGTATACATGTGCCATGCTGGTGTGCTGCACCCATTAACTCGTCATTTAGCATTAGGTATATCTCCTAATGCTATCCCTCCCCCCTCCCCCCACCCCACAACAGTCCCCAGAGTGTGATGTTCCCCTTCCTGTGTCCATGTGTTCTCATTGTTCAATTCCCATCTATAAGTGAGAACATGCAGTGTTTGGTTTTTTGTCCTTGCGATAGTTTACTGAGAATGATGATTTCCAATTTCATCCATGTCCCTACAAAGGACATGAACTCATCATTTTTTATGGCTGCATAGTATTCCATGGTGTATATGTGCCACATTTTCTTAATCCAGTCTATCATTGTTGGACATTTGGGTTGGTTCCAAGTCTTTGCTATTGTGAATACTGATGCAATAAACATACATGTGCATGTGTCTTCATAGCAGCATGATTTATAGTCCTTTGGGTATATACCCAGTAATGGGATGGCTGGGTCAAATGGTATTTCTGGTTCTAGATCCCTGAGGAATCGCCACACTGACTTCCACAATGGTTGAACTAGTTTACAGTCCCACCAACAGTGTAAAAGTGTTCCTATTTCTCCACATCCTCTCCAGCACCTGTTGTTTCCTGACTTTTTAATGATTGCCATTCTAACTGATGTGAGATGGTATCTCACTGTGGTTTTGGTTTGCATTTCTCTGATGGCCAGTGATGATGAGCATTTTTTCATGTGTCTTTTGGCTGCATAAATGTCTTCTTTTGAGAAGTGTCTGTTCATATCCTTTGCCCACTTTTTAATGGGGTTGTTTGTTTTTTTCTTCTAAATTTGTTTGAGTTCATTATAGATTCTGGATATTAGCCCTTTATCAGATGAGTAGGTTGCGAAAATTTTCTCCCATTTTGTAGGTTGCCTGTTCACTCTGATGGTAGTTTCTTTTGCTGTGCAGAAGCTCTTTAGTCTAATTAGATCCCATTTGTCAATTTTGGCTTTTGTTGCCATTGCTTTTGGTGTTTTAGACATGAAGCCCTTGCCCATGCCTATGTCCTGAATGGTAATGCCTAGGTTTTCTTCTAGGGTTTTTATGGTTTTAGGTCTAACGTTTAAGTCTTTAATCCATCTTGAATTAATTATTGTATAAGGTATAAGGAAGGGATCCAGTTTCAGCTTTCTACATATGGCTAGCCAGTTTTCCCAGCACCATTTATTAAATAGGGAATCCTTTCCCCATTGCTTGTTTTTCTCAGATTTGTCAAAGGTCAGATAGTTGTAGATATGTGGCGTAATTTCTGAGGGCTCTGTTCTGTTCCATTGATCTATATCTCTGTTTTGGTACCAGTACCATGCTGTTTTGGTTACTGTAGCCTTGTAGTATAGTTTGAAGTCAGGTAGCATGATGCCTCCAGCTTTGTTCTTTTGGCTTAGGATTGACTTGACAATGCAGGCTCTTTTTTGGTTCCATATGAACTTTAAAGTAGTTTTTTCCAATTCTGTGAAGAAAGTCATTGGTAGCTTGATGGGGATGGCATTGAATCTATAAATTACCTTGGGCAGTATGGCCATTTTCACAATATTGATTCTTCCTACCCATGAGCATGGAATGTTCTTCCATTTCTTTGTATCCTCTTTTATTTCATTGAGCAGTGGTTTGTAGTTCTCCTTGAAGAGGTCCTTCACGTCCCTTGTAAGTTGGATTCCTAAGTATTTTATTCTCTTTGAAGCAATTGTGAATGGGAGTTCACTCATGATTTGGCTCTCTGTCTGTTATTGGTGTATAAGAATGCTTGTGATTTTTGTACATTGATTTTGTATCCTGAGACTTTGCTGAAGTTGCTTATCAGCTTAAGGAGATTTTCGGCTGAGACAATGGGGTTTTAATTATCGTATTTTAAATAGAGATGGGGTTTCACAATGTTGGCCAGGCGATGGTGTCAAACTCCTGACCTCAAGTGATCTGCCTACCTCAGCCTCCCAAAGTGCTGGGATTACAGGCATGAGCCACCAGGCCCAGCCAACTTTTTTTTTTTTTTTTTTTTTTTTGAGACAGAGTTTTGCTCATATTGCCCAGTCTGGAGTACAGTGGCGAGATCTCAGCTCACTGCCACTTCTGCCTCCCGGGTTCAAGCAATTCTCCTGCCTCAGCCTCCCAAATAGCTGGGATTACAGGCATGCACCATCATGCCTGGCTAATTTTTGTATTTTTAGTAGAGATGGGGTTTCACCATGTTGGTCAGGCTGGTCTCCAACTCCTGACCTCAGGTGATCCACCTGCCTCAGCCTCCGAAAGTGCTTGGATTACAAGCGTGATCCACTGTGCCCAGACTTTTCATTAATTTATTTATTTTTGAGATGGAGTTTGGCTCTCATTGCCCAGGCTGGAGTGCAATGGTGCGATCTCTTCTCACTGCAACCTCCACCTCCCCAGTTCAAACTATTCTCCTGCCTCAGCCTCCCAAGTAGCTGGATTACAGACATGCGCCACCACACCTGGCTATTTTTTTTTTTGAGATGGAGTTTTGCTCTTGTCACCCAGGATGGAGTGCAATAGCGTGATCTCAGCTCACTGCAACCTCCACCTCCCGGGTTCAAGTGATTCTCCTACCTCAGCCTCCCTAGTAGTTGGGATTACAGGTGCCTGCCACCAAGCCTGGCTAATTTAAAATTTTTTTTTTTTATTTTTAGTAGAGATGAGGTTTTGTCACGTTGGCCAGGCTGGTCTTGAACTCCCGACCTCAGGTGATCCACCTGCCTCGGTCTCCCAAGTGCTGGGATTACAGCCATGAGCCACTGCATCCAGCCTTTCAGCCTTTTCGAGATAGTGTCTCAACTCTAGTCTCCCAGGCTAGAGTGTAGTTGCATGAACACGGCTCATTACAGCCTTGACCTCCTGGGCTCAAGTGATCCTCCCACCTCAGCCTCCTGAGTAACTGGGACCACAGGCACCTACCACCAGGCCCAACTAATTTTTGTATGTTTTGTAGATGCGCCCACCACCACACCCAACTAATTTTTGTATGTTTTGTAGAGATGGTTTTTGCCATATTGCCTAGGCTGGTCTTGAACTCCTGAGCTCAAGCAATCAGCCTGCCTCAGCCTCCCAAAGTGCTAGAATTACAGGCATGAGCCACCGGGCCAGCTGCAACTATTCTATTAATCCGAAATTATTTCAAGACATAATTTAAAATGGAAAAACCGGCTGGGCGCGGTGGCTCACACCTGTAATCCCAACACTTTGGGAGGCCGAGGTGGGTGGATCACTTGAGACCAGGAGTTTGAGACCAGCCAGGGCAACGTGGTGAAACCCCCTCTCTACTAAAGATACAAAAATTAGTCGGGCTCGGTGGCACACACCTGTAGTCCCAGCTGCTCGGGACGCTGAGACACAAGAATTGCTTGAATCTGGGGGACAGAGATTGCAGTGAGCTGGGATCGCACCACTGCACTCCAGCCTGGGTGACAGAGCGAGACTTCATCTCAAAAAAAAAAAAAAAGAAGAAAAATAGAAAAATGAAAATGAAACCAAATCTGTACCCTAGATGCGCTTATTGCTCATTGCTAGAGATATATCTGTTTGTAGGCCCTCTCAGTGAACAGACAGGGGACACATACACAGACATGCACACTAGTTCTCTTTATAACATAACTCTCTTTCTCTGTCTATATATAAAACCATGAGATCATCCTGATACCTCCAATTCCAATTCAACACTTCAGGGTAAACTTTTGTTTTCCCCATCCATATTTGTCACTCTTTTAGTAAGTAATCTAACTCCCATTATTCCTAATTACTTGTTTCCTCAAACCTAGATTACACAAAGGAATTTTCAGAATTGCCTAACCCACACCACTACAAAAGCAAATCTACTTACCAGAGTACAATATTTGTTTACAGATATATATATATATTTTTTTTAGAGACAGCGTCTTGCTCTGTCACCCAGGGTGGAGTGCAGTGTGGAACGATCTCAGCTCACTGCAACTTCCACCTCCTGGGTTCAAGCAATTCTCATACTTCAGCCTCCCAGACCTTTTTTTTTTTTTTCTTTAAGACAGGGTCTCACTTTGTCACCCAGGCTGGAGTGCAGTGGTGTGATCACAGCTGACCGCAGCCTCAAACTCTTGGGCTCAAGCGATCCTCCCACCTCAGCCTCTTATGTAGTGGGGACTACAGGTACATGCCACCACGCCTGGCTAATTTTAAAAAAAATATTTTTTTGTGGCCGGGGGCGGTGGCGCACGCCTGTAATCCCAGCACTTTGGGAGGCCAAGGCGGGCGGATCACGAGGTCAGGAGATCGAGACCATCCTGGCCAACACGGTGAAACCCCGTCTCTACTAAAAACACAAAAAATTAGCTGGGATTGGTGGCACGTGCCTGTAGTCCCAGCTACTTGGGAGGCTGAAGCAAGAGAATCGCTTGAACCTGGGAGGTGGAGGTTGCAGTGAGCCGAGATCGCACCACTGCACTACAGCCTGGGCGACAGAGTGAGACTCCATCTCAAAAAAAAAAAAAATTTGTAGGCCGGGCATGGTGGCTCACACCTTAATCCCAGCACTTTGGGAGGCTGAGGTGGGCAGATCACCTGAGGTCAAGAGTTCGAGACCAGCCTGGCCAACGTGGTGAAACCCCATCTCTACTTAAAATACAGAAATTAGCTGGGCATGGTGGCGGGCGCCTGTAATCCCAGCTACTCAGGAGGCTGAGGCAGGAGAATCGCTTGAAGCCAGGAGGCAGAGGTTGCAGTGAGCCAAGATTGCGTCATTGCACTCCAGCCTGGGCAACAAGAGCCAGACTCTCAAAAAATATATAGATAGATAGATAGATATGTATATATATATACACACACTATATATACACATACATATATATATATACACACACATACATATATATACACACACATATATATATAGTAGAGACAGGGACCTTACTATGTTCCCCAGGGTTGTCTCCAACTCCTGGCCTGAAGCAATCCTCCTGTCTCAGCCTCCCAAAGTGCCCAGATTGCAGGTGGGAGCCAGCATACCCAACCCATTGTTTACAGGCATTTTTCTTTTTTTTTTCTTTTTTTTTTTTTTTTTGAGACAGAGTCTTGCTCTGTCGCCTAGGCTGGCTGGAGTGCAGTGGCGCAATCTCGGCTCACTGCAAGCTCCGCCTCCTGGGTTCACGCCATTCTCCTGCCTCAGCCTCCCGAGTAGCTGGGACTACAGGCGCCTGCCACCACGCCCGGCTAATTTTTTGTATTTTTTTTAGTAGAGACGGGGTTTCACCGTGTTGGCCAGGATGGTCTCGATCTCCTGACCTCGTGATCCGCCCGCCTCGGCCTCCCAAAGTGCTGGGATTACAGGCGTGAGCCACCGCGCCCAGCCTGTTTACAGGCATTTTTGAGGTAAAATTTACATGTGGTAAAATTCACAAATCAAAATTCACAGCAGCCTGATAAAGAATACACTTGGCCGGGTGTGGTGGTTCGCGTCTGTAATCCCAGCACTTTGGGAGGCCGAGGCTGGCGGATCACGAGGTCAGATCGAGACCATCCTGGCTAACATGGTGAAACCCCATCTCTACTAAAAAAAAATACAAAACATTAGCCGGGCGTGGTGGCGGCTGCCCATAGTCCCAGCTACTTGGGAGGCTGAGGCAGGAGAATGGCGTGAACCTGGGAGGCAGAGCTTGCAGTGAGCCGAGATCGCGCCACTGCACTCCAGCCTGGGTGACAGAGTGAGACTCCGTCTCTAAAAAAAAAAAAAAAAAAAGAATACACTCAAGTAGCTCCTACCCCTATCATGATATAGAATGTTTACATCAGCAGGGCGCGGGGGCTCACACTTGTAATCCCAGCACTTTGGGAGTCCAAGGCGGGCAGATTACGAGGTCTGGAATTCAAGACTAGCCTGGGCAACACACTGAAACACCGTCTCTACTAAAAATACAAAAATTAGCTGGGTGTGCTGGCGGGTGCCTGTAATCCCAGCTACTCGGGAGGCTGAGGCAGGAGAATCGCTTGAACCCAGGAGGTGGAGGTTGCAGTAAGCTGAGATCGCGTCACTGCACTCCAGCCTGGGCGACAGAGCTAGACTCTGTCTCAAAAAAAAAAAAAAAAAGAATGTTTACATCACCCCAGTTCTTTCCCAGCTGTTCTCAGTCAATCCTCTCCCCTATGAGGCAATGAGTGTTAAAACTTCAGGGATCCTGTAATACCAGCACTTTGGGAGGCCGAGGCGGGTGGATTGCTTGAGGCCAGATGTTGGAGACTAGCCTGGCCAACATGGCGAAACCCCATCTCTACTAAAAATACAAAAATTAGCTGGGCGTGGTGGCATGCGACTGCAGTCCCAGCTACTCAGGAGGCAGAGGCACAAGAATTGCTTGAACCCGGTAGGTGGAGGTAGCAGTGAGCAGAAGTCACACCACTGCACTCCAGCCTGGGCGACAGAGCGAGACTCCATTTCCACAAAAAAAAAAAAAAAAAAAGAAAAAGAAAAAGAAAAAAAGAAATTGAGGGCACATGGCTATCCAATTGTTCCAACATTATTTGTTGAAAAGAATATCCATTCTGCACTTAGCACTTTTTTCAAAAATCAATTGAACATATATGTGTGGGTCTATTTCTGGGGTTTCTGTTCTCTTTCATTGATATAATTGGCTGTCTTGACACAGATACCACAATATTTTGATTATTGTAGCTTTATAATAAGTCATGAAGTCAGGAAGTGCAGGTCCTCCAAATTTGTTCTTGTTTTTCAAAGTTGTTTTAGTTTTTTTACATTTCCATATGACTTTTAGAACCAGGTTGTCGGCCGGGTGCGGTGGCTCACGCCTGTAATCCCAGCACTTTGGGAGGCCGAGGCAGGCGGATCACTTGAGGTCAGGAGTTCGAGACCAGCCTCAACGTGGAGAAACCCCGTCTCTACTAAAAATACAAAATTAGCTGGGCGTGGTGGTGCATGCCTGTAATCCCAGCTACTCGGGAGGCTGAGGCAGGAGAATTGCTTGAACCTGGGAGGCAGAGGTTGCAGTGAGCCAAGATTGCGCCATTGCACTCCAGCCTGGGCAACAAGAGCGAAACTCCGTCTCAAAAAAAAAAAAAAAAAAAAAGAATCAGGTTGTCAATTCTACAAAAATATCCGCTGGGATTTGACTGGGATTACATTGATTCTATAGATCAACGTCAGGAGAACTGGTATCTTAATAATATTGAGTCTCCTGCTTCATAAACATGGTGTGTCTATTCATTTGGGAATTATTTAATTTCTTTCTTTCTTTTTTTATTTTTTTTCTTTTATTTTTTGAGACAGAGTCTCACTCTCTCACCCAGGCTGGAGTACAGTGGCACCATCTCGGCTCACTGCAGCCTCTGCCTCCCGCATTCAAGGGATTCTCCTGCCTCAGCCTCCTGAGTAGCTGGGACCACAGGCTCATGCCCCCACGCCTGGCTAATTTTTCGTTTGTTTGTTTTTTGAGACAGAGTCTCCCTCTATTGCCCAGGCTAGAGTGCAGCGGCACAATCTCGGCTCACTGAAACCTCTGCCTCCCAGGTTCAAGCGATTCTCTCACCTCTGCCTCCTGAATAGCTGGGACTACAGGCACACACCACCATACCGGGCTAGTTATTTTTTATTTTTAGTAGAGACAGGGTTTCACCATATTGACCAGGCTGGTCTCCAACTCCTGATCTCGTGATCCATCCACCTCAGCCTCCCAAAGTGCTAGGATTACAGGCATGAGCCACTGCACTTGGCCTTTTTTTTTTTTTTTTTTTGAGATGGAGTTTTGTTCTGTTGCCTTGGCTGGAGTGCAGTGACGCCATCTTGGCTTACTGCAACCTCTTCCTCCGGGGTTCAAGCGAGATGGGGTTTCACCATGTTGGCCAGGCTGGTCTTGAACTCCTGACCTCTGGTGATCCACCTGCCTTGGCCTCCCGAAGTGTTAGGATTACAGGTGTGAGCCACCCCTCCTGGCCTAATTTTTGCATTTTTAGTGGAAATGGGGGTTTCACTGTGTTGGCCAGGCTGGTCTCAAACTCCCGACCCCAAGTGATCCATCTGCCTGGGCCTCCCAAAATGCTGGGATTACAGGCGTGAGCCACCATGCCCAGCCCATACATGTTATTTTAAGGTTTCAATTTCCTATGGGTCACTGCTAGTTTATAGAAATACAATTAGCTGGGTGCAGTGGCTCGCGCCAGTAATCCCAGCACTTTGGGAGGCTGAGGCAGGTGGATCACTTGAGGCCAGGAGTTAGAAACCAGCCCGGGCAACATGGTGAAACCTCATCTCTACAAAATATACAAAAATTAGCAAGGCATGGTTGCGTGCGCCTGTAAGTCCCAGCTACTCAGGAGGCTTAGGTGGGAGGAATGCTTGAGCCCAGAAGACGGAGGTTGCAGTGAGCCAAGAGCCAGACCCTGTCTCAAAAAGAAAAAAAAAAAAGAAAAAAAAGAGCCAGGCACGGTGGCTCACGCCTGTTATCCCAGCACTTTGGGAGGCTGAGATGGGTGGATCACCTGAGGTCGGGAATTCGAGACCAGCCTGGCCAACATGGTGAAACCCCATCTCTACTAAGAAAATACAAAAATTAGTCGGGCATGGTGACGGGCGCCTGTAATGCCAGCTATTTGGGAGGCTGAGGCAGGAGAATCACTTGAACCTGGGAGGCAGAGAGCTGAGATCGCGCCATTGCACTCCAGTCTGGGCCACCACAGAGTGAGACTCCGTCTCAAAAAAAAAAAAAAAAAAAAAAAAAAGGACATGTTGGCCTGTTTGTAATGTTATGTTAGGAGGAAAGGCAGTCTTTCACCATTGAGTTTGACATTACTATAGGTTATTTGTAATTGCTCTTTATCATATGGAGGAGATATTACCTTCTTTCATTTCTAGTTTTCTGAGAGGTTTTTTTGGTTTTTGGTTTTTGGTTTTTTTTCTGAGACAGAGTTTTGCTCTTCTTGCCCAGGCTGGAGTGCAGTGGTCCGATCTAGGCTCACTGCAACCTCCACCTCCCGGGTTCAAGTGATCCTCCTGCCTCATCCTCCTGAATAGCTGGGATTACAGGTGCACGCCACCACGTCCAGCTAATTTTTTGTATTTTTAGTAGAGGTGGGGTTTCATCATGTTGGCTAGGCTGGTCTCAAACTCCTAACCTCAGGTGATCCACCCGCCTTGGCCTCCCAAAGTGCAGGGATTACAGGCGTGAGCCACTGCACCCGGCCAAGAGTTTTTTTTAAATCAGGAATGGATGGTGGATTTTGTCAAACGCTTTTCTTTGCATCTCTTGAGATGGTTTTTCTTGCATTCTTGGAATAAATTCAAATTCATCTTGATGTATTTTCTTTTGTATATATTGTTGGATTTGATTTACTAAAATGGGCTGGGCACGTGGCTTACGCCTGTAATCCTAGCACTTTTGGAGGTAGAGGCGGGTGGATCATCTGAGATCAGGAGTTCAAGACCAGCCTGGCCAACATGGTGAAACCCCGTCTCTACTAAAAATACAAAAATTAGCTGGGCGTGGTGGCATATGCCTGCAATCCCAGCTACTAGGGAGGCTGAGGCAGGAGAATCGCTTGAACCCAGGAGGCAGAGGTTGCAGTGAGCCAAGTTTGCGCCACTGCACTTCAGCCTGGGCAGCAGAGTGAGCCTCTGTCTCCAAAAGAAGAAGAAAAAAAAAAGCAAAAAAACAAGATTTACTAAAATGTTAAGAACTTTTGCATCTGTGTTCATGAAGGATAGTTACATATAGCTTTCTTTTCTTGTAATGACTTTCTGTGGTTTTGTATCAGAGTAATGCTAGTTTCATAGAATGAGTTGGAAAGTATCCCCTCCTCTTAAATTTTCTGGAAGAGTTTGTGCAGAATTCATATTATTTCTTCTATATATATATGGTACAGTTCCCCAAGGAAGCCATCTGGGCCTGGAATTTCCTTCAGGGGAATGTGTTTTACTACAAATTCAATTTATTTAATATATATAGGGCTAGTCAAGTTATCTATTTCTTCCTGAGTGGGCATTGGTATTTTGTGTCTTGCAAGGAATTTGTTGTGAGAAGTATGGGCATAAATTTGTTTGTAATATTCTCCTTTATCCTTTTTTAAAATTGAGGTAAAATGTGCATGACATAAAATTTATCGTTTTAACCATCTGTAAGTGTACAATTCAGGAGCATTAAGTACATTCACAGTGTTGTGTAACCAACGCCACTGTCTATTTCCAGAACTTTTTCATCATCCCAAACAGAAACTCTGTACCCATTAAGCAATAACTCTCCATTTTCCCCATCCCCAAGGCCCTGGTAACCTCTATTCTACTTTCTTCCTCTAGTAACTTGCCTATTCTAAATACCACATATAAGTGGAATCAATATTTGTCCTGTGTCTGGCAAATTTCACTTAGCGTATTTTCAAGGTTCATCCTGAATTGGCCTTCTCCATCTCCAGGCAGTAAGCTGGGCAACCATCATGCTTACCTTGTTTGTTTCCCATCTCTCAGGGATCACTTTCCTTCATTGTCTAATGTCCAGTATCTTTTTGTTGTTGTTCTGTTTTTGAGACAGGGTCTCACTCTCACCCAGGATGGAGTGCAGTGGCGCAATCACGGGTCACTGCAGCCTTGACCTCCTGGGCTCAAGCAATCCTACCGCCTCAGCCTTCCAAATAGCTGAGGCTTCCAGATTAGCCACCACACTCAGCTAATCTGATGTCCACTATCGTGAGATTTGTTTTTCCATTTTATTCATCTGGATTTTTGTTTGTTTCAGGCAGGAGGGCAAATTCTGTCCCCATTATTCCATCTTGGTTGAAAATTGGGCTGGGCGCGGTGGCTCACACCTGTAATCCCAGCACTTTGGGAGGCCAAGGCAGGTGGATCTCCTGAGGTCAGGAGTTCGAGACCAGCCTGCCCAACATGGTGAAACCCCATCTCTACAAAAATACAAAAAATTAGCCGGGCATGATGGTGGGTGCCTGTAATCCCAGCTACTCAGGAGGCCGAGGTGGGAGAATTGCTTGAACCCAGGAGGTGGAGGTTGCAGTGAGCCGAGAACGAGCCATTGCACTCCAGCCTGGGTGACAGAGTGAGACTCTGTCTCAAAAAAAAAAAAAATGAAAACCAATAATTACAAATGCAGAAAATCATGCACCAGGTTTCCAGACAAATTTGGTGAAAGATAAGTAGAACAAAATAGTTTTTTAAATAAAAAGAATGTAATAACAGTGAACTATTTATCAGTTTTTTTTGTTTTTTTGTTTGTTTGTCTCAAAGAGCTCCCGGCCGGGCGCGGTGGTTCATGCCCGTAATCCCAGCACTTTGGGAGGCCGAGGCGGGCAGATTACCTGAGGTCAGGAGTTCAAGACCACCATGGAGAACATGGTGAAACCTCGTCTCTACTAAAAATACAAAAATTAGCTGGGCGTGGTTGCACACGCCTGTAATCCCAGCTACTCGGGAGGCTGAGGCAGGAGAATTGCTTGAGCCTGGGAGACGGAGGTTGCAGTGAGCCGAGATTGTACCACTGCACTCCAGCCTGGCCAACAGAGCGAGACTGTCTCAAAAAAAAAAAAAGAAAGAAAAAAGAAAAAAAAAGAAGGGAAGGAAGGAAGGAAGGAAGGAAGGAAGGAAGGAAGGAAGGAAGGAAGGAAGGAAGGAAGGAATTCAGTGCCAGGCACGGTGGCTCACACCTGTAATCCTAGAACTTTGGGAGGCCGAGGCGGGTGGATCACCTGAGGTAAGGAGTTCAAGACCAGCCTGGCCAACATGGTGAAACCCCATCTTTACTAAAAATACAAAAATTAGCTGGGCGGCCTGGCACAATGGCTCACGCCTATAATTCCAGCACTTTGGGGGGCCCAAGCCGGTGGATCATGAGGTCAGGAGATTGAGACCATCCTGGCTCGATTCTCCTGCTTCAGCCTCCCGAGTAGCTGGGACTACAGGCGCATGCCACCACACCAGCTAATTTTTGTATTTTTCTTAGAGACATGGTTTTACCATGTTGGCCAGGATGGTCTCGATCTCTTGACCTTGTGATCTGCCTGCCTCGGCCTCCCAAAGTGCTGGGATTACAGGTGTGAGCCACTGCACCCGGCCGTTTTTTGTTTTTTGTTTTTTGTTTTTGAGACAGAGTCTCGCTCTGTCACCAAGGCTGGAGTGCAGTGGTGCGATCTTGGCTCACTGCAACCTCTGCCTCCCAGGTTCAAGCAGTTCTCCTGTCTCAGCCTCCCAAGTAGCTGGGACTACAGGCATGTGCCACCACGCTTAGCTAACTTTTGTGTTTTTAGTAGAGACGGGGTTTCGCCGTGTTGGCCAGCCTGGTCCTGAACTCCTGACCTCAAGTGATCTGCCCTCCTCGGACTCCTAAAGTGCTGGGATTATAAGCGTGAGCCACTGCGCTTGGCCTATACTCTTCATTAGAAGCAAGTCTCTAAGTCCAACTCACATTCAAGAGGAGGAGGGGAATTAGGTTCCACCTTTTGAGGGGATGAGAATAAGATATCTAATACATATTTTGGAGGTGATAATTTTTTTTTTTTGAGACGGAGTCTCGCTCTGTCACCCAGGCTGGAGTGCAGTGGCGCTATCTCTGCTCACTGCAAGCTCCGCCTCCCGAGTTCACACCATTCTCCTGCCTCAGCCTCCCGAGTAGCTGGGACTACAGGCGCCTGCCACCACTCCCGGCTAATTTTTTAAAAATTTTTTTTAGTAGAGACGGGGTTTCACCTTGTTAGCCAGGATGTTCTTGATCTCCTGACCTTGTGATCCGCCTGCCTCAGCCTCCCAAAGTGCTGGGATTATAGCCATGAGACACCGCGCCTGGCCTATACTTTTTAAAAATAATATATTTTTTGGCTGAGCACGGTGGCTCACGCCTGTAATCCCAACACATTGGGAGGCTGAGGCGGGTGGATCACTTGAGGTCAGGAGTTCAAGACCAGCCTGGCCAATATGGTGAAACCCCATGCCGGGTGTGGTGGCACGTGCCTGTAATCCCAGCTACTCGAGAGGCTGAGGCAGAACTGCTTGAACCCAGGAGGTGGAGGTTGCAGTGAGCTGAGATTGCGCCACTGCACTCCAGCCTGGGCAACAGAGCGAGGCTCTGTCTCAAAATAAAAATAAAAATTAAAAAAATATATATTTTTTGACATGGGGTTTCACCATGTTGCTTAGGCTGGTCTGGAACTCCTCAGCTTAAGCGATCCTCCCACCTCAGCCTTTTGTTGGGATTACAGGCGTGAGCTGCTGTGCCCAGCCTGAAGGTGATACTTTAAGGATGTGCAACTGTGTTTCACCTTAAAGTTTTGCCCACTAGTTTTAGCATTTAATGGATCTTGTCTGCAGCAATTATTACTGTGGTATTCTAATGGGAATTTTCTACTTCCCTCATTCCTTCTATATTTATTATTTGGAATTCTTGTGTAAGAAAGAGTTGACCCTTCTCCACCATTCATGTATTTATTAGAGACAGCATCTCCCAGTGTCATCCAGGCTAGAGTTCAGGGGCTATTCACAGGAGTGATCATGGTGCATTACAGCCTCAAACTCTTGAGCTCAAGCCATTCTCCTGCCTCAGCCTCCCAAGTATCTGGGACTACAGGCACACACCACCTCGTCTGGCTCTCAGCATTTATTTATTCAATCATATCACTTATATAAATAAGTATGGAATCATGGATGTTCATTTTTTGAACTATAATCTAATATTACCCTTTCTGTTATTCTTGCTCAAATTGTTCCAGCTTTGGCCATTGGGAGTTGTTTTTCTTTTTTTTTTCGAGACGGAGTCTCACTCTGTTGCCAGGCTGGAGTGCAGTGGCGAGATCTCGGCTCACTGCAACCTCCGCCTCCCACGTTGAAGCAATTCTCCTGCCTCAGCCTCCCGAGTAGCTAGAACTACAGGCGCGTGCCACCACACCCAGCTAATTTGTGTATATTTAGTAGAGGCGGGGTTTCACCATGTTGGCCAGGATGGTCTTGATCTCTTGACCTCATGATCCGCCCACCTTGGCCTCCCAAAGTGCTGGGATTACAGACGTGAGCCACCGCACCTGACCAGGAGTTCTTTCAGGTTGGCTTCTGTATCTTATGACATGCTGCAATCATTGCTTTTTTGTTTGTTTGTTTTTTTTTTTTTTTTTTTGAGATGGAGTTTTGCTCTTGTTGCCCAGGCTGGAGTGCAATGGCATGATCTCGGCTCACTGCAACCTCTGCCTCCCAGGTTCAAGCAATTCTCCTGCCTCAGCCTCCTGAGTAGCTGGGATTACAGGTGCCCCCCACCACACCCGGCTAATTTTTTGTATTTTTAGTAGAGACGGGGTTTCACCATGTTGGCCAGGCTGGTCTGAAACTCCTGACCCCAGGTGATCCATGCGTCTTGGCCTCCCAAAGTGCTGGGATTACAGGTGTGAGCCACCATGCCTAGCCTCCATCATTGGTTTTAGGCATTTCCTTACTTTCTGTCACTACAGGATGCTCCAGGCTCATCTTGTATTTCTCTCCACCCCAGACTGAAAATCAGCCATTTTTCCAGGAGCACTGGTTTCTTTTATTGGAGAATGGCATTTAGAAACCAAGGTCCAGGCCAGGCGCGGTGGCTCAGACCTGTAATCCCAGCACTTTGCGAGGCCAAGATGGGCAGATCACCTGAGGTCAGGAGTTCAAGACCAGCCTGGCCAACACGGCGAAACCCTGTCTCTACTAAAAATACAAAAAGTAGTCAGGCGTGGTGGGCAGCGCCTGTAGTCCCAGCTACTCAGGAGGCTGAGGCAGGAGAATCGCTTGAACCCAGGAGGCGGAGGTTGCAGTGAGCCAAGATTGCGCCATTGCACTCCAGCCTGGGTGACAAGGGTGAAACTCTGTCTCAACAACAACAACAAAAAAGAAACCAAGATCTGGCCACTAGATGTGCTCATTGTTTCTGGGATAGCATGATTTGTAGGACTTCTCAGTAGACAGACTGAGAAACCGTCTGCAAAAACCAAGAAGATAGGACCACTTAGTACAACATAGTATCTATGGTAGGTGCCTTCTGAGATGCCCTCAACCAGTGCTCCCTGCCTGCTATATTCTTGGTCTTGTGTAATCCCCTCCCCTTTAGTAACTTCTTTGCAAGTAACAGAATGCCTCAACCTTGAGGGGATATCACTTCCATAATTAGATCACAAGAGATGTGACCTCTGTTTTGCTAGCCAACTCTTTCTCTCGCTGGCTTGGATGAAGCAAACTACCATGCTGTGAGCCACTGCATGGAAAGGCACACATGGTGTGGATGGTGGGCACCTCTGGCTAACAGCCAGCAAGGAACTGGGGCCCTCTGTCCAACAGGCTGCAGAGAACCGGATCCTGCCAACAAATATGGGAGCACAGAGCAGATCCTTCCCCGGTCGCACGTTCAGAGAAGTCCTCAATCCTGCCCAACTCCTTCCTCGATTGTGCCTTAGTGAGAGAGGCTGAAGCTGAGGACCCAGCTGAACCCAGCCTGGATTCCTGACTTGCAAAACCTGAGAGATAATTTATGTGTATTGTTTGGAGCCACTAAGATTGTGGTCATTTGTTTCACAGGAATAAGTAGTACGGCATACTTACTTGGATCCTAGCACAGAAAAGACGTTAGTGGAAAAGCCAGTGAAATCCAAATAAAGTCTGAAGTTGAGTTAATAGTACTCTACCAATCTTATTTTTTTTTTTATTTTTTATTTTTTTTGAGATGGAGTCTCGCTCTATCGCCCAGGCTGGAGTGCAGTGGCGCAATCTCGGCTCACTGCCAGCCTCCTGGGTTCATGCCATTCTCCTGCCTTAGCCTCCCGAGTAGCTGGGACTACAGGTGCTCGCCACCACACCCAGCTAATTTTTTATATTTTTAGTAGAGACGGGGTTTCACCGTGTTAGCCAGGACGGTTTCGATCTCCTGACCTTGTGATCCGCCTGCCTCAGCCTGCCAAAGTGCTGGGATTACAGGCGTGAGCCGCCACGCCCGGCCCAATGTTATTTTCTTAGCACTGATAAATGTGCCATGGTTACGTAGAATGTTAACATTAGGGGGAGGTGGGTGACAGGTATGAAAGCTCACTAATGGTGATGCAACTCTTCTGTAAATCTAAAATTATTTCAGAAAAACTGTTAAAAAACCTCTGGGAGGCCAGGTACGGTGGCTCACGCCTGTAATCCCAGCACTTTGGGAGGCTGAGGCGGGTGGATCACGAGGTCAGGAGATCAAGACCATCCTGGCTAACGTGGTGAAACCCCATCTCTACTAAAAATACAAAAAAATTAGCCGGGCGTGGTGGTGTGCGCCTGTAGTCCCAGCTACTTGGGAGGCTAGGGCAGGAGAATGGCTTGAACCCAGGAGCCGGAGGTTGCAATGAGCCAAGATCCCACCATTGCACTCCAGCCTGGGCGACAGAGTGAGACTTCGCCTCAAACAAAAACAAAAACAAAAACAAAAAAACACACCTCTGGGAGGCCAGGTGCAGTGGCTCACACCTGTAATCCCAGCACTTTGGGAGGCCGAGGCAGTTGGATCATTTGAGATCAGGAGTTCAAAACCAGCCTGGCCAACATGGTGAAAACCCATCTCTACTAAAAATACAAAAATTAGCCGGGCAGTAGTGGCATGTGTCTGTAATCCCAGCTACTCGGGAGGCTGAGGCAGGAGAATCGCTTGAACCTGGGAGTTGGAAGTTGTGGTGAGCCAAGATCATGCCACTGCACTCCAGTCTGGGTGACAGTGAGACCCTGTACCCCCTTCCCCCCCCAAAAAAAAACCTCTGGGCATTACATGTTACGTTTAAAAAATAAAGAAGAGGCCAGGCACGGTGGCTCATGCCTGTAATCCCAACAATTTGGGAGGCCGAGGCGGGCGAATCATCTGAGGTCACGAATGCGAGACCAGCCTGACCAACATGGTGAAACCTTGGTCTCTGCTAAAAGTACAAAAGATTGGGCCAGGGGCCGTGGCTCATGTCTGTAATCCCAGCAATTTGGGAGGCCAAGGCAGGCGGATCATTTGAAGTCAGGAGTTCAAGACCAGCCTGGCCAACATGGTGAAACCCCATCTCTACTAAAAATACAAAAATTAGCTGAGCAGTAGTGGCACATGTCTGTAATCCCAGCTACTCGCAAGGCTGAGGCAGGAGAATCACTTGAACCTGGGAGGCAGAGGTTGCAGTGAGCCGAGATCGCACCATTGCACTCCAGCCTGGACGACAGAGCGAGACTCTGTCTTTAAAAAAAAAAAAAAAAGGCCGGGCACAGTAGCTCACCCCTGTAATTCCAGCACTCTGGGAGGCCGAAGTGGGCGATCACGAGGTCAGGAGTTTGAGACCAGCCTGACCAACATGGTGAAATCCTGTCTCTAATAAAAATACAAAAATTAGCCAGGCGCGGTGACAGGTGCCTGTAATCCCAGCTACTCGGGAGGCTGAGGCAGGAGAATTGCTTGAGCCTGGGAGGTGGAGGTTGCAGTGAGCCGAGACCGTGCCACTGCACTCCAGCTTGGGCAAAAGAGCGAGACTCCATATAAAAAAAAAGAAAAGTACCTAAAATTTGCCAGGTGTGGTGGCACATGCCTGTAATCCCAGGTACTCAGGAGGCTGAGGCAGGAGAATCGCTTGAACCCGGGAGGCGGAGGTTGCAGTGAGCTGAGATCGCGCCATTGCACCCCAGCCTGGGTGACAGAGGGAAACCCTGTTTCAAAATAAATAAATAAATAAATAAAATAAAATAAAATAAAATAAAATAAGAGAGTATAGGGCCAGGTATGGTGGTTTATGCCTGTAATCCCACTTTGGGAGGCCACGGCAGGTATATCACTTGAGGCCAGGAGTTTGAGACTAGCCTGGGCAACATGGTGAGACCCTGTCTCTACTAAAAATACAAAAATTAGCTGGGCGTGGTTGCGCGTCTGTAATCCCAGGTACTTGGGAGGCTGAGGCACGTGAATCGCTTGAACCTGGGAGGCAGAGGTTGCAGTTAGCAGAGATCATGCCACTGCACTCCAGTCTGGGCAATAGAGTGAGACTCCGTTTCAAAAAAAAAAAAAAAAAAAAAAGAGAGAGAGTACAGCAAAGTTGAGGAGAAAAAATAAAGGTTATTAGGGAGCCATCAGTCTGGTTACAGAGATTCAGCAACCAGGCTTGGAGGGGTAGCAGTGTGATAGGTTAGAAAGAGCTAGCAAGGGTCGGGTGTGGTGGCTTACACCTCTAATCCCAGCACTTTGGGAGGCCGAGGCAGGCAGATCACTTGAGGTCAGGAGTTCGAAACCAGCCTGGCCATCATGGTGAAACCCCGTCTCTACTAAAAACACAAAAAATTAGCTGGGTGTGGTGGCAGATGCCTGTAATCGCAACTAGAGAGGTTGAGACAAGATAATTACCTGAACCTGGGAGGCAGAGGTTGCAGTGAGCCGAGATCATGCCACTGCACTCCAGCCTGGGTGACAGGGCGAGATTGTCTCAAAAAAAAAAAAAAGAGATAACAAGTATGGTGGTCACAGTCTAGGGTAGTCACGGTGACCAAGCCCAGTTCCAGCCCTCAGAGGTCACAGTCTGGTGGGGGAAATGGAGGGACCAGGCCTGATGCTTGTTCTAGGAGTCAGTGTCTGGTTGAGAAATTGCGGGAAAATACTTTTTCCCAGCCTTCAAGAAGATACTTGTGTTCATTTAAATTCTCCCAAAATCTCAACATCTGTTCCAAAATTCAGTTGGTTGCTTGTTCCTCTGCCTTTCAGATATTTGTCTTTGTCCTTTCCACCATCTTAAATACCTCTGTTGTCTGCCAGGAAATATCCTCATAGACTTCTTTATCAGTTTCAAAAGTGGATTTGCAAGAAAAGCTTCTTTCCCCCTCTGCCCTCAGTGGCATTTTTCAATCGAGCCCTCACTCACCTGACTTTACTGTTTTACCGCCTCACCCATTTACAGGCTTGCATATCTTCAGAACAGTTCAATTCTATTCCTCAGCTTCTTCAAAGACCAAATGGAAGTAAGAAGCAGCATGTTCTGACTAACATCCCTTTAGAGAAATAAATTAGATGAAACACTTGCAGCAGTTAAAATTGTGCCTGGTGATTGGTCTTTAAAAATACTGTCTTTTGTTTGCATATTGTCTTCCTCCATGCCCTCTTCCTTTCTAAATTCTTTTATCCATCCTTCTGGAATCTGTTTCTCCCAAGGACTTTTATCCCTCTTGGCCTGCATGGGCTATGTTCACTGCACAGTGTAAAACAAGGACAGGAGACTCTTTGCCAAAGTTAAAAGCGCATCAAACACGCCTAGCTTTTATTATTTTAATCACAAACCTATAGACCCCTCAGTATACCCTCCATGGGGCCTGGCCCCAGCAATCCAAAGCTGACAACCTTGGGTGTAGGTATGAGGGGTGGGAATGGAGGGGGGAGTGTCTCTTGATAACTCTGAAATGGGGTGATTCCTCCAAATGAAGAACTGGGTGGGGAACAGAGGTTGGGGTGGCCTAGATTCTCAGTATGCGGAGCAATAAAAAAATCAGATAAACAAATGAGGGGGTACAATATGCTTTTACAACCCTCCTCCAAGCTTCTGCCTTGCTGGGGGAAGGCTTCCAGTTTTTCCTGGGCTGGGGAGGTCCCAGGATAGCCCCTTCCTTCATCCTCTTGCCCTACATGTTGAAAAAGAATACTGAGGTACTGGTTCTGGTAACCTGAACTCAGTCCCCCACTAATACCCATCACCTTCCCAAACTGCCCCTCAAGGAAGAAGGCAGGACTCTGCCCAAGGGTGGGGGCCTCTCACTCCAGATATAGGTCTGGAAAATTCATCCATGAAATTTCATAATCTGTCCCCTTCCCCAAGAGCAAGGTTGGCTCAGAGCCCTCCTAGGTTAGGTCAGGTTGGTCCCAGGTTAAGGCAGGGGAGCTTAAGTACCACTCCTCCCTGCAGTGTGGAATGCTTAGATGGGATGTTGCTGAGGGACAAGGGTGGGGCTGTGATCTCCACAAGCACTAGCGGTGGCCTGGTCCTACTGATTCTTTCACACCTGAAATACCTGTGCTGGGCTGTTCCTATAGGGAAGGGGTGGGGCCTGGCTCCTCCATTCCTAGAAGGCCAGGAGAGTTCCCAGGGGAAGGGGCTGGGTCTCATCCTCACTTCTGTTCCTTGCCTGGGCAGAGCAGGGCAGGGTTCATGGGGAAGGGGCAGAGCTTAAACCCCCAGGGCTGGGACCTCCATTACTTGACTCCTCTTCTGTGCCAGGACGGACTAGACTGGTGGTTCCAAGACAAAGGATGGAGCAACATCCTGACATCTCCCTTTCCCAGGAGACCTGGCTAGGACAGTCCCTAGGGGACAGGGTCGAGACCTCATCCTGTCTCCTTCCCTCACCTGGGCAAGGATGAGTCCCACAGGGGCAGGGGTGAGGCTGTGATCCCCAGGGGGCAGGCCCTGATCTCATGTCCTTCTCCAGCCTTCTCCTTCTGAAATACCTGCACTGGGCGGTTCCTTTGGGGAAGGTGCAGGGCCTCATCTGACTCCTCCTCCTTGCCTGATTACAGGGGTGGGGCCTGATCACATCTCCTCTTCCCCCAGGATACCTGGGCAGGGCAGTCTCATGGGAGGGTGGGGGAAAAGGCGGGGCCTCATCCTGACTGGTCCTCCTTTCCTGGGTGGGAAAGTCCCAGGGGAGGGGTGAGGCCTGATCAGGACTCCTCTTCCATGCTGAAGCTGCTGCGGCGGCTGCTGGCCTTGGAGACAGCAGGGGACACTGAAGAGAGCAGGGGATCGGAGGCAGCCCGCAGTGGGGACAGGGCACCCCCCGACAGTCCTCCCACCACCCCCTCCTCCTCCTCCATCAGAATGTCCTCCAGCCCCAGGTGGAAGGGGTCTCCCAGGTCCCCCAGGTGGTCGCTGGGAAAGTGCAGGTCCAGAAGGGCATCTGAGGGCGGTGCAGGGGGCTGCTGATGGGGAGCATTCTGGGCAGGTCCCCCCCCTACATGGAACGTTGCTGCGCCTGGCCTGCCCTCCTCCTCAATGTCCAGCTGCTCTGGCTTGAGGCTGTCAGAAGCCGAAGTCGTGGCCAAGGAAAGCAGCCCTGGAGTGGGAGGTACTGGCAGGCCATGGATCTGGGCCTGCAGTTCTAGTTCCTGTAAAAAATAGGGGTTGGGTGCAGGATAAGTAGGGTTCAGAGTCCCTCAGAGGCAGAGGAGTATAAAGGTTGAAAAGGGTAGGTTCCCTGGGTTGGAATTCAGCTTCTGCTACTCACTAGTTCCAAAACTTTAGGCAAGGTGCTTAACATCTCTGAAGCTTCAGAGTCGCAAACTGTAAAGTGGGTATATAATAATGGCCCCTAGGCTGGGCGCGGTGGCTCACGCCTGTAATCACTTTGGGAGGCCGAGGCAGGTGGATCACCTGAGGTCAGGAGTTCGAGACCAGCTTGACCAACATGGAGAAACCCCATCTCTACTAAAAATACAAAAATTAGCTGGGTGTGGTGGTGCATGCCTATAATCCTAGCTACTCAGGAGGCTGAGACAGGAGAATTGCTTGAACCCGGGAGGCGGAGGTTGCGGTGAGCCGAGATTGCGCCATTGCACTCCAGCCTGGGCAACGAGCGAAACTCCATCTCAAAAATAAATAAATAAATAAATAAAATAATGGCCCCTATCTCATAGAATTCTGAGGATTGAATAAGTTAGTGGATATAAAGCTCTTGTCACAGTACAGAGCACAAGATAAATGCTATGTACATTAGCAATATTATTATCCTTGTTAATATTATGATTATTATTTATCATTATCACTATCATCATCGTGTGATCTGGGAAGCCCAGGGATCCCCCAAGTATGCCAGGAAGGGAAACCCTGGCCTGCTCTCTCTCTGCCTCCACCTGCAGGAAGCTCTCCCCCTCTTCCCCCACCACCATCTCCTCTTTTCAAACCTGAATTCGGAGCTGCAGGCTGCGGTTGGCCTGCTCCAGGGATCGCTGCCGGCTCTCCAGGTCTTTGGAGCGCTGCTGCTCCTTCTGCAGCTTGCGGATATAATCCACAGAGGCCTTCAGGATGGTGCCCTTGTTCCAGCGCATCTCCCTGTGGGGCCCAAGTGGGAGGCAAGCAGGAAATGCCACATGAGGAGTTTCTCAGGAGCTGAGGCGGGGATTGCACCAGGTGGGAGCCTCCCACCACATGCTTAGAACTTGAGGCTGGGGTCTTTCAAAGGTATGGAGTATCCAGAGGAAAACTTCCCGCCTGGAATCTTACAATGGTGCCCCATCACACTCCAAACCCTGGAAGCCGTCTCTGACCTGACCCCTTAGGATTCCTCTCTTCCCTATGTCCCTCCGATTGATCTCACTACAGCCACATTGGTCTCTCAGTGCTCCTAGAATATGGAAAACCACTCCCATCTCAGGGCATCAATCCCAGCCGTGCCCTCTGCCTTGAATACTCTTACCCCCAGACACCCATGCGGCTCCCCGCCTTGCCTCCTTAGGCTCTTTATTCAAACGTTTCCTTGTCAGTTGGGGCCTGCCCTGTCCTCACCTTCCTTATCCCAAACTAACCCTCCCCAACATTCTCCCATTTTCCTTCCAGTCTTTATTCTTCTCATAACACTCATCATAATGGATCTCATGGATGTTTACTTATTTACTATTTGTCTGCCCCCACTAAAACATCAGTTTCATGAGGTCTGTTTTGTTCCCTCTGGTATCTTTAGGGCCTAATATGGTACCTGGCACAAACCAGAGGTTCAAAAAATAAATCTTTCTCTTTTCCTTTTTTTTTGCGGGGCGGTGGGGGATGGAGTCTCGCTCTGTCACCCAGGCTGGAGAGCAGTGGCACAATCTTGGCTCACTACAACCTCCACTTCTCAGGTTCAAGCGATTCTCCTGCCTCAGCCTTCTGAGTAGCTGAGATGACAGGCCTACGCCACCACGCCCAGCTAATTTTTTTTGTATTTTTTGTAGAGATGGGGTTTCACCATGTTGGCCAGGCTGGTCTCAAACTCCTGACCTCAGGTGATCCACCCGTCTCGGCCTCCCCAAGTGCTGGGATTACAGGTGCCCACCACCACGCCCCGCTAATTTTTATATTTTTAATAGAAATGGGGTTTCACCATGTTGGCCAGAATGGTCTCAATCTCCTGACCTTGTGATCCACCCGCCTCGGCCTCCCAAAGTGCTGGGATTACAGGCGTGAGCCACTGCACCCGGCCATCTTTTTTTTTTTTTGTTTTTGAGACAAAGTCTTGCTCTGTCACCCAGGCTGGAGTGCAGTGGCACCATATTGGCTCACTGCAACCTCCACCTCCCGGGTTCAAGTGATTCTCCTGCCTCAGCATCCCGAGTAGCGGGGATTACAGGTGCGTGCCACCACGCCCAGCTAAATTTTTTTTATTTTTAGTGGAGACAGGGTTTCACCATGTTGGCCTTCACCTCCTGACCTCGTGATCCGCCTGCCTTGGCCTCCCAAAGTGCCAGGATTACAAGTGTGAGCCACTGCACCTGGCTAATTTTTGTATTTTTTAGTAGAGACGGGGTTTCATCATGTTGGCCAGGCTAGTCTGAAACTCCTGACCTTAGGTGATCGACCCCGCCTTGGCCTCCCAAAGTGCTGGGATTACAGGCATGAGCCACCACACCCGGCCAATAAATAAATCTTGAATAAATAAAGGAAGTACCATTGCACCACTGCACTCCAGCCTGGGTGACAGCGTGAGACTCCATCTCAAAAAAAAGAAAAAAAAAAAGGAAGTACTAAGTGAACAGAAAAGTAGGTGCATATATCCTACGGGGACCAGATGGGGCACACAGACCATAACATTATGTGCCTAAAATTTTAGGTGCTGACATAGTGAGGGTCTGCAACCCTGCTCAGGCTGAGAAAGAACCAGACAGAGGAGAAATGCCTGGGCCGAGACTGCCTGGTGAGCCCACCAAGGCACAATTTTAGTAGCATGGGACGCCTGCCCCACCTCCCGCTGGCCTGAGGGTCCCAGCCCAGACTCACGGGTCACTGGACTTAGGGATGAGAGTGCCCAGTTCCTTGATCCTGTCGTTAATGTTGAATCGCCTGCGACGCTCAACTTTGGAGAGGGGAGGAGAGGAAGAAAGAGTGGGAGAAAGAGTTGTCAATTAGCCAAAAATGGAAGAGACAGAAAGTAGGGAGTTGGGAGGCTGTTGCAGGGAAGGAGTTCCCCATGGGGGGCCAGGACTCGGGGTGAGGCAGGCCTGCACAGCACCCGGGCAATGCACACGCTCTCTGGCTTACTTAGGTTGTGATTGTCTTTCTTCTGCCGTTCCTTCAAAAGGGCCTTTGCCTCGGTCTCTGGAAAAGAGTGGAGTGATCAGGGCCTCTGAGCACAGGAAGGCAAGAAACACATGCAGATACTAAGGTAGGGTTTGGTAGCCAAAAGCAGGGGAAATGCCTTTTTTAAAAAGTGCCTTCTTTTTACTATTTTAAGCCATGGTGATAGGCTGGTTGTTAAATCCAAGACGAGAGGAACTGAAGTGGGGTGAAAGCAAGACCACAAGCCATAGGGGGAAAGGGGACAAACAGCCTCCATTTCCATATGTCCAAACCATTCCCCTCAGAATCAGGCCCATCTCTAGACCTGGTAGGCACAGGGCTCACCTGGGGTAAAGTGTAGGGCCATGGGGCCAAGACCCTATCACCTACCAGAGATCTCCCGTTTGATGTTGGGCAGCTCAGCTGGGCAGGAGTTGCTGACAGTGATGGCTGGTGTGGCCACGCCTTGACTACTGTACACATCAAGCAGATTCCCTGACACAGGCAGCTGGGGGCAGAGAGGGCAGAGAACCACCAGTTGGGAACAAACCCCAGGCTTGGCTCCTCCTCAGAACCAGGTTCCTGAGCTTCCACATATCCCAAAGATGGGGCACCCTCTAATGCAAGGACTGGCTGACTCAGCACCAGAACCCTTGCTTCTCCTTCAAGGCAAATTCACATGGCGACCAAACAGGGAGGACAGAGCAAACTGGACCTACCTTGCTTCGCTGGGAGACTGGAGCCTGCCTGGCCTGCTTATCACTTCCTCCAGTCCCTCATATCCCTCAGTGACCTCTAAAGCCCCTTTCCCAAACCCCGGGGCTGGCTCTGAGAAGAAATGCTGGAAAACCACCCTTCTCAGGTCTTTGTCGGCTCTGATGGGACATTCCAGTCCGTTAGCTCCTCCCAGCACAACATTCCAATCCAGCATTCTTGGAACACTCCAACCCAATCTTCTCCGACCTTGGTAAATTGTCATGACAACATTCTATCCAAAATCTGGCCTTCTGGAGAATTCCAACCTAATCTCCAGTCTTTCACTCTGATCAAGTTGTACCATCTTCCACTCTGATCAAGTTGTACCATCTTCCACATCAGGGTCTCCTGCTGCTGTGGACCAAGGTCCTGACTCCAGTATCTTCCTGCACATTCTGTTCTCTCAGGAGATTCTTATCCAACTATTCAATTAGCACTGCTTTATGTCAGCCTAGTTTTTTTTTTTTCCTCTCCTTCACACTTTCCTGGATATACTCCAGAGGAGCACGTCAATCTTAAGTATACCCAGGGCCAGGTGCAGTGGCTCACGCCTGTAATCCCAGCACTTTGGGAGGCCAAGGCGGGCGGATCACTTGAGGTCAGGAGTTCGTGACCAGCCTGGCCAACATGGTGAAACTCTGTCTCTACTAAAAATACAAAACAACAAAAAAAATTAGCCGAGCATGGTGGCCTGCACTTGTAGTCCCAGCTACTTGAGAGGCTGAAACAGGAGAGTTGCTTGAACCCAGGAGGTAGAGGTTGCAGTGAGCCAAGATCACACCACTGCACTCCAGCCTGGGCAACAGAGCAAGACTCTATCTCAAAATAAATAAATAAATAAATAAATACAAATAAAATAAAGTATATCCAAATCCCACTTCTTCATGAGTTTTAATCTCTTTTTTTTTTTTTTTTTTTTTTTTTGGAGACGGAGTATCGTTCTGTCACCCAGGCTGGAGGGCAGTGGCGCAATCTCGGCTCACTGCAAGCTCTGCCTCCCGGGTTCACGCCATTCTCCTGCCTCAGCCTCCCGAGTAGCTGGGACTACAGGCACCCGCCACCACGCCCAGCTAATTTTTTCGTATTTTTAGTAGAGACGGGGTTTCACTGTGTTAGCCAGGATGGTCTGGATCTCCTGACCTTGTGATCTGCCCGCCTCAGCCTCCCAAAGTGCTGGGATTACAGGTGTGAGCCACCGTGCCTGGCTGAGCTTTAATCTCTTGAACCCACTTCCAGTCTGGTGGATATAAGGTCCCATTCTCTAGTTGTGTCCAAATCAATAAAAAGTTCTGATAAATTAGTCCCATTTTTATACATGCTTCCATCCTATTGATAAGTTGGAAAAAAGCAAAACTACAGCCACTTGGTATGCTCTAAAGCAAGTTATGAGACCAGGCATGGTGGCTATGTCTGTAATCCCAGCACTTTGGGAGGCCGAGGTGGGCAGATGGCTTGAGCTCAGGAGTTCGAGACCAGCCTGGGCAACACAGTGAGACCCTGTCTCTACTAAAAATGCAAAAAATTAGCCAGGCATGGTGACACAAGCCTATGGTCCCAGTTACTTGGGAGGCTGAGGTGGGAGGATCACTTGAGCCCGGAAGGTGGAGGCTGCAGTGAGCCAGGATTACACCACTGCACTCCAGCCTGGGTGACAGAGCAAGATCCTGTCTCAAAAATAAATAAATAGGCCGGGCGCGGTGGCTCAAACCTGTAATCCGAGAACTTTGGGAGGCCGAGGCAGGTGGATCACCTGAGGTCAGGAGTTCGAGACCAGCCTGACCAACATAGTGAAACCCCGTCTCTACTAAAATACAAAAATTAGCCAGGCGTGCTGGCGGGCACCTGTAATCTCGGCTACTTGGGAGGCTGAGGCAGGAGAATTGCTTGAACCCAGGAGGCAGAGGGTGCAATGAGCAGAGATCGCACATTGCATTCCAGCCTGGACAAGGAGAGTGAAACTCCATCTCAAAAAAAAAAAAAAAATTCAATAAAAAATAAATAAATAAATAAATAAAGCAAGTTAGGCCAGGCATGGTGGCTCATGCCTGTAATCCCAGCACTTTGGGAGGCCGAGGCAGGCAGATCACAAAGTCAGGAGATTGAGATAACCTGGGTAACACGGTGAAACCCCGTCTCTACTAAAAATACAAAAATTAGCCGGGCATGGGGGCACGCGCCTGTAGTCCCAGTTACTCAGGAGGCTGAGGCAAGAGAATCGCTTGAACTTGGTAGGCGGAGGTTCCAGTGAGCCGAGATAGCACCATTGCGCTCCAGCCTGGGTGACAGAGCAAGACTTTGTCTCAAAAAATAAATAAATAAATATAATAAAGCAAGTTATGAGACTCTTGGAGTGTTCAAAACCAGAATGTTACAATGGTATATCCCTTGCTCTAGAAAGTTTTATCTACTGACTAGAAGGACTCTGCCTCCTGGCACAGTTCACTTGGTATATTCCAATCACTACGAGATCCAACTACTTGTTATAACCCACAGCAAGTTTGAAAACTTTTGTTATGCTTCAAGGCCAGGCGTGGTGGCTCACACCTGTAATTCCAGCACTTTGGGAGGCCAAGGCAGGTGGATCACTTGAAGTCAGGAGTTCAAGACCAGCCTGGCTCACAGGGTGAAACCCGGTCTCTACTAAAAATACAAAAATTAGCCAAGCGTAGTGGCGTACACCTGTAATCCCAGCTACGTGAGAGGCTGAGGCACGAAAATCGCTTGAACCCAGAGGCTGCAGTGAGCCAAGATCGCACCGCTGCACTCCAGCCAGGGTGACAGAGTGAGACTCTGTCTTAAAAGAAAAAAAAGGTAAAAATAAAATAAAACAAAATGCTCCAATCATTACATGGTCTGGTGTATATGTCCCGATGACCTGAATCCCTTGGTACATTCAAGTTGCTATAAGATGCTCATCTCGGCCGGGTGTGGTGGCTCACGCCTGTAATCCCAGTACTTTGGGAGGCCGAGGCAGGCAGATCACGAAGTCAGGAGTTCAAGACCCGCCTGACCAACGTGATGAAACCCCGTCTCTACTAAAAATAGAAAAATTAGCTTGGTATGGTGGCACGTGCCTATAATCCCAGCTACTCAGGAGGCTGAGGTAGGAGAATCGCTTGGACCTGGGAGGCAGAGGTTGCAGTGAGCTGAGACCGCGCCACTGCACTCTAGCCTGGGTGACAGAGCGAGACTCCGTCTCGAAAAAAAAAAAAAAAAAAGATTATCATCTCTTGGTACTTCTCACAGCAAAGCCCAAGCACTTTGATATGCCCTACTGTCTCAGTGAACTCCCCACCTGTATCTCTCACAGTCTACATGGTCCACCTCTCAACACAGTCCAACAAGGTCCAAAGGCATTGTTGACATACCCTGTTCTCGTCATAAGGCCTCCCTCTCTATCTTAGCACAATCAAGGCAAGGGTCTCCTATACACACAGCCAGACTGAGTATGGTCTTGGTGATACAGAAATGCCCTAATTTTCAGACCAACCTCCCATCTCAGGGCCTCACCGTGCTGGGGAGCTGCAGTCCTGTGGTGCCTCCGGGCAGATAGCTGAGCATTTCATCATTGTAACTGGACTCCAGGCTGATGATCTCATCAATGACATCATCAATCTAGGGGAAGAAGTAAATATTATACAGGTTTAGAAGAATTTGGGAGGGGAATGTGGGAGGAGGTTTGGCTGTAGCCTCTTACCTCCTTCTCTGAGCTGGACCCGATGGTGAGCAGCGCCATGGGGCTGTTGGGCGCACTGCCTGTGGGGCCGGTAGTGTGGGCAGCCTCAGGGGCAGGCAGTGGCTGGGCACTTGCGGGCCCCGGCGGTGGGGTGAGGGCCTGGGAAGCCAGCTTGGGCCCGAGTGTGGTGGACAGGTACTGTTTCACCTGCTGCCGGCGCGCCTGCTGCAGGTGGTAGCGCGTTGGGTTCTCCAGATGGGTCTGCACCTGTGAAATAAGGTAGACAAGGAAAGAGAGGGGACAAGGCAGAACAGGACTCAAAGGGGTGAATTCTGAGCCCCAGCCTGACCCTCCTAACTCATTGGTGCCTAGACTCACGCAGACAAGCTGGGCCCAGAATCTGAGAACACCCCAAAAATATTAGCGAGTCTCCCCCAGGACCCAAACTCTCTTTCTCAGAAATCCTTCACAGCTGCCAAGATCCACCCATGACTGACAGGATCCCTCGTAGTTTCTGGAAAACCCTGTCACAGTCCCCAAGATTCCCCACCTAGTCTCTGACACCACCTAATAGACCTGGGAACCATACAATGCTTCCCAAGACCCCCTAATGGCCAAAGAACTAATGTATCCCACACACATGAAGCTCTTCCTACAAAGCCAGGGCCCACTTGGGGCACTCATGAGCCTCCATGGTCCACCAAGACATCCTCATGGCCCCCACGAACTCCTCGCAATTTCACAAGATCATCTCAGAAACCCAAAACACATGAGACATGAACACAGATAATTTAAACAGTACCAGGGACCTTCCTTAGAGCCCCTAAGACCTTGCCCCCAAATCACCAGTGCATCGAGGCCATCCCTAGCTCCTAGGATCACTCCTCAGTCACCAGGAGCCCCCTCCCAGGGCCTCTGGATCTCACCTTACCTTGAGCACCTCCCTGGGCACCTGAGCAGGGGGTGGACGGCTCAATGTGTGGCCCCCAGCAGAGACGCCAACCACAGAGATGGCAGGAGAGGCAGGTGCAGGACTGGGGAAGGGAGCCGCGGCGGCCTGTTCCCGACGCTCACGCCTCTCCTGCTCCTGCGCCTGGGCCCGCATTAGCTGCTGCCGCAGCAAGACCCTCGATGAAGAAGATGACGACATGGCAGGGGTCCTGGAGCCCCCTGCAGAAGACGATGCAGAGAGTGTAGCTGGGGTGGCTGGTGTGGCCTGCAGTGATATTGGGAGGCTGTGGAATGGGAAATATGGGGCCATATTTTAGGTAAGCTAAAAGTCTCATCCCAAGCCTAAAGGGTCTTAGCGTGACGGAGCAGACACAGGAACCAGGCCTGTTCTCTGCCTTCCGAGGCCACAATGTAGAAGCAGAGACACAGGAACCAGGCTTGGTGATGGCTCTCAGGGGTCACAGTCTGATGGGGGACACACTGGAGGTCAGTCTGGTGGGGGAGTTTTAGCCTTTGGTCCTTATGGTGAAGCCTAGATTTGAGCCTGTTCACATATTAAGTGGAGATGCTATTGTTCAGCTCTGCAAGGGGGGGTTTGTCCTATTTACAGGAGAGCAGAAGAAGCAGAATTGAGGCTTTGGCAGCAGAATGTGGATACAGAGGGCTCCTAAGCCCAATGTGAGGCTAGAGAAGCTCTCTGAGCTCCTGGGGGTGGGCGTCAGGTGATAGGAGAAGCCCCAGGTTCCTCTTCTTCCCCTGCCTGGGCCTCTGGTCCCAGGAGCTAGTCAGTCTTGAAAACCTCGGAGATTTCACAATACTCTCTTCCTGCCCCTCTTCCCCCTCCCCTCCCCTCTCTCAGAGCCCGGGCCGATGACTCAGCACATTTAGACTTCCAAGCTTGGGGAAAGAAGAGACCAGCAGGGGCTCCTCAAGGGCTGAGGGTGGGTGAGTTGGTAGTGTGGGAAGGGACTGAGTTGGGGCTAGAGGCATGTCCCCGCCCACCCGGGGACATGAGTTTAAGCAGGCCACGCCCTATCTCTGAGCACTCCAGGCCGGCTGGAACACCTGAGGCTGAAACACTTGCATATGAATGGGTGTGCAGGTGGGCTGGGGGCAGGCAGGGGAGGTCTTGACAGAGATACTGGAATCCTAGCTTGGCCACCTACTTTCCTGTGTGACATGCTCTTTCTGGTCCCTAATTTTACCACCTAGAAAACGCAGGCTGGTGAAAGAATGGGTTGGGCTGGTACTGAGGGCCTCTGCCCATCAAGAGGGGAGAGGAGGGCTGAGGAATTGGGAGGGGAATCAGATAGACAAGTCATACATACCTTGAGCGAAGGGGTAAGGGTTGGCTTTTGAGCTCGTAGAAGCTGTCAGGATCAAGGACGTTTTCTAATTCTATGTCAGCAACAATCCCGGATTCCGGAAGCAAAGAGTTCAGGCTGAGGGGGAGGTGGAGTGGTGGTCAGTGATTGAATGAAGGACCTTATTCCCCAGCCCTCCCCTGAGACAGAGAAAGAGAGAGAGAGGGGGGGAGAACGAAGAGGAGGGTACAAGCCCCTCATATTTGGCCACCTTGCTGGGTACCACACCACCATGAATTCCCACCTCCTTCCCCCATCCCCCTTTCCCTTCCCCACTGTGTTACTCATAGTCCCTTAGGAGTCAGAATAATAAGAACGCCTGCATCCCAACCCCCACACTGTAACAACCTGGGTTTGAGGAAAACAGAATTTAGGAATAACAATTCACTTTATAGAAGGATTCCTGACTTCCTATTCAGAGTTCTCCCAGCCCCCATACCCCCTACTTTTTTTTTTTTTTTGAGACAGAGTATCGCTCTGTCACCAGGCTGGAGTACAGTGGTGCGATCTCAGCTCACTGCAAGCTCTGCCTCCTGGGTTCAAGTGATTCTCACGCCTCAGCCTCCCGAGTAGCTGGGATTACAGGCACACGCCACCACGTCCGGCTAATTTTTGTATTTTTAGTAGAGACGGGGTTTCACCGTATTAGCCAGGATGGTCTCGATCTCCTGACCTCAAGATCCGCTTGCCTCGGCCTCCCAAAGTGCTGGGATTACAGGTGTGAGCCACTGCGCCCGGCCAACCCCCTGCTATTTTCTTTACAGCTGAATGTGAGCCCAGGTATATGTGTGTACACACACACACACACAGAGCAAGTAGGGGCATCCCTCAGCATAACAGTCCCTTGTAACACAAACTGAATGCATCACAAAGAGAACTGGAAATAATTCACTTGACGTAAAGATCTACCATTTCACAAATGAGTTTCTCCCAGCCCCAGCCAGAGTTCATGGGATGCCAACACATGCCTAAATATAAAATAGAAATATCAAAGGCTCCCCTCGCTCCAACAGACTGGATTTACAAGAGGGAGAATTTGGGTGGTTGATCCACTTTATACAAGCATTCTTTTCTTACCGGAGGAGCCTGCCCAGCCTTCTCCTGTTTTTTTGGATAGATCAAAACACACACACACCCCCAACACTAACACCCACTGGCGCACAAAATAAGAAGCCATATACACCCATCCCTTTAACTATGTCCACTACTGCGATGATCTAGGTTGTTACAGAGGAATTAGAAGATGGTGAATCGATATACAGAAAGGCTCTGCTCAGCCCCAGAGAGCAAGGGACAGTTAACACACACGTGGATGAATATGCATCCTTCAATTTAGCTAAACATTTAGAATGCTGAGAGATTGCTGGTGACTTCACTTGACAAGAATCCTCTCCCCTCCCCAAGGATCTGTCTTCCTTCCTCTCCTCACCCTCAGATGGAGCCCTAAAACCACCCAGGAAGTTGGGAAGAGGAAGCTCGGGCGAGCCACTGAGCTCAGCACAATCCCAGGCACAAAGGAGGCAAAGACCCCCCCCCACCCAGGGCTCACACACCCATTGCACAGAAGTTGGAAGAGATGGGCACTGGGGTGAGCAGGGAGGGCTGGGGCTCCAAAGCCCATTGATGAAAGTAAGGATGAGAAGAGGCCAGAGGGGATCCACCCAGGCAGGGATGGTGCAATCTGTACTCGTTCCAGCTCTATGGACAGATTCAAGATTACCCCCAGGAGCTCGGAGATCGAAAAGAAGATAAAAAGAAAAGGGGTGTGGGGCTAGGGAGTGGGAAGGGCTGAGAGGCTAGAGCGAGTAGCAGCATGAACAAGAGCCTCCTCTGGGTTCCCAAACAAGGTCTGAGGCCTCTGAGCTAAGAGGTAACATCATCGCCCTCTGCCTGGCTGTCTATCTTCCATTCAGGCCCTTAACAGGTGTGGGAAGAGGGCTTTTCCACTATCCTTGGGATCTGCCCCAGCTGGGTAGGCGGGCAGAGGGGAAAGGATTATTCTGGTCAAGTCTTGCTGAATGTTGCTTCTCTTGTTCATTCACACGCACTCACAAGGCTGGTCCCAGGCAGCATATCTGAGATACCTCCAAATCCCTCCAGATTCATGTTATCCCCAAACACAGCAACCAGTCACTGAGAGGCACCAAGCTCCCAAGACAGCACTTCTGTCCCTCAGGACCCCTTCTCCCACACTGAGGGAAAAAAGATTCTAGGATTCCCTTAAAACCAGTGCCTCACCTGACAGTGTCCCCTCAAATTCATTCCCCTCATGTCCGACTGAAAATCCCCGAATTCAGCCTCTAATCAGAGACCCTGTCTACCAAGTTCAGCTATCTCAGACCAGTTTCTGGATACTCCAGAATAGGCCCCTCTAGACGCAGTCAAGGGCTCCCCAAACCTGACCCAGACCCCGCTTAATGCACTCCCACGACTCCTTTAATAAAGCCACAATCCAAGCAGGCCACTGCCGGATTCCTTAGGTGCCCCCCCAAGACGGGCGCCCCGACGTCCTCCAAGGCTAGGCCGAGGGCCTCCAATCCCAGTCCGGGGCCCCCACTGCCCCCGAGATCAGGCCCCTGGGAGCCCCAGTCGGCACTCCCAGCCCCAGGCGGCCCCGCACCTGAGCAGCTGAGCCGAGTCGGCCGGCCTGCGCTCCTCCAACAGCACGAACACGGCTCGAGGGCCCTCCGCGCTGGCCTCTACGCCATCCCGAGCTGGTTCGGCCGCATGAGACATGACGCCCGGCCCCGGGCGAGCCCTGCCAGGCCGGTCGGGCCTCGGCCCGGTCCCCCTAACAAAATAAGAGTCCCCCCTCCCCCCAGCTCGCCACCGCCGCCTCCTCCGCTAAGCCATGGAGCTAGCACTGCGCGGGCGGGCGGCGTCGGGGAGATGGGATGGGCTGTGAGTCATCCCCCGCCCAGAACGGACCGACGCCCCCCCTCAACCTAACCCCGGACGACCGCCCTCCTCCCCCTCGTCTTCTTCCCCCTCCTCCCTCCTCCCAGGGATGGGGAAACTCCACAGGAAGTGACCGCACTGGGGATGGATGGCCCGTCTGGCCACGACCCATTAGCGAGGCGGCCAATCGCTGAACGGCGATTCGAGGGCCCACCCTAAGCGACGCCTCCGACGCGGAGGAAAAACGCGATTCGGCCCGCCCTCATTCCGAGAAGCAGCACCCAGACCACGCCCTCAGGGGCAGCGACAAATAGGCGAGGGTTGATTTGGTTGAACCACGCCTCTATGTTTGCGTCGCTTTCGGAGCCACGCCCTCTCTTCTCAAATTATCCCTCTGCAAGGTAATATTAAGCCGCTCCTTGGGTCCTCTGCGCCTGCGCATCGATGGCCAGTCGGCGCACGGAGGGTCTCCTGGCCAAGCTTTTAGCTGCGGAACCGCGCCCTCTTTCGGCCAATATTTGTAATATCTGAGCCCTAGACCGCGCTCCAACCTCGATCTGGCTGTGCTCTCTCAGCCAAAGCCATAACTATGAGGCAGAGGCAGCTACATTCCCTGAAGGTGCGGGCCAGAAACCCCCCCCTTTCGCTGTCCGCAGTCCAGCCGCCCAGCTGGTCTTCCGGGAGTATTCCGCCTGTTCCATGCCATCGAGAGCGGTTGTACTATGTTCATTGCGCTGCGCAATATGTGCTTAATAAATTCTTGACGGGTGAATGAATCTGGTCCCTTCGGTGAATGACGACTTCTGGAATCACAAAGATCCAGGTTTGAATAGGGAAGGGGACCTCCCCTCTCCCAGCCTCAGCTTTCCTGGCCTGTTAAATGGGGGTCAAAATACCTGTCTGGCAGGGTTGTTCTGAGGATTAAAGATAATGTATGAAAAGTGCTAGCAGGTTGTTTGGCATACAAGAAGCTTCCCAAAATTAGTTGATTCACTCATTTGTTCACTTATTCAACATTCACTGAGCGCTTCTGTATGCCAGACGCATGCAAGCCGGCTCGCACAAGGCGGAGGGTCTCACTCATATATCCTCAGGTGCAAATAGCTCACAAAACACCCAGACCTACAGCCTTCCCTTCCTCTTTCCTGACATCCCAAGACCCCACCCTGAGTTGCGCCTCCAGGAATTTCACCGGGCTTTCATTTACCTTGGACCTTCCTGTATTGGCATCATTATTTCACAGGTCTGTCAGTTGCTTTCGTAAACTCATCCATACTCACACACAACCATCTCGTACAAGGGGGAAACCTCTACATAATAAAGATGACTTCTGGCCGGGCGCGGTGGCTCATGCCTGTAATCCCAGCACTTTGGGAGGCCGAGGCGGGTGGATCACCTGAGGTCAGGAGTTTGAGACCAGCCTGGCCAACACGGTGAAACCCCGTCTCTACTAAAAATACAAAAAATTAGCCGGGCGTGGTGGCGGGCGCCTGTAATCCCAACTACTCGGGAGGCTGAGGCAGGAGAATCCCTTGAACCGGGAAGCAGAGGTTGCAGTGAACCAAGATAGTGTCACTGCACTGCAGCCTGGGTGACAGAGTGAGACTCAGTCTCAAAAAAAAAAAAAAAAGAAAAAAGAATACATTACCAATTGTACCAATCAAAACTCTAAAACGGAACTTGTAGATCCAATGTTAAAATTCCTATGATGCCTTAAACATGTAAGAATGGGCCGGGCACGGTGGCTCACACCTGTAATCCAGCAGTTTGGGAGGCCAAGGTTGGTGGGTCGCTTGAGGCCAGAAGTTCGATACCAGCCTGGCCAACATGGCAAAACCTCGTCTCTACAAAAATACAAAAATTAGCCGGGCGTGGTGGTCTGCGCCTGGCCTGTAGTCCCAGCTACTCGGGAGGCTGAGGCAGGAGAATAGCTTGAACCCGACAGGCGGAGGTTGCAGTGAGCCGAGATCACGCCACTGCACTCCAGCCTGGGGCGACAGAGTGAGACTCTGTCTCAAAAACAAAAACAATGGCCCAGTGCGGTGGCTCACGCCTGTAATCCCAGCACTTTGAGAGGCCGAGGCAGGTGGATCACTTGAGGTCAGAAGTTCAAGACCAGCCTGGCCAACGTGGCAAAACCCTGTCTCTACTAAAAATACAAAAAAATTAGCCAGGCATGGTGGCGTGCGCCTGTAATCCCAGCTACTAGGGAGGCTGAGGCACAAGAATCGCTTGAACCCGGGAGGTGGAGGTTGCAGTGAGCCAAGATCGTGCCACTGCACTCCAGCTTGGGAGACAGAGCTAGACTCCGTCTCAAAAAAAACAAAAACAAACATGTAAGAATGGCTAATTTTACAAAAGAAGAAAGAGGAGGGTCTGGCGGGGTGGTTCCCACCTGTAATCCCAACACTTTGGGAGGCCAAGGTGGGAGAATTGCTTGAGCCCGGGAGTTTGAGACTAGTCTGGGAAACATAGGGAGACCCCGTCTGTACAAAAAAACTTTTAAAAAATTAGGCCGGGCATGGTGGCTCACGCCTGTAATCCCAGCACTTTGGGAGGCTGAGGCGGGAGGATCACAAAGTCAAGGGATTGAGGCCATCCTGGCCAACATGGTGAAACCCCGTCTCTACTAAAAATACAAAAATTAGCTGGGCATGGTGGCACGCGCCTGGCCTGTAGTCCCAGCTACTTGGGAGGCCGAGGCAGGAGAATCTCTTGAACCCAGGAGGCGGAGGTTGCAGTGAGCCGAGATTGCACCACTGCACTCCAGCCTGGGGACAAAGTGAGACTCTGTCTCAGAAAAAAAGAAAAAAAAAGAAAAGAAAAGAAAAGAAAAATTAGCCAGGTATGGTGGTGCACACCTGTGGTCCCAACTACTTGGGAGGCTGAGGCAGGAGGATCGCTTGAGCCTGGAAAGTTTGAAGTTGCAGTGAGCCGTGTTTGTACCACTACCCTCCAGCCTGGACGACAGAATGAGACTCTGTATCAATTAATCAATAAATAAAACTACATACTGTCTGATGAAAGATGCTACAAAGTTAAAAGACTTACAACAGACTGGCAACAAATATTTATAGCAGTAGAGCCACAGAGTAATTATCTTGTCACACATCCCAATCCTACAAACACCAGCTTCACACACGCATCTCAAATGTCTCCATGACAAGTGATATCCCATGACACCCTGCATGATATGCCTACCCTGCATCTTTCTGGGTTTCTCTCTCTCTTTTCTTTTTCTTTTTTTTTTGAGACAGAGTCTCGCTCTTGCCCAGGCTGGAGTGCAGTGGCACGATCTCGGCTCACTGCAAGCTCCGCCTCCCGGGTTCACGCCATTCTCCTGCCTCAGCCTCCCCAGTAGCTGGGACTACAGGCACCCGCTACTATGCCCGGCTAATTTTTTTGTATGTTTAGTAGAGACGGGGTTTCACCATGTTAGCCAGGATGGTCTCGATCTCCTGACCTCGTGATCCGCCTGCCTCGGCCTCCCAAAGTGCTGGGATTACAGGCGTGAGCCACTGCACCCGGACTTCTTTTTTCTTTTTCTCTCTCTCTTTTTTTTTTTTTTTTGAGATGGAATCTCGCTCTGTCACCCAGGCTGAGGTGCAGTGGCACTATCTCGGCTCACTGCAGCCTCTGCCTCCTGGGTTCAGGCGATTCTCCTGCCTCAGCCTCCCAAGTAACTGGGATTACAGGTGCCCGCCACCGCGGCCAGCTAATTTTTTTTGTATTTTTAGTAGAGACAGGGTTTCCCCATGTTGGCCAGGCTGGTTTCAAACTCCTGACCTCAAGTGATCCGCCCGCCTCGGCCTCCCATAGCGCTGGGATTAAAGGCATGAGCCACATGCCCGGCCCTAGTTTCTATCAATATCTCATTCTCAACTTTCTCAATACTTGCACCCCTGCCATATAGTTGGAGTTCCTTTCTTTCTTTCTTTCTTTTTTTTTGGAGACAGGGTTTCGCTCTGTCATCCAGGCTGGAGTGCAGTGGTGCGATCTCGGCTCACTGCAACCTTATCTGGGGTTTCACTGCAAGACAACTTCAAGGTGCTGTGAAGGGGACATGTGGAGCGAAGTGGGAGGGCAGCTGGATGGTGAAGTTGGGGGTATTTAGGGATAGATATGAGTGGTGATTGAAGGTGGCTTGGGGGTGAGTTTGGGTTCTACAACAGGACAGTTTGCAGGCAATTGAAGGATCATTTGAAGGTCTTTGGGAGGAATGGGGCTTCAATAAGACAGTTTAAGAATGCAGGTGGGAGCTATTGGGAGGGTGGATTGGGAATACGGTTAATGGGTGGAGGATGGTTTGGGGTACAGTTGGAGGGAATATAGGAAGATGGGTTTTTAGAGATAGAGTTCGGCCTTCTGTAAGGTGGTTTAAGGAACAGATGTTAACTGTCATAAGATGTTGTGGTAGGCTGAATAATCCCCTCCACCCCTGCCAATATATTTATGTCCTATGTCCTAATCCCTGGAATTTTTTTTTAATTAATTAATTTTTTTTAGACAAAGTCTCACTCTGTCACCCAGGCTGGAGTGCAGTGGTGTGATCTTGGTTCACTGCAACCTCCGGCTCCTGGGTTCAAGCCATTCTCCTCCCTCAGACTCTCGAGTAGCTGGGACTACAGGCAGGCACCCGCCACCACGCCCGGCTAATTTTTTGTATTTTTAGGAGAGACGGGGTTTCACCGTGTTAGCCAGGATGGTCTTGATCTCCTGACCTCGTGATCTGCCCGCCTCGGCCTCCCAAAGTGCTGGTATTACAGGTGTGAGCCACCGCATCCGGCCAAGGAACTCTTTATTTTTAAAGAGTCTTGCTCTGTCACCCAGGCTGGAGTGCAGTGGTGTGATCTCAGCTCACTGCAACTTCGTCTTCCTGGTTCAAGCGAATCTCTTGCCTCAGCCTCCCAAGTAGCTGGGATTACAGGCATGCTGCACCATGCCCCATTAATTTTTGTATTTTTAGTAGTGACAGAGTTTCACCATGTTGGCCAGGCTAGCCTTGAACTCCTGACCTCAAGCAATCTGCCTGCCTCCGCCTCCCAAAGTGCTGGGATTACAGGCATGAGGCACGGCGCCTGCCCCCTCACCCATTTTTTTTGTTTGTTTTTTGAGTCAAGGTCTCACTCTGTCACCCAGGCTGGAGTGCAGTGGCATGATCACGGCTCACTGCAGCCTCCATCTCCTGGACTCAAGCAGCCCTCCCGCCTCAGCCTCCCGAGTAGCTGGGACTACAGATGTGTGACAGCATGCCTGGTTAATTCCCTGGAACCTTTGAATGCTACTTTATGTGACAAAAGGACTTTGCAGGTGTGATTAAGTTAAGGATTTTGGGATGAGGAGATTGTTCTGGATTAGCTGGTAGACCCTAACTGTAATCCTAAATGTTCTTATAAGAGGTAGGCAGAAGCAAATTCGACTGACAGAAAAGGAGGAGGCAATTTGACCACGGAGGCAGACTGTAGTGATATGACTGCCAAAAGCCAAAGAATGCCTGAAGAGGCAACAGATAGTCCTTTTTGTTTGTTTGTTTGTTTGTTTGTTTCAGATGGAATCTCGCTCTGTCACCCAGGCTGGAGTGCAATGGTGCAGTCTTGGCTCACTGCAACCTCTGCCTCCTGGGTTCAAGCGGTTCTCCTGCCTCAGCCTCCCAAGTAGCTGGGACTACAGGCGCCCGCCACCATGCCTGATTAATTTTTGTATTTTTAGTAGAGACGGGGTTTCGCCATGTTGGCCAGGCTGGTCTGGAATTCCTGACTTCAGGTGATCCACCTGCCTCGGCCTTCCAAATTGCTGGCATTACATGTGTGAGCCACCTCACCTGGCCTAAAGACAATTTTTCCATGGAGTGTGGTGGGGGATGGTTTCGGAATGAAACTGTTCCACCTCAGATGATCAGGCATTAGTTAGATTTTCATAAGGAGAATCTTGTAAGCATGTAACCTGGATCCCTTGCATGCACAGTTCACAATAGGGTTTGCTCTCCTATGAGAATCTAATGCCGCTGCTGCTGTGACAGAAGCTGGAGCTCAGGTGTTAATGCTTGCTTGCCTGCCACTCAGGCTCCTAACAGGCCACTGACTGGTACTTGTCCTTGGCCCAGGGGTTGGAGATCCCTGCCTTATAGCCTCCAGAGGGAGTGCAGCTCTGGTGACACCTTAATTTTGGCCCAGTGCAACTGATTTTAGACTTCTGGCCCTTAAAACTGTGAAAGAATACATTTCTGTTTTTTGTTTGTTTTTAAGAGAGGTAGCTATTTATTTATTTATTTATTTAGAGATGGAGTCTCGCTCTATTGCCCTGGCTGGAGTGCAGTGGCATGATCTTGGCTCACTGCAACCTCCACCTCCCAGGTTCAAGCGATGCTCCCACCTCGGCCTCCCTAGTAGCTGGGACTACACCATGCCTGGCTAATTTTTGTTAAATTTTTTTAGTAGAGACGGGATCTGGCCATGTTGTCCAGGCTGGTCTCAAACTCCTGGCCTCAAGTGATCCGCCAGCCTGGGCCTCCCAAAGTGGTGGTATTACAAGGGTGAGCCACCGCAAATTTCTGTTTTTGTTTCTTCTTCTTTTCTTTTCTTTTTTTCTTTTTTTGTTTTTTTTGAGACGGAGTCTTGCTCTGTCGCCAGGCTGGAGTGCAGTGGCGAGATCTCGGCTCACTGCAACCTCCGCCTCCCAGGTTCAAGCGATTCTCCTGCCTCAGCCCCACGAATAGCTGGGATTACAGGCATGTGCCACCATGCCCGGCTAATTTTGTATTTTTAGTAAAGACGGGGTTTCACCATGTTGGCCAGGATGGTCTCCATCTCTTGATCTCTTAATCTGCCCACCTTGGCCTCCCAAAGTGTTGGGATTACAGGTGTGGGCCATCCTGCCCGGCCCTCTTTGTTTTTTTAAGCCACCAAGTTTGCAGTAATTGGTTACAACAGCCACAGGGAAGAACTACAGATGGCTTTGGGGAAGAGTTGGGGGTCACTGGAAGGACTTAGGGCTACGTTGGGGGTTACCAAGGGCAGTTTGAGAGTATAATTAGAGGCTGTTGGAAAGCATTTGGGTGCAGTTGGAGCCATCAAAGGGAAAATTGAGGTGGGATTTGGGGGGTCATTGGAGGGTGGATGGGAGGTATAGTTGGGAGACTGTGGGGAGGTAAAGGGGAAATGTTTACAGGTAGCATTGGGTGCTATTAGAGGGCAGTTTAGGGTGTAGTTGGGAGTTCTTGGAGGGTGGTTTGGGTGGTATTGTTGGGAAAAATTGAAAGATGTTTTGTGGGTGTAGTTGCTCATAATTTAAGACAAGGTTGGGGCTGGGCGCAGTGGCTCACACCTGTAATCCTAGCACTTGGGGAGGCTGAGGCGGGCAGATCACCTGAGGTCGGGAGTTCGAGACCAGCCTGACCAACATGGAGAAACCCCGTCTTTACTAAAAATACAAAATTAGCCGGGCGTGGTGACACATGCCTGTAATCCCAGCTACTCGTGGGGCTGAGGCAGGAGAATCGCTTGAACCCAGGAGGCGAAGGTTGCAGTGAGCAGAGATCTCACCATTGCACTCCAGCCTGGGCAACAACAGCCAAACTGCATCTCCAAAAAAAAAAAAAAAAAAAAAAAAAGACAAGGTTGGGCATGGCGGTCAGTGAAGAGTGGTTTGAGGTTACAGTCTGGGTCTGCAGTTCTGGGACCAAAGGAAGGTAGTTAGTGGGTAGAGTCATGGCTGGGGCTGTTGGAAGGGGAATTTTAGGGGTGGGGTTTGGAATTGTTGGAGAGTAGTTTAGTTAGGTTTGGGTATTACTGAAAAGGCATTTTGGGGATATTCTTGGGAGTTGATAAAGGGCAGTTTGAGGATGTAGAGCAGACTGCTGGAAGGTGCTTTAGGGGTGAAGATGAGGCTCGGGAGGGAAGTTTAGTGATGATATTTGGGGATTATAGAGTGGTCTGGGGTACAGTTGAGGGCTGGTAGGTATGGTCCAGTGTGCAGTTTGGGGGTCTGTTTTGAAGTCTGGATGTCAGAGGGGTGTTTTGAGTTGTGGTTGAGGAGCTATTGGTGGGTAATTTGGAGAGAAGTTAAAGATCATTGGATAGACTACTGTTCAGCAATAAAAGGAACAAACCACTGTTACATGCTACCACACGGATGAACCTCAAAAACATCAAGCTAAATGAAAGATGTGAGACACAAAAAATCCACATATTGCATTTTTATGAAATGTCCAAGAAAGGCAAATTTATAGAGACAGAAAGTAGATTTGTGGTTGCCTATGGTTGGGAATGGGAATGGCATTCAGTCATGAGGGATTTTTTTGGGGTAATGGAAATGCTCTAAAACTGGGCTATAGCGATTGTTGCACACTTTGGTAAATATTTTTTTCTTTTTTTTTTCTTTTCTTTTTTTTTTTTTTTGAGACAGAGTCTTGCTCTGTCGCCCAGGCTGGAGTGCAGTGGCATGATCTCAGCTCACTGCAACCTCCGCCTTCCAGGTTCAAGCTATTCTCCTGCCTCAGCCCCCTGAGTAGCTGGGATTACAGGTGCCTGCCACCACGCCTGGCTAATTTTTGTATTTTTAGTAGAGATGGGGTTTCACCATGTTGGCCAGGCTGGTCCTGAACTCCTGACCTCAGGTGATCTGCCCACCTTGGCCTCTCAAAGTGCTAGGATTACAAGTGTGAGCCACTGTGCCTCACTTAGGTAAATTTACTAAAGTTGTTGCATTGCACACTTAATCGTGGATGACTTTTATGGTACATAATTATCATTATTATTTTTTGAGATGGAGTCTCACTCTGTTGCCCAGGTTAGAGTGCAGTGGCACTATCTTGGCTCACTGCAACCTCCACCTCCTGGGTTTAAGCGATTCTCCTGCCTCAGCCTCCTGAGTAGCTGGGATTACAGGTGTGAGCCATCATGCCCAGCTACTTTTTTGTATTTTTAGTAGAGACGGGGTTTCACCATGTTGGCCAGGCTGGTCTTGAACTCTTGGCCTCAAGTGATCCACTCGCCTTGGCCTCCCAAAGTGCCGGGATTACAAGTGTGAGCCACTGTTCCCGGCCTGGTACGTAAATTATATCCCGGTTAAGTTGTTTTAAGAAAAAAATCACTGAGAGTGCTTTGTAATTTAGGTCACTTAAGTATGATCCAGGGTGCAAGTAAGTCTTTGGAGGGCTTAGGGGACACATTTGGGGCCACTGGAGTATGATTTGGGAGCCCAATTGGGTAACTACAGCAGGATGGTTGGTGGCTATTCGGAGGTACAGTTGAGGACTGTTGGAGAGTGTTTGAGGTGCAGTTTGGGTCAGTGGAGTGTGGGTTAGAGGTGTAGATGGTGCTGGAGGGTGGCTTGAAATGCAGTTGAAAGACCACAGAAAGTATAGTTGGGTTATATGGCACAGTGATAGGGGCTGTTGGAAGGTAATTTTGTGGGGATACGAGGGGAGGTCAATGAAAGGTGGCTGGGTAAGAGGGGTCCATGGAACATGGTTTGGAGGTAGTGTGGGTGACTGTTGGAATTATTTTGTGGTGCAGGTGAGGCCCACGTTGAGGGTAATTAGGAATGTTTGGGCTGGTGTTGGGGGCTCCTGGAGAGCCATTTTGGGTCAATGGAGTATGGTTTGGAGGGTACATGGAGAGGAGTTTGGGGTCAATGGAGGGTGTTACGGGTGCACATTGGAAGTAGATAGCAGGTGATTTGGACATGCTGTTTGGAGGGTAATGGTTTCAGGGCTGATTGCAGATGGTTTGATGGAGCAAACTGGGGGTAGTGTAAGGTAGTTTACTGCCACAGCTTGGGTGTCCATAGAGGGTGGACTGGAGGTACCGCTTGGAATCAACAGACAGTAGTTTGGGGATATAATTTGGAGGATAATGGAGGTTGGTTTGGAGTGCATTTGAGGAACAACAGGGAGGGTAGCTGGGGTTTACAGGTGTGGGGAGAGCTTACAGAGAGCAGCTTGGGGTACTGCTTGAGGGTCCCTGGGGGACGACTTGGGGTGAGGGGCGCCAGTAGGCTCCCTGAGGGGCGTGGCTTCGGCGAGGGAGGGCTCCGCCGCCCTCGAGAAAGCGTGTGCGCACGCGCTCCCAGCTTGTTCGCTCCTGGCGCTCCCAGGGCAAGAAAAATCGAAGACCCGAGCCGGCGCTTGCGCACTTAGTCTCCGCCACTGCTGTGGTCTCGTGCCCCGCCCCCCGGTCCCCCCACCCTCTAGGCTAGGCTGAGCGGCGGAGGTGGCCGTGCCGCTGGAAGCGGACAGACCCGAGTTAGAGGTGGGGGCGGGGGTCCATCGCCCGCGGCCGGGCCGGCGCTCCCCTCCTACCCTCCCCGCGACCCCCGTCTGGCCCCCACGGCTAACGGTAGCGCAGCCGAACACGGCCCACGGGCAGGGCGCCGAAGAGGAGCAGGCGCGCGCCCGGGGACGAGCAGGGCGCAGTGAGGGAGGGGCGCGTCCACTGCCCCGGCCGGCCGACCGACACCGACCCCGCCTACTGCGGCGCGGGGACCCTTGGTGAGTAACCAGCCCCGCCTGCGGAGGAAGGGAGGGGACAGGGTGGGGTGAAGGCCCGGAAACGCCGACGGGGCGTACCTGCGCGCGCACCCGCGACCTCTGACCCCGTGGCCTCAGCCCTGACCCCTTACGACCTGACTACATCTTTTTTAAACCTCAACCCCTGCTGGCCTTGGCCTCAGGACCTTCCATCCGAGCCCTGACCTAACCATATTCTGGCCTGGTATGGTCCTCAACCCCTGTTTTGTCCCCCTAAATCCAGTCCTGACCCCAAACCCCATCCAGTTATGTCCTGGGGATCTTTGACCTGACCCTGATCCTTGCCTGACCCCGTCTCATCTCTGAAACATCTTGCCCTATCCTAATGCCCAACACTGACCCCAGTTTCTGTCCTGACGCTTGACCTGTCTGTTCCCTAAACTCTTATCCAGTCTCCAAACCTCTTCCAGTCATGTCCTGTCCCCCTAACCACAATCTGGTGTAGTTCTGTCCTGATTCCTGCCCTCTAACTTCTGTCCTTTCTCTGCACCCTATGTGATATCCTCTCCTATATACTCGTGATCTGCATCCTGGCTCACCACCTTCGTCTCCTGCCTTGTCCCTGCCCCTGACTCTGCCCCGTTTTTCCCTCTTTTCTTGTCCCATCACCATACTCATTCCTATCCTCATTGTGTCCTGGTCTTTTCCTGTTCCTGACCTCCATCCTGAACCTGCCCTTTTCCCTGTCCCCTCCTTTGACCACTGGCTTAGCCTTTCCTAGTCATGTCTTCTGACTGCTGTTCTATGTTAATCCTGACCCCTGCCCTGCTGTTTTGTCTCTTTCTTGTACTTTTTCTCTGACCCTTGTCCTGAACCCCACCTTATCCCATCCCCTGGCCAGTGTTCTGGCTCATTCCCCATCCTGCCTCTTGACCTCCATCCTGTGATAACTCTGGCTCTATCTTGTCCCCTACACTCCTTCCTGTTCTGTCCCTTCCCATCCCAGCCCCAGGGTGTTCTTCCCCTTACCATGCCCCTCCACCCTGTTCAGATCTTCTTCCTTCCTAATATCCACTTGCCATCCCTTCTGAGCCGAGGACAGGGGTCCCATTATACTGTGCCCGGAACTTGAAGATTCTGCTGTTCCCAGGACCTCCGAAGTACATCCCAAATGCTTCTCTTAGCAAGAGCAAGCAGCCCTATGTGCCCTGCGTGGCTGATGGGGGTTTTTGTGTGTGATCTCCCCTATCCCCACCCTAGTGATCTTACATAGAGCTTACATTTCTCTTCCTGCCCCAGGAGGGCATGCAACTGTTCCTACGCCCCTGCCCTCTGCAAGTGTGAAAGAATACCCTAAATTATTCAGTGACTCTCTGGGAGTCTGAGAGGTCTGGGTCATGTTTCCAGTCTTGCTGTGTTGGGGACTGCCTCATGTTGGGGGGAAGAGTTAAGAAAATATGAAGAGATGGGGGACCCAGGGGTATGTATGAATCTTCTAGGCCATGTTTGATTCTGGGTGCATGATCCCTGCTTTCCTGGACTGAAAAAGAAGAAGTCTATTCTAGGCCAAGGCTTCGGGACTTGGTATAGAGGAGGGATGGGGTCAAGGATTCATCCTCCTTCTCTCAGCAGTAAGCAATAAAAATCTTGGTGCTAAGTCCACTCCACCTCTGTGGGGCTTGTCTTGGGGGAGAAGGCCAGGCAGTCACTGGATTTAAGAATCAGGCCTATCCAGTGGTAACAGTAACAACAATAATGCAGTGTTCCCCTCATTGTCCGAATCTCCTTGATTCTGAGGATGATGGGGAGAACTTGGATAGCTAGAGGGTAATGTGTTACTCAATTGGGTTTTGTTCCTGCATTTCTCATAGAGACTAGTGAGTTTGAATAACAAGATGCCAGACCTATCTTATCCTGAAAATCTATCCAAACCTATTGATAACAAAACAAGCATTCCTCACTTTCCCAATCTATTTGGTACCTGAATTCTGAGAGGGAGAGTGCCCGAAGTTCAGACAGTGAAACCTACCAAGTTATTTGAAGGTATTTTGTTTTCACATCTTACATAGTGAGTAGGGAAAATTGAGATAATGAAGAATAATGACTAACTAAAAAATGTATCCAAATCTATGAACTTTCCTGAGCTCCAGGGACAAGAGTTGGGATAGTGAGGGTACCCTGTTATGTAAATGGTTCCTGCATTTTGTTTGGAGGGTAAGGAAAGTTCAAGAATGAGGGATACCAGTCGTATCTCAAAAATGTTTCTGAATCCATTCAGTTCTTGCATTTGGATGGTGAGAGTTCAGACAATTTCTCTGAATGTATTTGGTTCCTGCATTTTTGATGTTGAGAAAGGAGAGGTTGGATCATGAGGGAAACAGCTCTGTTTCAAATATGTCTCATTTGGTGAGCAGGGAGGGTACCGTGTCTAGATAGCAAGTGGGATTTGGAAGCTGAGGGATACCAGTTCTGTCTCAAAAATGCATCTGAGGCCGGGCGCGGTGGCTCACGCCTGTAATCCCAGCACTTTGGGAGGCTGAGGCGGGTGGATCACGAGGTCAGGAGTTCGAGCCCACCCTGGCCAAGATGGTGAAACCCCGTCTCTACTAAAAATACAAAAATTAGCTGGGTGTGGTGGCACGCACCTGTAATCCCAGCTACTCGGGAGGCTGAAGCAGGGAACTGCTTGAACCCGGGTGGTGGAGGTTGCAGTGAGCCGAGATCATGCCACTGCACTCCAGCCTGGGTGACAGGGTGAGACTCCGTCTCAAAAAAAAAAAAAAAAAAAAAAAATTGCGTCTGAATACATTTAGTCTCTGATTTTGGATAGCAAGAGTTCAGACAAGTTATCTGAGGAAAAACAACTGTTTCAAATGTATCAAGTGAGACTGAAGGACACCAGCTCTGTCTGGAAAAAATGTGTCTGAATGTATCTACTTGATTCCTGACTTCCTGTGGGGAAGAATACTTGTAACTGTGACAGCCAACATACACTGAGCTCTTACCAGGCACTGTTCTGCACAAGCTTTAAATGTATTAACTGATTTAATGCTCACAATAGCCCCGTGAGGTACATACTGTTATCATCGTCCCCAATTGACAGAGAGGCACAGAGAGGTTAAGTGACTTGTTCAAGCAGTCACACAGCTAGTAAGTGGCAGAGCTGGGTTGAATCCCAGACTCACCATTTACTAGTGACAGCAGGGTCACGTGAGGCCCAGGGCCCAGCTGGGGTAGGGCTTAGAGGTTGGGTCCTCTTCGAGGCTATTAAAAGTCATGGACCAGGGCAATGATGTGTGTTAGTGACTGCCCCATTTGTCTGCCTGGCCCAGGAGGTCCAGTTACCTGCTCTCCCCCAGTTACCCCCACAACAGCCCACCTCTGTGTGAGTGTATTAATTGTTGTTAGTAAGAGTCATTAATGACATGGTGTGTTTCCTTGCACTTTGAAATGCCTTTCAAAGTTATTTGGGGCCTCCATTGTCTCTGTAACCACCTTTTACCCATTTTACAGATGAGGAGACCTAAGCTTTGAGACTCAATCTACATTGCCAGCCAGATTCTCATCCCTCTTGGCTCTGATTTTATTACTGTCTCACTTCCCAACATCTTTGGTGGCCCATAAGAGGTGGGAGAGGCTGTGGCCGAGAGGACACTCCCCAATGCCCACCTTACCACTGCCCGCCCCAGGCAGTGAAGTGGGGAGGGCGATGAAAGGGGCCTTTGTGTTCCATGCTGGAAATCTCACACCCAGGAAGAAAGGTGGGCAGGGATGGCGGGAGGCCTTAATAGTATGAGTCTGGGGCATTGCTGATTCAGAGTGAGCTCCTCTCTAGGCTCAGCCCATCTGCAGCTTTTCTCACTTCAGGTCATGGTGTGGGCTGCTGCAGGGGTCTGGGTAGGGCTTGGGCCCTGGGTCACAGAGCAGATGGTCCTGAATGGAGCACAGGATGTGTGCTGTGTGCCGGGACTGGCCCAGAGCTCAGGTGGTAGTGGTGATGGTGGTGGTGGTGATGGTGGTGGTGGTGGGCGGGGTGAGGGGAGGCAGGGACAGTACGTCGTAAGGACTCAAAGCTCTCATTTCCTTCTCTGGCATGAAGCCTGACTCTCTGAAGAAGAGAGACCCAGCATGGATGTGAAGAAGCATGAGCCCCCTTCCCTACTTCTCCTTCCCACTTGCAGGAGTAGCCTCTGTCTGCCTCCCAGCCAGGACCCAGCCCCCGGAAATTCTGATTTCACCTGCTCTTCTGCCACTGTGATCTGAATCAGGCCTCTTCACCTTTCCAGGCCTCAGCTTCTGCATCTATAAAATGGCTGTGAGGAGGCTGGGTCTGTGCCATCCTGCTACATTTGTAGGAACCAAGAGGGATCAAAACCCATAAGTGTTTTGTAGGGTGTAAGTTGTGCTTGATTTATTGAGATTATTTCTTCTGGAGCCACAGAAGGATCTTGAGACCTGACCTCTCCTTAGAAAGGTTGACTTCCTCTGTCCCCAACTTGGGAAACTATTATTCCCCAGTGAGGGTGGGAATTGCCCCAAGGCCTTCTACCACTGCCTTGCCCTGGGAGGAAAGGGTAGGGGCCTCAGAATGTGATGCTTAGTGCCAAGACACAAAAACTCAGTTTACACCCGAAGCCTCCCATGTACTTTACAGCTCCCCACACCTCTATGGCCCAGATCCAAGTTGCCCCTTGGGTGGGCAGCGTCTAATCCTCTGGGAATTTGGGCAGTAGGAGAGGCAGCTGCTACTCCCACCACTCTCAGCCCTTCTTCCCAGTTTTCTGCTAAGTGTACGGGGTGAGGAGGCACAGGCCTCCATGCCTGGCCAGTTTTAAAAAAAATTTTTGTAGAGATGGGGGTCTCATTATGTTGCACAGTCTGGCCTTGAACTCTTGGCTTCAAGCAATCCTCCCACCTCAGCCTCCCAAAGTGCTGAGATTACAGGCACCAGCTACCCTGCCTGGCCCAGGCTGTCTTCTTAGACATGCTGAGCACCCTGAGTGGACCTGGCCCTGAAACTGCCCCCAGGGGTGACCCTAGTCCTGGTGGCAGACAGGCAAGGGTTAAAAGGTGTGGGCCGGCCCAGTTCCTGGCCAGGTAGGCTGGGCCATTACCTAGTGGGAGGTGGCCAAGGCATCTGCCACTGCTGCTGACTGCCACTACCAGCCGGAGCCAGGGCCTGGTCGAGACAACTATTTTTGAGGTATCTGAGGCTACCCCACAGCACTCTCTGGCATTGGTGAGCACCTGGGAGCAGTGGGCCCAGGGTGCGAGGGGGATAAGGGCATTGGGGAGCTGGGGCAGGGTGTACTGAAGTTCCCTTCGGTAGAGAGCTAGGTCTGTGGGAGAGGCACACCAACAATGCAGGGCAGGGTGGTGGTGGGGGGGTAGGGGGGCAGTGAGAATGGAGGGCCTGAGGACAGGGGCAAAGCCCAAAACACCAATTTCCTTTCCTGGCACCAAGCCGATTCCCGGCCGGAAATGGACGAGGAGGGATCGGGGAAAAGAGAAGTATGAGTCCCCCCTTCTCCACCCTATCCCTGCTTCCTTTCCTCCCCGCCAGGAGTAGCCTCTGTCCTCCCCCAACCCAGGGCCCAGCTCTCCAAGAAAGACCAGACTGGGCTACTAAGAAACCATTACTCAGGCACCTGCCTGCCTATGCCTGATTTGTTCACTGCAGTGGAGGAAGCAGGGGCTCTGGGGAGGGTAATGGCCCAGACATTGAGATTTTGTATTTGCTCTAATAGTGGCAGGATGTGGAAATGACCCCCCAACTGTTGGGGTGCCACCCAGGTGAGGTATCTTGGTTGTAAACAGTTATTACAGCCAGGAATTTCTTTCTCGGCTGTGGTGTCAGAATGGCAGACCTGAAAAACCTGCCGGGCCCGCCTCTGGGTGTGGGGGGTGCCCTCTACTGCTCTCCCGCTGCAGCTGGTCCCTGGGACAGGATGGGGGCCATGGGGTCACTGGTAGGGGGAGACCTGGGGTTGGTGTGGGGGTGTGCTGGGGAGGGGTTTGCTGGGATCCCTTTCTCGCCATCTGGGCGGGGATGAGGCAGCTCCAGGCCCCAAGGCAAGTATGCAGAGGGCAGGTGAGCGGAGGCAGAAGCTTAGGAACTGGGTGTGGGGGTGTGGGGCGTTGACTGTGTCTAGCCTGCCCAGTGACCCCATGACTCATACTCTAACTATGTCCCCCCGAGGTCGGGCTGATAGGGAGGAGTTGGGGTTCCTGTGTGGACCCTGTCTGGACTTCCAGGACGCTCTGAGAAATTAGAGAAGAAAGGATTGGCTGGGTGCAGTGCCTCACGCATGTAATCCCAGCACTTTGGGAGGCCGAGGCGGGTGGATCACCTGAGGTCAGGAGTTCGAGACCAGCCTGGCCAACATGGTGAAACCCAATTTCTACTAAAAATACAAAAGTAGCCAGGCATGGTGGCGTGCACCTGTAATCCCAGCTACTTTGGAGGCTGAAGTGGGAGAATTGCTTGAACCTGGGAAGTGGAGGCTGCAGTGAGCCAAGATCGTGCCACCACTGCATTCCAGCCTAAGTGACAGAGCCAGGCCCTATCTCCAAAAAAAAAAAAAAAAAAAAAAAAAAAAGAATCGAAGCAGCCCAGCATGGAATTGGGATTGGATTGGGACCAATGCTGGCAAGGGGGACCGTGGATGGAGTTGGGTTCCTGTGGGGGTAAAGGAAGGTTCCAGGGAACCCTGTGAGAGTTCCTTGGGCCTAAATGGGGGCTGGGAAAGTTGGAGCCCCAGTGATCTGGGATGTGGAGGAACCCCTGCCATGCTGGGAAGTGTCAGACCTTAGATGAGTGGGGATGTGGGGCCTGGGTTTGTCAAAAGGCTTTAGGGACTGATCCCCACCCCTGCTGTTGAAGGCAGGGCACCACTGCTTCAAGAGAGGGGTACAGGCCCTATGGGGCAGGCAGGAGGACTGCAGAGAAACATGACACCTTACAAGCAGCTTGGCCTCACCCCACAATACACAGATGGGGAAGGGGCTTGAACCCATGCCTCCTTGGTTGGCTGGGTCTTCCTCACACCAGGCTAACATGTCATGACAAGCTGCCGACTTCAAGGTAGGTGATAATGGAGCTCTGTGGCCCCATAAAGCCCTCCCAGTCACCTGCCACCTAGGTTAGGCCAGGTGGTGGGAGGTGATGTCACTCAGCTGCCCAGCTGGGGACTGAGCATGATGTGGAAGGAAGGGAGCAAACTCCAGAGGAGGGGTGGCCAGCCAAGGCAGGTTCCATGGTCAGCTGAGCCATCGGGGGCAGAGAAGGAGGCAGGAGGCAGGTGGTTCGTTATTTGCAGCTGTGGACTTTGCTTCTCACAAATCCCAGCAGGAGGACTTCCCTACACTAGGCTCAGGACAGGCTGTCATGGCAAGAGGGGCTGGAGGGACCCTGGGTCAAGTGAACATTCTCCTTGCTACACTAGAGCTACAGAATGGAGTTGGGACAAGCACAGACCCACAGATCTGAGCTTGAACCCTGGCTCCACCGCCTCCTCATTTACTTACTCTATCTTTTATTCATTCAGCTGGCACCCATTCATTGAGCACTTGTGTGTACAGCCATGTTCAGGGTGCTGGTGATGCTGCTGAAAATGGGACAGATAATGTTTCCTGTCCTCGTCGATGTTCCAGGAGGCACAATCTCTTGTTGGACAACCGTTTGTGAGAGGATATAACTGTGGAAGTGATAATTAAGTTCTAGAATGATAAGTGTGATGCAGGGGCTGGGGTGGTGAGAGGTTGAAGAAAGCACTTCAGGCAGCATCCACAGCCTGGGCAAAGGCCCTGAGGCCTGAGGGACCAGGGAGCTTATGAGGAAGTTGGTGGAGTTAGAGCGGTTCTCATGAGCGAGAGTGTAGGACCAGAGGGGTGGGCCTGGTTTATGTCTGTGGCTATGGGCCAGTTATTTCACCTCTGTGCCTTCCTTTCCTCATCTCTAAAATGGGGATACGAATCTTTCCGGGTGGCTCTGAAGATTGAGTGTGGCATCATAGGTAACTGTTGCAGGCACCCAGGTGTTGACTGCGTGTCCATTGTTGTTATAGTTGGTTGAATCTGTCCCATTAATTCTCCTTCCCCAGGCAAGACTCGTGGCTGTGACCCATGGGCCTCTGAGGAGGCGTTGTAAGTCCGCCCAGCTCCCCACTTGCTGTGCTCTCACTCAATGCGAAGGGAACCAAGGTACCAGGGCCAAGTGGGTCCAGACATCCACACGGATTCTGAAAGGGCAGGTCAAGCAGGCACGTGGGGCCCAGGTTACCCCTTATTCCCCGCTGTGGCATGGGAAGCTGGGAAGGGCTGGGGGTTGGGGTATCATGGGATGTGCTTCCTTAACGGCTCCTTTGTGTCACTGCCAGACTTTGTCCAGCCATCAGCCACGGCCTCTCGACAGCACCAAGATGGAAGTCAAAGGTCAGCTGATCAGCTCTCCTACCTTCAATGCCCCAGGTCGGTGGCTGCTTCCCCTCCTGCTGCCTCCTCCCCTGCTCTGAATCACCACCTGCTTGCTCGGGAAGAGTTGGTCCCTTGCCCCACAGCTGCTCCAGAATGCCCTGGCTGTCCCACTGATCTTTGCTCCCTCTGTGTCCAGCTGCCCTGTTCGGAGAGGCTGCCCCCCAGGTGAAGTCAGAGCGTCTGCGGGGGCTGCTTGACCGGCAGCGGACCCTGCAGGAGGCCCTGAGCCTGAAACTTCAGGAGCTCCGCAAAGTGTGTCTCCAGGAGGCGGTGAGGGCCTGGCCCTAGGGGTATCAGGCGGGGAGGTTGGGAGGAGGTGAGGAGCTGGGGCCCCTAGGTAGACAGACTTGGGTGGCAATTCCTCAACCACTTGTCTTGGCTGTAGATTCCCTGTCACCTACTTTCTCCTCAAAGCTCAGCTTAGATGTGTTAGAATGAATGAAATAGGCTGGGCGCTGTGGCTCACGCCTGTAATCCCAGCACTTTGGGAGGCCGAGGCAGGTGGATCACCTGAGGTCGGGAGTTCCAGACCAGCCTGACCAACATGGAGAAATCCCGTCTCTACTAAAAATGCAAAATTAGGCTGGGCGCGGTGGCTCACGCCTGTAATCCCAGCACTTTGGGAGGCCGAGGTGGGCGGAACACGATGTCAGGAGATCGAGACCATCCTGGCTAACACGGTGTAACCCCGTCTCTACTAAAAATACAAAAAATTAGTCAGGCGTGGTGGCGGGCACCTATAGTTCCAGCTACTCGGGAGGCTGAGGCAGGAGAATGGCATGAACCCGGGAGGCGGAGCTTGCAGTGAGCCCAGATTGCGCCACTGCACTCCAGCCTGGGCGACAGAGCAAGACTCTGTCTCAAAAAAAAAAAAAAAAAGCAAAATTAGCTGGGTGTGGTGATCCTAGCAACTTGGGAGGCTGAGGCAGGAGAATCGCTTAAACCCTGGAGGTGGAGGTTGCGGTGAGCTGAGATTGCGCCATTGCACTCCAGCCTGGGCAACAAGAGCAAAACTCCACCTCAAAAAAAAAAAATATGGTAATACAGGCCCACTGTTGACAATTTCAAATCCAACAAACCTCAGAAAACAGGTTCTGTCCAAAATTTGGCAGCACAGTCTGACCTGAACTGGCACAGGCTGATCTGTAGTTTCAGTTTACCCCTCTTACTGTGAATGCCCACAGTGTGCCGGAAATAATACTACAGCTCAGACCACGCAGCCACAGCCCCTGAAGTGAGTTATATAATACTTAGGATCTCGATGGTATCACCTTTATAAAAACAAAACAATTCTGGATTCCAAAGCAGGTCTCCCTGCCTCCCATGCCCACCACCCCAGGGGTTTGGGCCACTGAGGTTTGGGCACACCTGCCTAGTGGAGATACTGGTAGGAGGGAGGGGAGTATCGTGCGTGGTTGCTGAGCAGGGCCAGGCTCCTGGTAGGACTTCTGTAGCTTCTGGGATCATTAATGCTTCACCCCATCCTTCCAACTAACCCTTGGTAGTCTCTGACCCCTGCCTCCCACCAGGAGCTGACTGGCCAGCTGCCCCCTGAGTGCCCACTAGAGCCTGGTGAACGGCCCCAGTTGGTCCGCCGGCGGCCCCCCACAGCCCGCGCCTACCCTCCACCGCACCCCAACCAAGCACACCACTCCTTGTGCCCTGCTGAGGTGAGCAGATGGGTGTGGAGAGCAAGAGGGTGGGAAGAGGGGACAGGTACAGAGGAGTAGCCAGGAGGAAGGTGTGGGGAGGGGGCTTGTGGCCAGGTGAGGGAGAGGCTAAGATGAGAAGGAAAAGGGCTTCTGGAGTTAGTTTCCTGTGATGAGGGAGGATGCTGGTCCCTAACTGTCAGGACAGGCCTCCAACCCTAAGGAAGATGAACAGACCCAGCCCTTCACCAAGAGAGGCCCTGACACGCCCCCTCCCCGGGGTGAATAGGTCTGAATAGGCTGCAGGAAGTGCAGGCCAGCCTCTACTGGGTTTGGCCCCGCCAGGTCCCTGTTCCTGGCCATTTCCAACATTTGGGTGGGCCCAACAGGAGCTGGCTCTTGAGGCCCTGGAACGCGAGGTGTCAGTGCAACAGCAGATCGCGGCGGCCGCCCGCCGCCTGGCCTTGGCCCCTGATCTGAGCACCGAGCAGCGCCGGCGCCGGCGCCAGGTCCAGGCAGATGCACTGAGGAGGCTGCATGAGCTAGAGGAGCAGCTCAGGGATGTCCGGGCCCGCCTTGGCCTCCCAGTGCTCCCGCTGCCCCAGCCACTGCCACTGTCCACGGGGTCAGTGATCACCACCCAGGGAGTCTGCCTGGGCATGCGTCTTGCTCAGCTCAGCCAAGGTGAGCATCCCCTGGTGAGGGTGGGAGAGTGGACACTGGCAAATGGACGTGGTAGGGCTGGGATGGGTGACTGGCCGGTGAAAACCGGGAGGTAGGCACAACTCAAGTGGCCCAACCCGTGAGAAGAGTTGTGACAAACTGGCTTACCGGAAAGGACAAACTGTGGGGGACTGATGAATATCTGCCAGGACAGTCAGGAACCAAACTGGGGTGGTCTTGGGCTCTGGTAAAAGCAGATTCTTGGGACAGGAACAGGATGAGGCGGAAACTGGCCAGAAGGTGGCCCAAGTAGAGGTGCCCACCCAGTGGTGTAAGGGGGCAGCACCCAGGCCTGGGAGTGAGAGGCCCACTTCTCCCCCTCTCACCTGTAGAGGACGTAGTTCTGCACTCAGAGAGCAGCTCCCTCTCAGAGTCTGGGGCCAGCCATGACAACGGTGAGGACTCCTATCCCCCAAACCTGCCCCCGACTCCTACGTCCCTTTAGCCCATCCCCTTTATTCATCCGACCACATCCTGCATGATCAGCCCATCCTTTGATGCCCAGCCCCTCCTGTGCTGCTTCAGCTTCTCCTTAGCCATGCTCCATCTTCCTATGGGTCCCCCATCTTCTTAGCCTCACCCCACCCCAGCCCCACAGCCCCAGAACCTACTTGTCAGCCTTAGTTCCTCCTCAGCCTGCTTAACCTGTCCCAGCACTTTGCCCCTCCCCATGGCCTTGCCCCCCAGCCTGTCCTGCCCCCTCTGGGCCCCCCTCATTGAATTCTATCCCACTTGCTCTCTTCCACTCAGAGGAGCCCCATGGCTGCTTCTCTCTGGCCGAGCGCCCCTCACCACCCAAGGCTTGGGACCAGCTGCGGGCAGTATCTGGGGGGAGCCCTGAGCGGCGAACCCCATGGAAACCACCTCCATCAGATCTTTATGGGGATCTGAAGAGCCGGCGGAACTCTGTGGCCAGCCCCACCAGGTGAGAATGAGCCCCTCCTCCCCTCCGCAGGAGCTGGGAATGGGATAGCAAGCCTGGGCTGGCAGAGGGTCTGCTGGTGGGTACAGTCTCTAACCTAGGCCTGCCTGTCTCTGTCTAGCCCCACACGCTCGCTGCCCAGGAGTGCCTCCAGTTTTGAGGGGCGAAGTGTGCCTGCCACCCCTGTCCTCACCCGGGGCGCTGGCCCCCAGCTCTGCAAGTAAGGGGAATCTGAGGGTGGGCTGGAGGATCAGAGGGGAGGGAACCATTAGTTCTCACTGGAAGCTTGAGGACAACATTATCAAAAGGTGGGATGGCTGGGCGCGGTGGCTCACGCTTGTAATCCCAGCACTTTCGGAGGCCGAGGCGGGCGGGTTACTTGAGGTCAGGGGTTCAAGACCAGCCTGACCAACATGGTGAAACCCTGTCTCTACTAAAAATACAAAAATTAGCTGGGCATGGTGGGGCATGCCTGTAATCCCAGCTACTTCGGAGGCTGAGGCAGGAGAATCGCTTGAACCCGGGAGGCGGAGGTTGCAGTGAGCTGAGATCAACATCGTGCCATTGCACTCCAGCCTGGGCGACAAGAGCGAAACTCCGTCTCAAAACAAACAAAAAAACAAAAGGTGTGGGACATGGGAGGCTGGGCATTAAAGGTGAGCAGGCATCTCGGTGGATAATGGGGTAGGAGTCAGTCTCCTCATTTGTGAAATGGAAATAATAATATCTGCCTTTGAAAGACATGGACATAATAAGTTCTGGTTAACATATACTGAGTGCCTGCCATCTGCTAGGAATTAGTGTTTTACGTGGCATCAACTCATTTAATCATAATCAGATCCCTGTGAGGTGGGTGCTATTGTTATTCCCATTTTATAGATGAGGCAAGTGAGGCACAGAAAGGTTAAGTAACTTGTTAGTAAACTGAAGTCCTGGAGTTTGAGCCCAGGCAAGTTTTACTCTAGAGTCCATGCTTTTAACCACTGTCCTCTTCTGCTTCTTAAACAGAGTGCCTACTTTCCCCAGGCTCTGAACAAAACCAAGTCCCCTTCCTTGTGGGGCTTGCATTCTGTGAACGGTGGCTGTTGGGATGGTAGCTTTGGGTGGTTCATACGTATGGTCGGATAGAGAATTCAGGCAGGGTTTTACATGTGAGCCCTAAGGCCTAGGACTTAATCCTGGAGGCCGTGCGAGCCATGAGAACGGCCTTAGCAGGGGGAGGGGTCAGCTGGATTAGGAACAGCCCCCTGCCCGGCATCTACTCTGCTAGCCTTTCCTCTGAGTCCCTACACAGATTTACACCTCCCTTGGAGCTAACAGTGCCAGGCCTCCCCCACGCATTTCTACCCCTGACCGCCTAGCCTAGGATAGAACCTCAGCTGCCCTTTACATGTCACTACCTGCCACCTTTATACACACAGCTTCCAACCTTGGGCCCATTTGGAGATGTGAAAGTGAAGGCTTAGAAAGGGCTGGGGTAGGGAGGGCACTGCACGCCTTCTGCCTGATTTTTCTGACCCTATTCCCATGACCCTCGCCTCTCACCCCAGACCTGAAGGCCTTCATTCTCGTCAGTGGTCCGGCAGCCAGGACTCCCAGATGGGCTTCCCCCGGGCGGACCCTGCCTCCGATCGCGCCTCCCTCTTCGTAGCTCGCACCCGCCGCAGCAACAGTTCTGAGGCCCTGCTGGTGGACCGGGCCGCTGGTGGGGGAGCTGGCTCCCCGCCTGCCCCTCTGGCTCCCTCTGCCTCTGGCCCCCCAGTCTGCAAGAGCAGTGAGGTGCTGTATGAGCGCCCCCAACCAACCCCTGCCTTCTCCTCCCGCACAGCAGGCCCCCCAGACCCTCCCCGGGCCGCCCGGCCTAGCTCAGCTGCCCCTGCCTCCCGAGGTGCCCCCCGGCTCCCACCTGTGTGTGGAGACTTCCTCTTGGACTATTCCTTGGACCGGGGCCTGCCCCGCAGTGGCGGTGGAACAGGCTGGGGGGAGCTGCCGCCTGCAGCTGAGGTCCCAGGACCCCTCTCCCGCCGGGATGGGCTCCTCACCATGCTCCCCGGCCCACCACCTGTGTATGCAGCTGACAGCAACAGCCCCCTCCTCCGCACCAAGGACCCCCACACCCGTGCCACCCGCACTAAGCCCTGTGGCCTGCCCCCAGAGGCTGCCGAAGGCCCTGAGGTGCATCCAAACCCTCTGCTGTGGATGCCCCCACCCACCCGTATCCCCTCGGCTGGTGAACGCAGTGGCCACAAGAACCTGGCTCTGGAGGGGCTGCGGGACTGGTACATCCGGAACTCGGGACTGGCTGCGGGGCCCCAGCGCCGGCCTGTGCTCCCTTCCGTGGGCCCGCCACACCCACCCTTCCTCCATGCCCGCTGCTATGAGGTGGGCCAGGCGCTGTACGGGGCCCCCAGCCAGGCGCCACTCCCACACTCGAGGAGTTTCACGGCGCCCCCTGTCTCTGGCAGGTATGGGGGGTGCTTTTACTGATGGGTAGGGGTCTCGTAAGGCAGATGGCGAAGATATCCAGGCCAGGGAGTGGCTAGTCATGATAGCTAATGAATTGGACCATGAGGAAACTAGCTGCTGTGATGGCACAGGGTCACTCTACTGCACATGACCTGCATTAGTCCATGGGGTCCTGGTGGAGGGGATCTTGGGCACTGGTAGCAGCAATTCTTTATCAAGTTATAGGCTGAAGATGAGCCTTGAAGCCAGGGTGCCGGGAGGAAGGGACATCTCATGCCCCTTGCTGTTTTCTTCCTTTTTTCTCCATGCCCCAGAGCCTGAAAGTGCTGTCCTGTGCCTGCCTCCACCTCTTTAACGAGCCTCTTTTCCTTTCTTTTTCTGTGTCTTGTCTGTCTTTTCTTCTTCTTGTCTTCCCCGCCCTGTCCTCCGGATTCCTGCTACCCCTTCTAAAGATACTACGCGGACTTCCTGTATCCCCCGGAGCTGAGCGCTCGTTTAAGTGACCTGACGCTAGAGGGGGAGCAGTCCTCCAGTTCTGACACCCAGACCCCGGGGACACTGGTCTGACCCCTTCTGATATGTCCCTTGTTGGCCTGGGCACGATTCCAATCTGGGGAGCACACAGCTGACCTCGCTGGGCCCTGGGGTGTGGTTGCTCTCAGTCCTGAGCAGAGTGCGCCAACCTAATCTTCCAAGGCCCCTGGCTCCCCGTAGGCCCAGGAAGGTGTCTGACACCCTGCTTCTTCTCTCACACTGTGCTGGGGACTGGGGGCCCTCAGCTAGCTTAAAAGAGGGGGGATGATGTCATGGGGACCCCAAGCCCCTTCCTCCATTTATGTTTACAGTTGTGACTTAGGTATTCACTGTCTTCCTCCAACACTAGGCGTTTTACAAAAGGGAAACTGTGATCTCATCTGGTTGGGTTCATTCCTGTTCCCATGCCCAACCAGGTTCCATTCAGGAACCCCCTCCATAAAATGGACCATATCGGGTCTCAGGGCCATTTAGGGCAGCCAGGAGACTCCGGTGTGAACAGAAATCCCTGCCACGCATCGCCAGGGCAGTTGGGGCAGTGGGCTCTCTGCCCACACTTGGAAGGACTGCAGTCTGGGTGGGATGCCTGAAAGAGCCCAACCCCCTCTGTGCCCATGGCCTCTGCCCTGACCACCCCCAGTCAGGAGGCCCCACAGGAGGGGCACCCGGTAGATGCCAGTGAAATCCTCAGGGGAGGTCTGCCTGAAAGAGCCCAACCCCCTCTGTGCCCATGGCCTCTGCCCTGACCACCCCCAGTCAGGAGGCCCCACAGGAGGGGCACCCGGTAGATGCCAGTGAAATCCTCAGGTGAGGTCTGCCTACGGGCCACGGGCCACTCACCACTCACACCTTCCTTGGCTTTCCTTCCACCCTTTTTTTTTTCTCGAGACGGAGTCTTGCTCTGTCACCAGGCTGGAGTGCAGCGGCGCAATCTCAGCTCACTGCAACCTCTGCCTCCTGGGTTCTCCTGCCTCACCCTCCCGAGTAGCTGGGATTACAGGCACACGCCACCATGCCCGGCTAATTTTTGTATTCTTAGTAGAGACAAGGTTTCACCATATTGGCCAGGCTGGTCTTGAACTCTTGACCTCGTGATCTGCCCGCCTTGGCCTCCCAAAGTGCTGGGATTACAGCCGTGAGCCACTGCACCCAGCCCCAATCCACCACTTTTTAAGCAAACCCACACAAGTTGTGTTTTCTATGATACCTGTCTGTGATTTTCGGAGCTGGGGGTTCCCCTACCCCCTTTTCCTGGCGTTAAGCTTTTCTTTTTATACCAGTGGATCTGGACCCAAGACATTACCCACACTGGAAGGGGATTTGTATAATAAATGTGTAAACTGAACCCATGTGTTGCTGCTCTGTCTGCCTCACCTTGAGGACCCACACCTCTAGTCAAGACCAGATAATATATTTTTGCAGGAAAAAACATACCTTGGGAATAGCCTGTGATAGTGTCATCTGTTTTGACTTTACTTGCTTTGTGATGTGGGGCAACTTCTTTGCCTGTCTGCACTCAAATTTCTAGCCAACCTCAAACAATAACTCTTGGTAATATAAATGGTGATAACAAAGACTCTGTCCTTAACCTCCCTATACATTTTTTAAAAATTTTTATTTTTTTGAGACAATGTCTCACTCTGTTGCCCAGGCTGAAATGTAGTGGCGCGATAACGGCTCACTGCAGCCTTGACCTCCTGGACTCACAATCTTCCCACCTCAGCCGCCTGAATAGCTGAAACTACAGTTGTGCACCACCATACCCGCTAATTAAAAAAGAAAAAAAAATTGTAGGCCGGGTACGCAGTGGCTCACGCCTGTAATCCTAGCACTTTGGGAGGCCAAGGTGGGCAGCTCACGAGGTCAGGAGATCAAGACCATCCTGGCTAACAGTAAAGCCCCGTCTCTACTAAAAATACAAAAAAAATTAGCCGGGCGTAGTGGCACGTGCCTGTAATCCCAGCTACTCGGGAGGTTGAGGCAGGAGAATCGCTTGAACCCGGGAGGCAGAGATTGCAGTGAGCCGAGATCATGCCACTGCACTCCAGCCAGGGCGACAGAGCAAGACTGTCTCAAAAAAAAAAAAAAAAGTAGAGATGGGGGTCTCATTATGTTGCCCAGGTTAGTCTCGGACTCCTAGGCTTGAGCAGTCCTCCTGCCTCAGCCTCCCAAAGTGCTGGGATTGCAGGCGTGAGCTACCATGCCCAGCTTTTTGAGACAGGTTCTCACTGTTGCCCAGGTTGGAGTGCAGTGGCACAATCACAGCTCACTGCAGCCTCTACCTCTTAGGCTCTGGCCATCCTGCCACAGCCTCCCAAGTAGCTGGGACTACAGAAGCACACCACCATGCCCAGCTAAATTTTAATTTTTTTGTAGCAATAAGAGTCTTGCTATATTGCCCAGGTTGGTCTCAAACTCCTAGCCTCAAGTGATCCTCTAGTCTCAGCCTCCCAAAGTGTTGGAATTACAGGCGTGAGCCACTGCACCTGTCCTTCCCTGTGCTTTAATGCTGATCCAGAGGTCATAAGTTCAAGGAAGGGCCTCAGAGATCACCTCTTCAGCCCACATATTCAGGAAGAGTCTAGCAGAATTGAAAAGTAGGCCACTTCTGTCCTTTGAAATGTACAAGGACTTTACCCAGGAGGCTCAAATTGGCATGAGAGATGCAACAGGCTTTATTGTTGCAGCAACACTAACATATACGCCCCATTCCCTGCTGAGGCCTGTCCCCACCTCACCCCTTGGTTGTCGATGGTGTGGAACATTGGGGTGAGGGGCAAAATGCCTAAGCAGAGCTGGAGGGAGGCAAATGGGACTGGTGAGGGTCGGGATCACCTGGACCAGGGGTCCAACAGTCAGGATACCCGACTCCATCCACACAGGGGCATGGAACACTTGGGTTCTGAGTTCAAGATTTGGCAATGTCTTGACCTGGGTTGGAAGGTAGGGTGGGGTCTGGAAAAGCTTTGGTCCAGGGTTCAAGATTTGAGAGTGCCTTGCCCCAGGCCCCAGTTTGGGGATGAGCATGGAGAAGGGTGGATGGGAGTGTCTCTGGGTTCACAATTTGAAATTGGCCATGGATGCTCTGGCCTGAAGCCAGTTTTGGGGCTGGATGTAGGTGGCTCTTGGTCCTGGGTTCAAGGCTGGGGAAGACTCTTGTCCCTAGGTAATGGGGGCTGGGTGTGAGGGATATCTTAGTTTGGGGCTGGCGTGGGGGTAGGGCGGTCACAGATGTCCTGTTTTGTTTGGGCAGGGGGCTCTAGGCTCCTGTTTTAAGTGCTGGGAAAGGGCTCTGGGTCCCAATTATGGGCTGGGGGTGGGGTGGTATTCTCCAGGTCCTGGGTACAGATCCCAGGGGCCTAGGATCCAGCCTCCTGCTCTTGTCCCAGTGCCTCTAGTAGCAGGCCCATTGGCGTCCGCTTGAGACCAATGCTCTCGATCTTGTTCTCAATCTTGTTCTTAAGGTTGCGCAGGCGCAACGAGGCGTGCACCAGGATCACTGTGGGCGGCACCGAGAGGGGTGGTCAGTGGAATAGACCTCAGCCTGCAGCCAACCGGGGCCCACCGAAGGGAATTGGCGCGCAGGCAGGCCAATGGAGTGGTGAGCAGCCAGGACGCCTCAGATACTGAAAGCGTGGCCGAGTAATTGGCTTGGCAACGTGGGCATGGCCAGGGAAGACGCCCGGTAACGGGGACGTGGCCAGTGGAAGGCACTTAACACCAAGAGTGAGATAGGAAAGGCGATAATAAAAGGGGTGTTCCCAGAAGGGGGAACGAAGCCCGGGAAGGCGCTTTTAGCGGGGGCGTGGCGAGGCCCTCGGGTTTCCCAGCCCCCTCTCAACCCGGGGACCGGCAGGGCTGGCCTGGTGCCTTAAGCATGCTCTGGCTGCTTTCCTGGCTATCTCGGGGTAGTGGAGACTCACGAAGCACCGGCCCGGCGATGCTGAACAGGAAGGTGCAAGCGCCGCCCGCGACCCAGAGCACCAGGAGGCCGACGGCAAGCACTGCGGCCAGGCAGGCTGCAGGGTGGCTGCGGCGGCAGCGGCGCACAGCTGCGCGGGTCTCAGCTGCCCACACCAGCACGCCGAGGGCCACCGCCACTACCAGCGCGCTCAGGAGCGTATGAAGTGGCCGCACGTACCTGCGGGTACAAGGGAACCAAGCTAGCCGGCCGGGCGGAGAGACGGCCTCCGGACCACCACCCACCCTGGGCCCCAAGAGCCAGGGTCTCCCGTCTCCGGACACTCCAGCCTGGCACATCCTCCCACCAGCCCTATCTCCAGCAGGCCCATCTGCCAGGGCTCCCGACTCACCCTTGTAGACCCCTCCTTTCCTCCTTGTCAATTCCACTGTCCTGTCTTCCTCAGGTCCCCGCTTCAGGCCCTCCCATCCTGCTAGACACTCCCCACACCCCCGGGCTCCCAACACTTCCCTGGACTTTCCTTCCGACTCTGCCCCCGTAGGGCCCCTCATCAGCCTGCCCGCAAGCTCCCCCTTTAACACCAGCCCCTGCAAATCCCTCTTTCAGGCCTTCTGTCTTCACACGTTCCCCTCTCCCCAGGCCTAGGGTCCTTATAGAACCGCCCTCCAGGCTCCCATTTCCCTATAGATTCCTCCCTCCATCATTGCTAGGACCTCTTCCAGGTCGTCAGCCCCACTCTGAACTTTCAGCACTGCTCAAGTCCTTCCTCCAGATTCTCCATCCCTCTCTGGTCTCAGGCTTTCCAACCATGGATCCTCCTCCTGGGCCCAAGTTCCCCAACAGGTACCTGCCCCTGGCGCCTTCCAATCATAGCCAGGCTCCCCTCCAAGACCGGATCCCCAATAAATACATCTTCCAAACCCTCCAACTTTACCGTCTATTTCCCGGTCTCTGCCCTAAGTACTCCAGGGTCGGCCTCAATCTGGCCCCATCATTCACATCACACCCCCCCTACGCCCCTCAAGTACTCTCATGTCCCCCTTTCGGGCCCTCCTTTTTTTCCGGTTCACCTTCCAGCCCACTTTCCCCTTCAGTCCCACACTTGTCTCCATCCTCCCCATATCTTCCTTGCAGACCCCCATCCCCCGCAGGCCCTCCTCATCAGCCAGGCTCCATCTCCCTGAGGCCCTCCTTATAACTAGGCTCCACCTCCTTCAAGGCCCCCCTTCCAAGCCCCTCAGGCCGTCCATCTCTACTGACTTCGCCCTTCCCGGCCTTGCACCCCCCTCAGGTTCCCCGTCCTGGTCCTCAAAGACCTGTGGGTCTACCCCCACGCTCTGCAGACGTCCCTGGCCAACCGGCGCCTCCCTCCCTCACCCGGCGAGAGCGAGGCCGATGCCGAAGCAGAGAAGGTAGTTGGTTTGGTAGTAGAGGAGGTTGTTGATGACGCGGTGGCACCATCGCTGCGGGTCGCATGGATCCGGAGCCGCCAGACGCGCCGACCCCAGAACAAAGTCGTCCAGGGCGCGTAGCGGTGGCAGCCGCACCTCCGACATCCTGCCGGTTAATGTGGCTGGACCAGCCAGGAGGGGGCCGGACTACAACAACCGTTACGCCCCTCGCCACCGCGGGGCACACCGGGAAATGGAGTCTGGGCTGGGCAGCTTTTTCCTAACCTCCTAGGTGGATTGCGCAGGGGCGGCGATGCACGTGACCGGAAAAGCAACTAACACGCCGCTCAGGAAAGCAGCAAAGGCTGCCGGGAAATCAAGCCTTTGCCACGAAGCGAGATGCTCCCAACCCTTAAAACTGCCATCCACCCCCGCGCGGGGCGCCGCAGGGGCTGCTCCGGGCGGTGCCAGCGGCTCAAGCACAAAGTAGCCAGACAGATAAGAAAGGAGGGACTGTCACAAGGATCCGAGTTGGATTCCACCTCCTTCCTGTCAGCGCCCAAGAGGGTCACATTTCTCCAGGAAACTCCATGCCCCGCCCCTGAGGTCAAGCCGTAAATGCCATTAAGGGCCTTTTATTCGTATTCATCACATCGGAGATCATCTCTTCCTAGGAAGCTTTTAAAAAATCCCCAGGTTGGATTAGGGCACTCCCTCTGGGTCCCTGGCAATTTCCTCCAGGTTAGGGATCCCAAGGGGTCGCTGCCTTCCTGGGTCTCTGGCCTGGCCCTTGGGGCACACAGTCATCAAGAAGTGCTGGGGGGAAGTGAGCTCTTTATTTAGACATAGCTCTGCTGAGTGGAAAGTGGGCACCAGCCCCATTAATGCTTGCTGGCTGGTGGCTTCCAAGCACGCCCCACTGCCAAGGCTCAGCTCTGCAGTTCTGCCACTGCAGGTCCCTAGCACAGCCCCCAGGGTCCTTAAAAGTCATCATCATCACAGATGTCAAGGTACACGTCGAAAGCCTCTCTGTTGCAGTTTCCATCAGGAGTGAAGACATATTTGTGGAAGGTCCCATCTACGCAGATGGCTGGGGGAGGGGGGGTGGTAAAAGGTCAGAGGCTGCCACAGCCACAGGCTCCAGTCCTCTCAGGCATCTCAGGACCTAGGGTCTGCCTCCAGGCCTTTGCCCAGTGCTGTCCCCCTTACTGATGATGAAGCTGAGCCTCACATGGCCCTAAAATCCTTTCAGGTCCAACCTGCAGGCCTTTGCCCCATGCAGTACCCCCAACCAAGGGGCTGTTCCCACTCACCAATGACAGAGTTGACGTTCTTGGAAGTATTGCGACCGAAGGCGCAGATGCAAGCTGACTCAGCAGGCACAGTGAAGCTCGCCAGGCTCCACTGAGAGTCCACGTACTGCCCAATCATAGGCCCCACCTTGCCCACGCGAGCCAGCCTGCAGGCAGCACTGGCTAAGCCCAGGTATGGTAAATGGGCAGGGGGACAGGGACACGGTAGGGTGGGGAGGGGGTACTCACGCGGAGCGGCGGTTGAGGCGGGTATCCTTGAGAGCAAAGATATGGACAGTACCCTTATCACTGGAAGCGCAGAGGAAGGAGGAGTCGTGGCTGAAGTTAATGCTAGAAGACAGATCAGCAGTGATGCCCACATGTCATGTGGTATGGGGTCACCAGCCCACCATGCATACCCTGTGCTCACCAGTAGAGGGTGGCAGGGTCAGTGCCTCGGCGCAGCTCCACCAGTTTCTCCTTGGATTGTGTGTCAAAGAGGCGAATAAGGGTACCCTTCTGGGAGGCTGAGGCCACTACAGTGCCTGGCTGGTTTAGAGACACACAGGCTATGTCACTCTGATGTGCATTGATCGTGAATGGAGCAGACGAGGTGCCAGGCTTTGTGCTCGCCAGGTCCTGGGGTAGGAGGGAGGAGTCTGAGGTTGGGGTGGTATGGAGGGAAGGGGCCAAGAGTCCACAAGGAAGCCAGTCCACCAACCTACCCACCCTTGTCCACTGGACGGCTCACCACAAGTTGCAGACTCCCACACTTGTGTCCCGGGAACACTAGCAGTTGCTTCTCCAGGCTGGGGCAGAGGTCACAGAGCCCTAGGGTGTGAAGATGGGGGGTGGGGTGGGCGGCTGAAGAGGAGGCAGCATCTCAGAATGGACAGAGCTGGATGAGGACCAGACTTCAACCCTCCACGATAAGCTTAACCCGAAGAACCCTGAGGGGGCTCAGCTCAGCTGCACGCCCCGCCAGCTAGGCAGATTCCATTCCTTGCTCTGCAGCTGTGGAATCTAGTAAGCTGCTATCACAGCCCCAGAAGCTCAGGGATCCCTGACACACCCACCCATGTCCTCACGAGGTGTTTTTGCTCTGCCACTGGGGTACCCAGGGGTGGGGCAGGTCCGGAGGTGGGGAGAACTGGCTGAGGGCTGGAAAGATGGAGAGGCTATGAGTGTGAGCATCTCCCTGCCTCTTTCCCCATTTCTCTGTGTGTGAGTGCCCCTTCCTTTCTTTCCTCATCTCTGCCCCTCTGCCCCATCCACTGTTTCATGCCCTTACACCTGTGTATCTGAGCCCTCTCACCCTTGGGGTTGTCCCGGGTATCAAACTCAAACAGCTTTCGGGGATTGTCGGGGAAGGAGTACACATAGATGCGGTTCTTCAGCACGATCACGATCCTGTGGGTATCACACAACACAGGATGGCCGTGAGGGGGTGGCGGGATGCCCAGGGAGGACTATCCCTCTCACTTACTGTGGGGACCTCCTACCTCCCACCCCGGTCCTCCTCAGGCTCACTTGTCATGGCGCATGCGCACAGAAAGCACTGGCTTGGTGAAGGTGAACTCCAGCACCAGCTTCTCCTTGGAGTCCTTGCCCTCCCGGGCATCGTCCCAGATCAGCACTGCTGGGCAGGTGGGTGGGTTGTCGGGGCCAAGGTTTAGGGTAAGGGGCAGCCCTGGTGACACAGGATCCACCCCTGCTTCCCAGGGACCTCAACCTACTTGCTTAGCCTTTCAATAAACAACCAGTGAGATCCTCGCACAGCACGAGCACTTGTGGATATGATCCCTGAGAGGAGTGTTCTAGACTGTTACACTCATCTACAGATGAGGAAACTGAGGTTCAAAGTGGTTGAGTGTCTGGCCAAGGACCTCAAAGCTCATCAGCAACCAAACAGGGACTCACACTCAGGCCTGTAACTTCCCCTCGGTAACTATTTCTGCCTCCAGGGTCCTAGTCCATGCACCCTGGAGATTTCCGTGAGGAATCCTAGGGCTCTGTGACTCACCTAGGGCAACTCCTGCCTTGTCCAGATGGGATCATCAAGAAAAACCCTTAAAGTAAGATGGCACTTGAGGCTCAAGCCAAGGGGGTATTGGGAAGACGGCTCCAAGATTTTAAAACCTATTGCTTGTGTGACCTTGGATGAGTCACTTAACTGCACTGGGCCTCAGTTTCCTCATCGGTAAAGATGGGGATAATGATCCTTCCTACCCCATAGAGTTACTGTGAGGATTAAATGAGTTAATAAACGTAAAGTGCTTAGGGCAGTTCCAGGCTCACAGTAAGTGCTCTAGGGCATGGCACACAGGAGGCACTCAATCAGAATTTTTAAAATGAAAACAAAGCACCAAGCTTCTCAAGCTATAAGATCCATGACTTCCAAGCTGTAGGCCTCCTCTCTGTGTGACTCTGAAGTACTCTGACGTCTTCATCTGCCAGTACCTTGGGGTGCCTGTGGGAGGCCAGGAATCCGAGAAATCTGGGCCAAAGGGCAGGATGAGGGCACTTACCTGAGATCTCTGAGAACTTGGGACTACTACCACCGCCCACCAAGGCCAGAAGGTTGGAGCGGTGCAGCATCTCCACCAAGCCCATGCTGCCCACCTGCTCGTGGTCTGGACAGGGACCAGGGTGTCAGTGGAGGTGGGAGCCAACGCCCAGCCCAGCTCTTCTGCCCATTGCCCCTCCCCTGCCAACAGCTCACCCAGATGCCCCTTCTCCATCAAGGGCTCCACGTTGTAGATGCGCACACCTGTCTCCATGGCGCAGCAAAAGCAGCCTGGGGGATGGAAGGAATCCAGACTGCCTTAAAGAATGCCCAGGTAGGAAGCTGGGGGCCCATGGCCCACTTCTGACCCCTCTTTTCCTCGCTTCCTCCCACAAGGGTACAGGCCCAATCCTCTCTCACTTTGGTCTTGGTTGAAACGCAGGCTGGTCACTCCTCGAAGTGGCTGTTGAGTCATGGTGCAGGATTGTTCCTCTGCATACAAATGGGATAAAGATGAGAAGAGTCCTGGAATCTCCCCTCCAAGTTCTGCCTCACCTGATTTCCTCCTCCTACTCTGCTAACTACTGACTCTGGAGTGACTGCAAAAAAGATAAAAACAGGCCAGGCGTGGTGGCTTATGCCTGTAATCCCAGCACTTTGGGAGGCCAAGGCGGGTGGATCACCTGAGGTCAGGAGTTTGAGATCAGCCTGGCTAACATGGTGAAATCCCGTCTCTAATAAAAATACAAAAGTTAGCCGGGTGTGGTGGGGGGCACCTATAATCCCAGCTACTCAGGAGGCTGAGGCAGGAGAATTGCTTGAACCCGAGAGGCTGAGATGGCAGTGAGCCGAAATCGAGCCATTGCATTCCAGCCTGGGTGACAGAGCGAGACTCCGTCTCGGGGGGAAGAAAAAGATAAAAACAGAGAGTCCCAGGGTCTCTGCTCTAAGCTCCCAAGATCCCAAACAACATGGCCAGGAACCCTCCTTCTTTCAGGTTTGGCAAGCTCCAGGCCCACACTGACGTGGACCCCACACCTCCTCTTTACATGCTGGCCCTCACTGACTTGTCAGGAAGTAATGTGATAGGGGGTGCCCCCGTGATATCTCCTCCCCACCGCCAGCCAATCTTGATCCCAATGCCAGACATGGCCTGGAACCACTCCCAACCCATTTCTCATCTTCAAACCTGACCTAGCACCGGACTCTCTCAATAAATAGACAAAAGTGGGCTAGGAGATGCACTTCTTGTACCTCCCTGACTTGGCCCTGGGACTGCTATGCTTGGTCTGCCATCCCCAGGAACTCCTCTGCTCATACCCTTCTAACTGTACCCCAACCTATTTGACCACCCCAGAGTCCTCTCACACCTTTCCCCCTCAACCGGCTTCCCCAAACTCCTTCAGGATGCCTACCTTGGGATGACCCCTTCTCATGCCTTGGTAACTACCCTTCAGGGCCAGCCTAGACATTCCCTTAGATTGGCTTATGCCCTGGGGACTCTACCCTAGGATTCCCCCTAGCACTCTAAATTTTCCACCCCTGGGACATCTCCTTCCTTGTGTTCTGCTGTCCTTGACTACAACATAACCTGGCCTGGACCCAACCCCAGGAACCCCCCCCATCCTCCTAAGATTCCCCCTCTAGACCCCTATCCAAGACCCCGCCCCAGGGCACCCTTGCCTTCTAAGACCCTTGCCCAAAACAAACCACCCAAAACTCCTACCTAGGAGAACCTCAACCCCTAAGATGCCTGCGCAGTCCCCTACTAAGATTACTGCCATAGAGCCCCCAACTTCCCTTCAAATCCTCAACTCCCCAATAACTCTGGCCAGACATACTCCCTCCCCCATCCTCCAAGAGTCCAAATCTCCTTCCTTTCTTTCAGTTACACCCTCCACTGGAATGCCTCATGCTCTTTCTTTGGACAGCTCTGCCTTAGAGTTATTCTCTGGACAGCTCCAACTTTCAACACCCCTTTTTTGCACCTCCATTCCAAGACTCTGTCCGGGATGCCTCGCCCCTCTCCCAAGACCAGCCGCATGCTCCTTCCAACGCCAGCACCCACTCAAGACCTCTGCCTTAGACCCCTACTCGAAAGACTTCCAGCCTCCCCCAGACCCAACCAACCCTGGGATCGTGCTCCAGCTTCCTGCCGCCTTCACCGGCCTGACCTCCGCGTGTCCCTGACCCGGGCCCCAGCTGTCGGTGCCGCCCGCGGCCCGGTTTTCTGACCTCCCGGGCCTTGGAGCCCGGCTCGGGTGTTTACATCAGGCCCTACTTCCGGGGGAGGGAGCCTGTCGCAGGAAATGACTCACCCCAGCTGGAAAAAGGCGGCCACCGCCTTCCTCGCCTAGTTCCCGGGTCTTCGGAGCATCGCGAGTGACAGTGGGGTTCTCCGGGGAGGGCGCGGGGAGCGGAGGAAGGTTGGCTGGGGGACCGGAGGCGAAGGGGGTTCCTCAAGGCCGAGACTGTCTGAGGGAACCCGGAAGGGTGGGGAGAGAGAGCGTGCCTTGCCCCCAGCAAAGCGAAACCGGCCAAGCCCTCAGCCCCTTGGTCACCCACAATGGGGGAGTAAACCTTCCCTGCTAACAAGACGCGGACCTCCGCGGCGGCCGAGAGTAGCCGCCCCGGTTCGCAACACACAGTCCTCCCAGGCTTCCAGAGGGGCGGCGCTGGGGGTTACAGGCGGGGGCGGACCTGGAGACCTTGAAAGTGGAGAAACCTCCTTGGCTCCGGGAAGCCAAGGAACAGATTTCGCTTTCTTTCTCCCCACCCTGTCCCCCCAACCCCGCCAGCTCTGAGTTTTGTCTTTTGTGTTTTGTTTAGTTTTGTTTTCTGAGACAGAGTCTCGCTCTGTCTCCCAGGCTGGAGTGCAGTGGCGCGATCTCGGCTCACTGCAACCTCCGCCTCCCGGGTTCAAACGGTTATCCTGCCTCAGCCTCCGGAGTAGCTGGGACTGCAGGCGTGCGCCACCACGCCCATCTAATTTTTGTATTTTTAGTAGAGACGGGGTTTCACCATGTTGGTCAGGCTGGTCTCGAACTCTTGACCTCAGGTTATCCACCCACCTCGGCCTCCCAAAGTGCTGGGATTACAGGCTTAAGCTACCACGCCCGGCCTCTGCTTTTATTTTTACAAAATACAAAATAGCTTTTTGATAGTAAAAGGTATGAATGCTTTGGGTTAAAAAAAAAAAAAAAAAGAGGTCCTACCTATGATAAAGCTTTTAAAAAAAGGCCCCAAATTATATGCATACTGGAAGGAATTTTTTTTTTTTTTTTTTTTTTTGATTAACAGAGTTTGGCTCTTTTTGCCCAGGCTGGAGTGCAATTAGCGCGATCTTGGCTCACCACAACCTCCGCCTCCCGGGTTCAAGGGATTCTTCTGCCTCAGCCTCCCCAGCCTCCCAAGTAGCTGGGATTACAGGCATGTGCCACCACGCCCAGCTAATTTTGTATTTTTAGTAGAGACCGGGTTTCTCCCTGTTGATCAGTCTGGTCTTGAACTCCTGACCTCAGGTGATCCGCCTGCCTCGGCCCCCCAAAGTGTTGGGATTACAGGCGTGAGCCACTGCGCCCGGCTGGAAGGATTTTTAATTAAACTTTACATTAAGAAATAATAAATAGGCTGGGCGCGGTGGCTCACGCCTGTAATCCCAGCACTTTGGGAGGCCGAAGCAGGCAGATCATGAGGTCAGGAGTTCGAGATCAGCCTGGCCAGCATGGTGAAACCCCCTCTCTACTAAAAATACAAAAAGTTAGCCAGGCATGGTGGTGCGTGCCTGTAGTCCCAGCTACTCGGGAGGCTGAGGCAGGAGAATCACTTGAAGCCAGGAGGAGGAGGTTGCAGTGAGCAGAGATCGCACCACTGCACTCCAGCCTGGGTAATAGAGTGAGACTCTGTCTCGAAAAAAAAAAAAAAAGCCGGGCGTGGTGACACGCGCCTGTAATCCTAGCTACTGGGGAGGCTGAGGCAGGAGAACCACTTAAACCTAGGAGGCGGAGGTTGCAGCAAGCCCAGATCCTGCCATTGCACTCCAGCCTGGGAGACGAGCGAAATTCCCGTCTCAAAAAAAAAGGGCTGGGCATGGTGGTGCATGCCTGTAATCCCAGCAATTTGGGAGGCCGAGGCAGGTGGATTGCCTGAGCTCAGGGGTTTGAGACCACCCTGGGTAACACGGTGAAACCTCCTCTCTACTAAAATACAAAAAATTAGCCGGGCGTGGTGGCGGGCACCTGTAAGTCCCCTACTTGGGAGGCTGAGGCAGGAGAATCATTGGAACCCAGAAGGCAGAGGTTGCAGTGAGCCAAGATCGCGCCACTGCACTCCAGCCTGGGCAACAGAGGGAAACCCTGTCTCCAAAAAAAAAAAAAAAAAAAGAATATTCTTGAAAAAAAAGAAATATGCTTTTTGCAGTGGCAGTATCATAGCCAATGAGGTTTAGCCAAGGTGTGGATATTGCTAATTGGAAACTTCCCAATACCCCGCCCCGAAGACTTGCAATATAGTCGGCATTGGCAATTTTTGACAGTCTATGAAGACTGAATATTAAAGAAAAAATACAGAGAAATCTCATACTTTTAATACAATCAGGGTTTCACATTGATGAAATCCCCCCTTTACTTTTTTTGAAGTATTGTTTTGATGCTTCTGTTTTTTCATATATTAATATATAAGAACATCTTTTTAACTCATCCTTTTTAACTGGTTCATGATATTATGTAGCATTGTTCAGCCCTTCCCCAACTGATGGCTGCCTAGGTTGTTTCAGATACTGTGTCGTCAATTCCCATGTATATATTTACTTGTGAATTTTGGCCCTATATACTCCCCTTGGCATGATTCCATTACTGTGCTCCTCAACAAGGCCAATCATCTGGCTTTCTTCAGACTCCACTTCCTCATGTCCCAGACCATATTCAACTCAATTCAATTTGGTGTTTGTCACTCCTGTGTCTTTGGGACTGCTCTTAACCAGACCACTGATGAATAATAATCTTGCCAAACCAGCAATCACTTCTCTGCCCTCTCCTGTGACTTTCTAGTGAAACCCACAATTTCTTCCTCTCACTCTCTTGGTTTTTCTTTTTCTTTCTTTCTTTTTTTTTAAGATGGAGTCTCACTCTGTCACCTAGGCTGGACTGCAGTGGCACGATCTCGGCTCACTGCAACCTCTGCTTCCTGGGTTCAAGTGATTCTCCTGCCTTAGCCTCCTGAGTAACTGAGATTACAGGCATGCACCACCACGCCCAGCTAATTTTTTTTTTTTTTTTTGAGACGGAGTCTCGCTCTGTCATCCAAGCTGGAGTGCAGTGGGGCGATCTCGGTTAACTGCAACCTCCGCCTCCCGGGTTCAAGCGATTCTCCTGCCTCAGGCTCCCAAGTAGCTGGGATTATAGGCATGCACCACCACGCCCGGCTAATTTTTGTATTTTTAGTAGAGACGGGGTTTCACCATGTTGGTCAGGCTGGTCTCGAACTCCTGACCTCGTGATCCGCCCGCCTTGGCCTCCCAAAGTGCTGGGATTACAGGCGTGAGCCACCGCGCCCAGCCTAATTTTTGTATTTTTAGTAGAGATGAGGTTTCACCATATTGGCCAGGCTGGTCTGGAACTCCTGACCTCGTGATCCACCCATCTCGGCCTCCCAAAGTGCTGGGATTACAGGCTTGAGCTACCACGCCCGGCCTCTCGTTTTTTTTTTTTTTTTTTTTTTCTCCATCTCTGGCTACTCCTCCACTTGTATCAAACTTCCAAATATTAGAATATCCTTGGGTATAATCCTGTCTGATCCTCTCTTCCTAAGTGACTTCCTCTTCTCCTGTAGCCTTAATTATTGCAAATATTTGGAAGATCCTCTAGGCCTTCAGCTTAGACCTTTCTCTGGAACACCAGACTCAAACGTACTGTAATGACCTGTTTGACATTCATGTGGGTGTCACATACTGCTTATCCATCCAAACAGATTTGTTCTATTTCCTTTGCTCAGATGCTCCCCCACTGTCTCCTTCATCTCAGCCAATGGCATCACAATACAGTTTGTGGCCAGGCGTGGTGGCTCACGCCTGTAATCCCAGCACTTTGGGAGGGCGAGGTGGGCGGATCACTTGAGGTCAGGAGTTGAGACCAGCCTGGCCAACACGGTGAAACCCCATCTCTACTAAAAATACAAAAATTAGCTGGGTGTGGTGGTGCACACCTCTAATCATAGCTACTCAGGAGGCTGAGGCGGGAGAATCGCTTGAACCCGGGAGGCGGAGGTTGCAGTGAGCTGAGATTGCACCACTGCACTCCAGCCTGGGTGACAGAGCGACACTCTGTCTAAAAAAAAAAAAAAAAAAAAAGAATAAAAATTAAAATACATTTTGTTACTTGAGTCAAAGAGCAGATATATCATGCTTAATTCCCCTCCATTTTCTTTTTCTTTTTTCTTTTTTTTTTTTTTTTGATAGAGCCTTGCTCTGTCGCCCAGGCTGGAGTGCAATGGTGTGGTCTCAACTCATTGCAACCTCCGCCTTCTGGGTTCAAACGATTTGCCTGCCTCAGCCTCTCAAGTAGCTGGGATTACAGGTGCCCACCACCACACTCAGCTAATTTTTGTATTTTTAGTAGAGACGGGGTTTCACCATCTTGGTCAGGCTGGTCTCGAACTCCTGACCTCAGGTGATCCACCTGCCTTGACCTTCCAAAGTGCTGGGATTACAGGCATGAGCCACCATGCCCAGCTGATTCCCCTCCATTTTCATTGGCAAATTCTGTTGGTCGCACTGTCAAAAGTTATCATGGGCTGGGCATGGTGGCTCATGCCTGTAATCTCAGCACTTTTGGGAAGCTGAGGTGGGAGGATTCCTTGAGGCTAGGAGTTTGAGACCAGTCTGGGCAAGTCCCTGTCTCTACAAGAAAAAAGGTGTCATGCACTCTCAGTCAAAGTGGAATAACAGGGACCAACTTTGTCCTCTCACAGGAAACAACCAACTTTGCCCCCCACAAAAAAACCAAAATACATGAAACAATGATTTTTTTTTTTTTTGACGGAGTCTCACTCTGTTGCCCAGGCACAATCTCACAATGGCAAGATCTCTGCTCACTGCAACCTCTGCCTCCCAGGTTCAAGTGATTCTCCTGCCTCAGCCTCCTGAGTAGCTGGGGTTACGGGCACCTGCCATCATGCCTGGCTAATTTTTATATTTTTAGTAGAGATGGGGTTTCACCATGTAGGCCGGGCTGGTCTTGAACTCCTGACCTCAGGTAATCTGCCCGCCTCGGCCTCCTAAAGTGCTGAGATTACAGGTGTGAGCCACCGCGCCCGGCTGAAACAATGATTTTTAAGACATTAGACATCAGGCACCAAAGGACAGTGATCCCTGAAAGATGGGAAACAACGTGAGCACTACAACTGTCCCAGCACACTGCCTGGAGAGCTTCCATGCTATGGCACTGGAACGGGAAACTGAGGCAGCGCCTGGTGGACTCCCTAAGTTGAGGTGGTCCAGAGAGACAAGGGCAGCTGGAGTTAAAAGGACAGAATGTCAGCAGAGAGGAGCACAGAGAATCACAGAGATCTGCAGAGGGTCCCCCTTCAGTATTTAGCGGAGTGCTTATCAACACATGCATATGAGGCAGCTACCTAAGGCCAGGAAAAGAACCATCCAAATGGATTGGAGGGAACAGGTCCTGACACTCACATGGAGCTTCTGAAAATAGTGCCTGCACCCACCAACCAGACTGGAAAACTCATAATTCACAGGGCATAGAGTACACAGGAATGTCTTGTCTCAGTTGTGGGGAGTAACTAGCCCTAGACTTAGTATTGCTCCAGGCTCACTTTACACATCATAAAAGAAGACCCTAAAAGATCCTTAGGAATAACAAAGATTGATAAGAATTAAAAAAGACCCAGCTCCTAAAAAGGTAAAGTTGACAATGTCTGTTATCCAAACAAAGATTACCAGGCATAAAAAGAAGCAGGAGGCTGGGTGCAGTGGCTCATGCCTGTAATCCCAGCACTTTGGGAGGCGGAAGGTGAGCAGATTGCTTGAGCCCAGGAGTTGGAGAAGAGCCTGGGAAACATGGTGAAACCCTGTCTCTACAAATAATTTTAAAAGTTAGCTGGGAGTGATGGCGTGTGCCTCTAGTCCCAGCTACTCAGGAGGCTGAGGTGGGAGGATTGCTTGTGAGCCATGATGGGGCCATTGCACTTCAGCCTGGGTGACAAAGAGTGAGACTCTGTCTCTAAAAATAAATACATAAATAAAATGGACAATATTCCAATGACCTAGTAATCTGTGGAAAGTTGGATGAAAGTTTAGGTATTCCAGACTTGTTCAAATTAATTGTATCTATATCTCAGAGAAAATCTTCCTCAAAACATGATTTTTTTTAATTGGGGAGACAGCTTCCAATGTAAACTGAAAGTGCACACCCAAAACACAAATATCTAAGGTAAAAATTACTCTGCTCAGACCCAGTTGAGCCAGCTTTAATATTAGTGTCCCTCCTTTATTACCACAAAGGGGTCCCAATCCAGACCCCAAGAGAAGGTTATTTGAGATGGAGTTTCACTCTTGTTGCTCAGGTTGGAGTGCAATGGCGTGATCTCGGCTCACTTCAACCTCTGCCTCCTGGGTTCAAGCGATTCTCCTGCCTCAGCCTCCTGAGTAGCTGGGATTACAGGTGCGTGCCACCATGCCCGGCTAATTTTTGTATTTTTAGTAGAGACGGGGTTTCACCATGTTGGTCAGGTTGGTCTCGAACTCCTGACCTCAAGTGATCCACCCACCTGGGCCTCCCAAAGTGCTGGGATTACAGGCATGAACCACCGTGCCTGGCCCAACATCTCTTTAAACAACTGCCCCTGGGCATGGGTGGGTGGGTGGAGGATGTGACTGAGCTGAGATGCTCCTTTCTCTCTGGGACTGATAAATTTTGCATACTTTACATAGCTCAGACTGCCCTTGGGCTATTTGTCTTTTCTCTTTTTTTTTTCCCCGAGGCGGAGTCTTGCTCTGTCGCCCAGGCTGGAGTGCAGTGGCACAATCTCCGCTCACTGCAGCCTCCGTCTCCTGGGTTCAAGTGATTCTTCCGCTTCAGCCTCCTGAGTAGTGGGGATTACAGGCGTGCACCACCACGAGGGCTAGTTTTTGTATTTTTAGTAGAGATGGGGTTTCACTGTGTCGGCCAGGCTGGTCTGGAACTCCTGATCTCAAATGATCTGCCCGCCTTGGCCTCCCAAAATGCTGGGATTACAGGCGTGAGCCACTGTGCCCAGCCTCCTTTTTTTCTTTTTTAGAGACAGGGTCTGGATCCTCCTGTCTCTGCCTCCCAAAGTGCTGGGATTACAGGCATAAGCCACCGCTCCCAGCCTAGTTTTATTTTCTCAGTGCAAATTTAGGAGCCATCAGTATACTGTTTTTGTTTTTTTGTTTTTTGTTTTTTTTTTTTAAAGATAAAGAAGGCTGGGCATGGTGGCCTACACCTGTAATCCCAGCACTTTAGGAGGCCAAGGCAGGCAGATCACCTAAGGTCAGGAGTTCAAGACCAGCCTGGACGACATGGTGAAAGCCCGTCTTTACTAAAAATACAAAATTAGCCGGGCATGGTGGTGCATGCCTGTAATCCCAGCTACTTGGGAGGCTGAGGCACGAGAATCTCTTCAACCCGGGAGGCAGAGGTTTGCAGTGAGCTGATATCGCACCATTGCACTCCAGCCTGGGCAACAAGAGCAAAACTGCGTCTCAAAAAAGAAAAAAAATTAGCTGGGTATGGTGGCACATGCCTGTAATCCCAGCTACTCGGGAGGCTGAGGCAGGAGAATCACTTGAACCCGGGAGGTGGAGGTTGCAGTGAGTCGAGATTGTGCCACTTTGGTCCAGCTTGGACAACAGAGCAAGACCATATCAAATAAATAAATAAATAAAATGAAATGAAAGAGATCACCTAGCAAGTGATGTAAATAAAGAAGAGGTTCTAGGACTAAGACGTGGGACATTGCTAAGATATAGGGCTCAGGGGAACCAGGAGGAACTAGCAAGACTGAATAGGAGAAGCCATCGAGGCAGGAGCAGAGCCAAGAGAAGATTCCAGAAAGTCAAAGGAAAAAGCATTTCAAGGACAGGTGCGGTGGCTCACGCCTGTAATCTGAGCACTTTGGGAGGCCAAGGTGGGAAGACTGCTTGAGCAGTTGCTGAGATTGTTTTAGCCGGAGGTTGAGGCTTCAGTGAGCCATGATTGTGCCACTGCACTCCAATCTGGGCAACAGAGCGAGACCCAGTCTCAAAATTTTTAAAAACACAAAAAATCAGTGGCAGTTGTTTAACATCATAGCTGGTTGAGATGGTGATAAGAGCTGGAGTAAACAAGCAACAGACCAAAAAGCATGAAAGGAAAAGCTGGGGAATGAGATGTCTATGAAAAGTTCTGACACACTGCTGGATATCTGGAATGCCATATGCATGCCCATGCATAGGGCTGTGAGCATGCCCAAGAAAGAACCAAGAAAAGGCCGGGTGTGGTGGCTCATGCCTGTAATCCCAGCACTTTCGGAGGGTGAGGCGGGTGGATCACTTGAGGTCAGGAGTTTGAGACCAGCCTGGCCAATGTGGTGAAATCCTGTCTCTACTAAAAATACAAAAAAAGTTAGCTGGGCGTGGTGGCGTGTGCCTGTAATACCAGGTACTCGGGAGGCTGAGGCAGGAGAATCGCTTGAATCCTGGAGATGGAGGTTGCAGTGAGCTGACATCACACCATTGCACTCCAGCCTGGGCAACAAGAGCAAAACTCCGTCTCAACAACAACAACAACGAAGAGAACCAAGAAGGCCTTAAGCTCTTATTTGTGGGGGACCTTCAGGCTTTGGGCAAGGAAAAAGTGAAGGCTAAGGCACAGTTGTGAACTACCTGAGGGAGTGTTCTAGGTATTCTCCAACATACATGGACACACATTAGGCAAATGCTGGAAGAAGTAATGGTTCAAGGCATTTAAGGGAACCTTTGCCTAACCGTTATCTGGTCAGTAAGCTAATGAAGCAGGGCCTTCAGTGGCCACACACAACAAAGAATACACACTTTATAGAATTAGTTCAGAAAAGTTGCTAAACAGGCTCATAGTAGCTCATGCCTTTGGGAGGCTGACATGGGAAGATGGCTTGAACCCAGGAGTTTGAGGTGCAGTAAGCTATGATCATGCACTACAATCCAGCCTAGACAACAAGAGGGAGACCTTATCTCAGAAACAAACAAACAAACAAAAAGAAGTCACTAAACAGCAGTGATAATAAAAACAAACAGCAGCCACAACAAACCCTGGGAAGGAGACAATCTGAATTTCAGAGTTGCCACATTATTTAAAATGTCCAGATTAAAAAATGCAAAGAAACTAGAAAGTAGGCCAGACACAGTGGCTCACGCTTGTAATCTCAGCACTTTGGGAGGCCAAGGTGGGTGGATCACCTGAGGTCAGGAGTTCGAGACCAGCCTGGCCAACATGGTGAAACTCTGTCTCTACTAAAAATACAAAAATTAGCTGGGCGTGGTGGCGCACGCCTGTAATCCCAGCTACTCAAGAGGCTGAGGTGGCAGAATCACTTGAACTCAGGAGGCGGAAGCTGCAGTGAGGCAAGATCATGCCACTGCACTCCAGCCTGGGTGACAGAGGGAGGCTCCATCTCAAAAAATAAATAAACTAGAAAGCATAGCCCATACACAGGAAAGAAAAAAAGAAGAAAAAAACCGGTAAATAAAAACTTCCACTGAGGAAGCTCAGATGTTGGAATTACTAGACAAAGTTTTTTTTGAGACAGAGTCTCACTCTGTTACCCAGGCTGGAGTGCAGTGGTGTGATCTCAGCTCACTACAACCTCAGCCTCCTGGGTTCAAGCGATTCTTGTGCCTCTGCCTCCTACGTAGCTGGAATTACAGGCATGTGCCACCACGCCCCACTAATTATTGTATTTTTAGTACACACAGAGTTTCGCCATGTTGGCCAGGCAATATAGTGAGACCCCATCTCTACAAAAAAGTAGCTGGCCATGGTGGTGCATGCCTGTAGTCCCACCTACTCAGGAGGCTATGGCAGGAAGATCGCTTGAGCCTAGGAGGTGGAGGTTGCAATGAGCTGAGATCGGGCCACTGCATTCCAGCCTGGGTGACAGAGCAAAACCTTATCTCAAAAAAAAAAAAAAAAAGAAAAGAAGAGAAAAAAAGAAGTACTGTACTTATACGTGTGGTACAACATGGATGAACCTTGAAAATATTATGCTATATGAAATAAGCCAGACACAATAGGCCACATATTTTTATGATTAATTTATATGAAAAACCAAGATAGGCAACTTCATAGAGACAGAAAATACATTCGTGGTTTTTAGGAGCTAAAGGCTAGGGGATGGGTGGAATAGTGACTGGTAATGGCTATGGGGTTTCCTTTAGAGGTAATGAAATAAAGGAATAAAGGTTTTTTTTTTTGAGACAGGAGTCTGACTCTGTCCAGCCTGGAGTGCAGTGGTGTGAACTTGGCTCACTGCAACCTCTGCCTCCCAGGTTCAAGCGATTCACCTGCCTCAGCCTTCCGAGTAACTGGGATTACAGGCGCCTGCCACCGCGCCCGGCTATATTATGTATTTCTAGTAGAAACGGGATTTCATCATGTTGGCCAGGCTGGTCCGGAACTCCTGACCTCAGGTGATCCACCCGGCTGTGCCTCCCAAAGTGTTGGGAATACAGACATGGCCACCACACCCGGCCCAAAATAAAGCTTCTTGAATTAGATAGTGTTGATGTCTGCACAATCTTGTGAATGTACTAAAAACCACTGAATTGCACACTTTGAAGAGGTTGGTTCTATGATATGTACATCTTACCTTACAACTATAAGAAAAGGAATGACCTATTGAAACATGGAACAAACCTGGTGAATCTCCAATAATTTTTTTTTTTGAGATGGAGTTTTTTGCTCTTGTCACCCAGGCTGGAGCAATGGCACGATCTCAGCTCACTGCAACCTCCGCCTCCTGGGTTCAAGCAATTCTCCTGCCTCAGCCTCCCAAGTGGCTGGGACTACAGGCACCCGCCACCATGCCCAGCTAATTTTTATATTTTTAACATGGGCAGAGTTTCACCACATTGGCTAGGCTGGTGTTGAACTCCTGACCTCAGGTGATTCACCTGCTTCGGCCTCTCAAAGTGCTGGGATTACAGGTGTGAGCCACCGTAATCCAGGCCTTTTTTTTTTTTGAGACGGAGTCTCGCTCTGTCACCCACACTGAAGTGCGGTGGCGCGATCTCGGCTCACTGCAACCTCTGCCTCCCAGGTTCACGCCATTCTCCTGCCGCAGCCTCCCAAGTGGCGCCCGCCACCATGCCCAGCTAACTTTTTTTTGTATTTTTAGTAGAGGCGGGGTTTCACCGTGTTAGCCAGGATAGCCTCAATCTCCTGACCTCGTGATCCGCCCGCCTCGGCCTCCCAAAGTGCTGGGGTTATAGGTGTGAGCCACTGCGCCCGGCTTCCAATAACTTTTATAGAGTGAAAGAACTTAGAGAGAGCTAGTCTTGGTGGCTCATGCTTGTAATTCCAGCACTTTGGGAGGCTGAGGCGGGTGGATCACTTGAGCTCAGGAGTTCAAGACCAGCCTGGCCAACATGGCAAAACCCCATCTCTACCAAAAATACAAAAATTAGCTGGGCGTGATGGTGCACGTCTGTAATCCCAGCTACTTCAGAGGCTGAGGCAAGAGAATCACTTGAAACCGGGAGGTGGAGGTTGCAGTGAGCCGAGATCGCACCACTGCACTCCAGCCTGGGCGACAGAGCGAGACTCCGTCTCAAAAATAAAGAAAAGAAAGAAGGAATTGGCCGGGCGCGGTGGCTCACGCCTGTAATCCCAGCACTTTGGGAGGCCGAGGCGGGTGGATCATGAGGTCAGGAGATCGAGACCATCCTGGCTAACAAGGTGAAACCCCGTCTCTACTAAAAATACAAAAAATTAGCCGGGCGCGGTGGCGGGCGCCTGTAGTCCCAGCTACTCGGGAGGCTGAGGCAGGAGAATGGCGTGAACCCGGGAAGCGGAGCTTGCAGTGAGCCGAGGTTGCGCCACTGCAGTCCGCAGTCCGACCTGGGCGACAGAGCGAGACTCCGTCTCAAAAAAAAAAAAAAAAAAAAAAAAAAAAAAGAAGGAATTTAGAAGAGTTCATACTAAGATGCACTTATATAAAACTCTTAAAAAGGCAAAATATGCCAGGCGCGGTGGCTCACGCCTGTAATCCCAGCACTTTGGGAGGCTGAGGCGGGTGGATCACGAGGTCAGTAGATCGAGACCATCCTGGCTAACACGGTGAAACCCCGTCTCTACAAAAAATTAGCCAGGCGTGGTGGCACTTGCCTGTAGTCCCAGCTACTCGGGAGGCTGAGGCAGGAGAATCGCTTGAACCCGGGAGGCGGAGGTTGCAGTGAGCGAGACCACGCCATTGCACTCCAGCCTGGGCAACAGAGCAACACTCCATCTCAAAAAAAAAAAAAAAAAAAAAAAGGCAAAATATAACAAAGTATATTTTGTACACTTTGTTATATTTTGTATACTTTGTTATATTTTGTATGCTATAGTAACAAAGCAGATCCGTGGTTGCTTGGGGATGAGGTGGGGCAGTTAGGAAGGGAATTACAAAGGGGCATGAGGAAACTTGGAGATGATGATATGTCCACTATCTTGATTATGGTGATGGTTTCATGAGTGTATGCATATGTTATTTTTTTTCAAAACAAATACCTAACACTTCTGTTTCTTGGACCAATTTTTTTTTTAACTTGCCCTGCCCCCACCACCTGCTTGGACCAAAATATAATACCTATTTATGTCCTAAAAAAATAGTAGCAGTTTAGAAAATCGACAACACATAGATAGAAAAAAAAATTGTTAAATAACTACAATTGCTTATTAATGGATGCATGTTTGTTAGACTCTGCACACCTTCCCAAACCTTAATCAGATTGTCTGATATCACCTAAATCACTTTATCCATGCTGATTTTTGTCAGGTGTTTGCTTTTTATCACAGAAACTGCTGTAAACCCAGCTTTGCAAAAAGATGTCATTGAAAGAAAAGTAGTTCAATGTAACTTTGAAACTTTGAACTCCCTTGAATAGTTTATGAGGTATCTGACATGTTGAGTACCCATATATTTCCCTCAAACAATTTAAAGCATCTTACAGCGTCCCTGAGAATTCACTATGGCACTCTGAGGTGCCTCAACACAGTTTGGGAACTGCAATCCTAACTCACGCAGGTCTGTGTTTCCTCATTCTGTTTCTTTTCACTTAGTATTATGGTTTTTTTGTTTTGTTTTTTAGAGGGAGTCTCTGTCACCCAGGCTGGAGTGCAGTGGCGCCATCTCGGCTCACTGCAACCTCCGCCTCCTGGGTTCAAGCCATTCTCCTGCCTCAGCCTCCCAAGTAGCTGGGATTACAGGTGCCCACCACCATGCCTGGCTAATTTTTGTATTAGAGACGGGGTTTCACCATGTTGGCCAGGATGGTCTCGATCTGACCTCGGCCTCCCAAAGTGCTGGGATTACAGGTGTGAGCCACTGTGCCTGGCCAGTATTATGTTTTTAAGCTGGATACTTTGTTTTCTTTTAATAGAGATGGGGTCTTGAGGTCTCACTATGTTGCCCAGGCTATATTTTTTTTGAGACGGAACTTTGCTCTTGTCACCCAGGCTGGAGTGCAATGGCACGACCTCAGCTCACTGCAACCTCCACCTCCTGGGTTCAAGCAATTCTCTTCCCTGGGATTACAGGCTTGAGCCGCTGAGCCCGGCCAGCCCAGGCTAATCTTGAACCACTGGGCTCAAGTAATCTTCCTGTCTCAGTCTTCCAGAGTGCTAGGATTACAAGCGTGAGCCACCACAATCAGCCTTCTTTTTTTTTTTTTTTTTTAATGAGTCAGGGTCTCCCTCTGTCACCCACACTGGAGTGCAGTGGTGTGATCATAGTTCACTGCAGCCTGCAGCCTCGAACTCCTGGGCTCAGGCAATACTCCCACTTCAGCCTCCCAAGTAGCTGGGACTACAGGCACACTTCACCATGCCCAGCTTTTTAAAACATATTTTTTGTGAAGATGCGGTCTCATTATGTTGGCCAGGCTGGTCTCAAACTGCCGGACTCAAGTGATTCTCCCACCTTGTTCCCCAAAGTGCTGGGATTACAGGTGTGACCCACCTTGCCTGGCCCGGGGTGTCTTTTTTTTCTGAGATGGAGTCTCACTCTATCGCCCAAGCTGGAGTGCAGTGGTGTGATCTCAGCTCACTGCAACCTCCACCTCCTGGGTTCAAGCGATTCTCCTGCCTCAGCATCCCCAGTAGCTGGAATTACAGGCACACACCACCATGCCTGGCTATTTTCTGTATTTTTAGTAGACACAAGGTTTCACCATGTTGGCCAGGCTGGTCTCATAGGGTGTCTTTAACTAGCATGGAACCCACAAGGTCCACTCATTCATTTTTGTATTACCTCCCAGGCTCAGCATGGTGCCTGAACCTCTATAAGGAGGCAATGTGTGTTAAGAGAGACAGGAGGGGTCAGGTGCGGTGGCTCACACCTGTAATCCCAGCACTATGGGAGGCCAAGGCAGGCAGATCACTTGAGGCCAGGAGTTCGAGACCAGCCTGGCCAACATGGCAAAATCCCGTCTTTACTAAAATTGCAAAAATTAGCCATGCGTGGTGGTGTACGCCTGTAATCCCAGCTATTTAGGAGGCTGAGACATGAGAATTGCTTGAACCCGGGAGTTTGAGGTTGCAGTGAGCTGAGATCGCCCCACTGCACTCCAGCCTGGGTGAAAAAATAAGACTGTCTCAAAGAAAAAAAATTTTTTTTTTTGTAGAGACGGGGTTTCCCCACGTTGCCCAGGCTATAACTGTACTTTAAAAGACACAATACTCTAGAGATGTCATTACAGTTAGTAGATTATTATCTTAATTGACCCTAAATTCGCTATTTTGGAGCTAAGCAACCAATTACGGCCTGGTGGTATATTCACCTGCTCCTTAGATGGAGGTTCTGTGAAGGCAGCAGCTCTGTCCATGTTGTTTACTGTAGGGCTGAACACTGACCTTGAGACATAGTTGGCACTCAAAATTATATGTTGAATGACAGAATTTTGATTAGGTGGATCTAACGCATTTGAAATAATTCATAGGGCTGGGCACGGTGGCTCAAGCCTGCAATCCCAGCACTTTGGGAGGTGGAGGCAGGCAGATCGCCTGAGGTCAGGTGTGCAAGACCAGCTTGGCCCCAGCCTCCCTAGTAGCTGGGATTACAGGCATGCACCACCACGCCTGGCTAATTTTGTATTTTTAGTAGAGATGGAGTTTCTCCATGTTGGTCAGGCTGGTCTCAAACTCCCGACCTCAGGTGATCTGCCTGCCTTGGCCTCCCAAAGTGCTGGGATTATAGGCATGAGCCACCGAGCCCGACCATCCTGGACATCTCTTAACCCAGCTTTCCCTCTGCAAAGGGAGCATGCATTTCAGTGAAAGTTTAGAAGAATTACAGTGATATCACTTTCATGAATCAAAATTGGCTACTTGACTTCAGTAATTTGTGAAAATTACTGTTGCGGCTGGGCATGGTGCCTCACACCTGTAATCCCAGCACTTTGGGAGGACAAGGTGGGAGGATTGCTTGAGCCCAGGAGTTCGAGACTGGCCTGAGCAACATGGCAAAATTCCATCTCTACAGAAAATACAGGCTGGGCACGGTGGCTCACACCTGTAATCCCAGAACTTTGGGAGGCCAAGGCGGGCGAGCCTCCTGAGTAGCTGAGACTATAGGTTCACACCACTACATCCGGCTAATTTTTTTTTTTTGAGATGGAGTCTTGCTCTGTTGTCCAGGCTGGAGTGCAGTGGCACGATCTCGGCTCACTGCAACTTCTTCCTCCCAGGTTCACGCCATTCTCCTGCCTCAGCCTCCCGAGTAGCTGGGACTACAGGCGCCCGCCACCACGCCCAGCTAATTTTTTGTATTTTTAGTAGAGACGGGGTTTCACCATGTTAGCCAGGATGGTCTCGATCTCCTGACCTCATGATCCGCCCACCTTGGCCTCCAAAAGTGCTGGGATTACAGGTGTGAGCCACCGTGCCCGGCCTTTTTTTTTTTTTTTTTTTTTTTTGAGGCGGCATCTCGCTGTCACCCAGGCTAGAGTGCAATGGCGTGATCTGGGCTCACTGCAACCTCCGCCTCCCGGGTTCAAGCAATTCTCTGCCTCAGCCTCCTGAGTAGCTAGAATTACAGGCGCCAGCTGCCAAGCCTGGCTATTGTTTTTGTATTTTTTTTTTTAGTAGAGATAGGGTTTCAATAAGTTGGCCAGGCTGGTCTTGAATTCCTGACCTTGTGATCCACCCACCTCGGCCTCCCAAAGTGCTGGGATTACAGGCATGAGCCACCCTGCCCGGCCAAGTTTTACATTATTAAGCTATCCATGTTCTCTTGGGAACTGAACTTTTTTTCCTCTTGATGCTCTGGATTTGACATTGCACTTGACTTTTTATGTAGTAACTGACATGTGCCAGAGTTGGCATCTTCCCCCAAGTCCAAGCATCATGAGTAACTCTTGCTTATCTCTCTCTCTCTCTTTTTTGAGACAGGTTTTGCTGTCACCTAGGCCGCAGTGCAGTGGCGTAATCATGGCTCATTGCAGTCTCAACCTCCTGAGCTCACTCAATCCTCCCACCTCAGCCTCCCATGTAGCTGAGACTACAGGCACGCACCACCACACCCAGCTAAATTTGTTTATTTTTGTAGAGACTAGATCTCACTATGTTGCCCAGGCTGGTCTTGAACTCTGGAGCTCAAGCGATCCTCCTGTCTCAGCCTCCCAAAATGTTGGCATTATAGGCGTGAGCCACTGCACCCTGCCTTGCTTATCTTTATAGATTCAAATGGTAGGCATTTCCCATCACCTAATTCCTTTTTTTGTTATTGTTGAATAGGGTCTTGCTCTGTTGCCCAGGCTAGAGGGCAGTGGCCCAATCACAGCTCACTGCAGCTTCAATCTTTTGGACTCAAGTAATCCTCCTGCCTCAGCCTCACAAAGTGCTGGGATTACAGGCATGAGCCACCAGGCTTGGCAAGTGATGACATTTTTTATTTTTATTTTTTGAGACTGAGTTTCGCTCTGTCGCCAGGCTGGAGTGCAGTGGCACAATATCGGCTCACTACAACCTCCGCTTCCTGGGTTCAAGCGATTCTCCTGCCTCAGCCTCTCAAGTAGCTGGGACTACAGGTGCACACCACCATGCTCGGCTAATAAGAGATGGGGTTCCACCATGTTGGCCAGGATGGTCTCCATCTCTTGACCTCGTGATCCGCCCACCTCGGTCTCCCAATGTGCTGGGATTACAGGTGTGAGTTACTGCGCCTGGCCAGCAAATGATGAAATTCTTATAATTTAAATGGCTACAGACTTAAAAGGCAAGCTATATACATTGAAGCACTTTTTTTTTTTAGCATTTGTACTTTTCAAATAGACCCATTCTTTTATTAATAAGCTAAAGATTTTCTTTTCCTCCCCCATCTTCTTTATTTGTAAATACTTTTGGGTGTGTTTCTTTTAGTTAAGTATGCACAACAGATAAGAAAGGGTGTGTTTCTGTTATTTATTTGAGATGGAGTTTCACTTTTGTCGCCCAGGCGCCCACCACTAGCCCCAGCTAATTGTTTTTTTTTTTTTTTGAGACAGAGTCTCGCTCTGTCGCCAGGCTGGAGTGTGGTGGCGTGATCTGGGCTCACTGTAGCCTTCACCTCCTGGTTTTAAGCGATTCTCCTGTCTCAGCCTCCCGAGTAGCTGGGACTACAGGCACGTGCCACCATGCCCAGCTCATTTTTTGTATTTTTAGTAGAGATGGGGTTTCACAATGTTGGTTAGGATGGTCTTGAACTCCTGACCTCAGGTGATCTGCCCGCCTCGGCCTCCCAAAGTGCTGGGATTACAGGCATGAGCCACCGCGCCTGGCCTCCCCCAGCTAATTTTTGTATTATTATTATTATTATTTTTTTTTTTGAGATGGAATTTTGCTCCTGTTGCCCAGGCTGGAGTACAATGGCGCAATCTCGGCTCACTGCAACCTCTGCCTCCCAGGTTCAAGCGATTCTCCTGTCTCGGCCTCCAGAGTAGTTGGGATTACAGGCGTTAGCCACCACACCTGGCTTATTTTTTGTATTTTTAGTAGAGATGGGGTTTCACCATGTTGGTCAGGCCGGTCTTGAACTCCTGACCTCAGGTGATCCACCTGCCTTGGCCTCCCAAAGTGCTGGGATTACAGGCACGAGCCACTGTGCCCGGCCTATTTATTTATTTTTTGAGATGAGGTCTCTGTTGCCCAGGCTGGAGTGCCGTGGTGTGATCATGGCTCACTGCGGCCTCTAATTGCAAGGCTTAAGTGATCCTCCCACATCAGCCTCCTGAGTAGCTGGGACCACAAGTGTGTACCACCAAACTGGGCTAATTTTTTGTAATTTTTGTAGAGACGGTGTCTCACATTGCCCAGACTGGTCTCAAACTCCTGGCCTCAAGTACTCTCTCTTTAAAAAAGATAATACTGCAGGGCATGGAGGCTCATGCCTGTAATCCCAGCACTTTGGGAGGCTGAGGTGGGCGGATCACTTGAGGTCAGGAGTTTGAGACCAGCCTGACCAACATGGCAAAACCTGGTCTCTACTAAAAATACAAAAATTAGCCAGGAGTGGTGGCGAGCACCTGTAAATCCCATCTACTCGGGAGGCTAAGGTGCGGGAATTGCTTGAACCTGGGAGGCGGAGGTTGCAGTGAGTCAAGACCGTGCCACTAAACTCCAGCCTGGACAACAGAAGGAGAACCTATCTTAAAAAAAAAAAGAAAAAAAAAAGGTAATAAAGGCTGGGTGCAGTGGCTCATGCCTGTAATTCCAGCACTTTGGGAGTCTGAGGCAGGAGGATTGCCTGAACGCAGAAATTTGAGACCAGCAGGGCAACATTGTGAGACCTCATCTCTACAAAAAGTAAAAAATTAGCCAGGTGTAGCGTGGCGCACCTGTACTCCAAGCTACTTGGGGGGCTGAGGTGGGAGGATGGCTTGAGCACAGGCTGTCCAGACTGCAGTGAGCCATGACTTCACCATTATACTCCAGCCTGGGTGACAAAGAAATACCCTGTCTCTACCCCCCCACCAAAAAATGAGTTAATATAGCTTATTGTATGTTTGGTTATACTGTAATCTTTAGAACAAAATCCCAAACAAAAACAATGCACCCCTCACTTCCTATGGCATCTGAGTGGCGAAACTGAAGTATATACAAAGTATTATATGAAACGGAAGTATATACAAAGTATTATACAAAAGTGAAGTATACATGTTACAAAGCCAGCCACTCTCAGAAACATCCAGAGGAGGGGCCTGGCACAGTGGCTCATGCCAGTAATCGCAGCACTTTGGGAGGCCCAGGTGGGTGGATTACCTGAGGTCAGGTGTTTGAGACCATCCTGGCCAACATGGTGAAACCCCATCCCTACTAAAAATACAAAAATTAGCTGGGCGTGGTGGTGCGTGCCTGTAGTCCCAGCTACTCGGGAAGCTGAGGCAGGAGAATCGCTTGAACCCGGGAGGCAGAGGTTGCAGTGAGCCGAGATCACACCACTGCACTCCTGCATGGCAACAGAGTGAGACTCCATTTCAAAAAAAAAAAATCCAGAGGTGACTAATTGCCCGGACTTCAACTGAACCTTTGAAGAGTGCTACCCAGTACTCCAGTTCCCACACACTCACAGTTAAAATAGCAACCTTTTTCCTCATTCCTGAGAAAAGAGGGATAAAATAACAATCTAAGAGAAAAGGAAAGAACAATGTTTCTGGGGCGGGCGTAGTGGCTTATGCCTGTAATCCCAGCACTTTGGGAGGCTGAGGCAGGCGGATCACGAGGTCAGGAGATCGAGACCATCCTGGCTAACACGGTGAAACCCTGTCTCTACTAAAAATACAAAAAATTAACCGGGCGTGGTGGCGGGCGCCTGTAGTCCCAGCTACTCAGGAGGCTGAGGCAGGAGAATGGCGTGAACCCGGAAGGTGGAGCTTGCAGTGAGTCGAGATCGCGCCACTGCACTCTAGCCTGGGCGACAGAGCGAGACTATGTCTCAAAAAAAAAAAAACAAAAAAAAACAAAAAAAAACACACAGTGTTTCTTGGGACCAGACCTGATATCAACGTTGTTTCTTGGGACCAGACCTGATATCAACGTTGTTTCTTGGGACCAGACCTGATATCAAGGTTGGCTGTTTTCAGCAGTGGAGGCAGCACTACGCTATTGGAGTTTCTAAGCTAATTAAGGGAATTTTTTCCCACTTAGTGAAAGCTGGGGCCTCAGGGCTCAGGCTTCCTAACATTTTGGGCACCCAGTTAAAAGATCAACAGTCCCCTGTCCCTTCAGCATGTGACTCACCCCAGGGCAATGAACTGGGCCCACGGCTCCATCTGCATCTATATCCCTGTAAATCATGGATTTATACATATTGGTGCATACGTTTATAATGCTTGCAATATATACTTCCATTTCAACTTACATATATATAAAATGTAACAATTTCTTTTCTTTCTTTTTTTTTTTTTTTGAGACGTAGTTTCGCTCTGTCGCCCAGGCTGGAGTGCACTGGCGCGATCTCGGCTCACTGCAAGCTCCGCCTCCCGGGTTCACGCCATCCTCCTGCCTCAGCCTCCTGAGTAGCTGGGACTACAGGCGCCCGTCACCACGCCCGGCTGATTTTTTGTATTTTTTTAGTAGAGACGGGGTTTCACTGTGTTAGCCAGGATGGTCTCGATCTCCTGACCTCGTGATCCACCTGCCTCGGCCTCCCAAAGTGCTGGGATTACAGGCGTGAGCCACCGCGCCCGGCCAAAATGTAACAATTTCAACCTGTAAAAAGATAAGTGGTCACCTTACCTATGATGTGGATTAAATAAGACGTGTCAACGCAGCCATCCTGCCCCATCCGACCAGACCTTAATGCTCCAAAACCATCAGTTTGCGCCTGGAAAACTGGGGAAAGTGTTTATTCCCTTACACAGGCTTCGCCAAAGGCCCTGACACTTAGGGCTTTTTCACTGCTGCAAACGTTGGACCGGCTTGTGAGAAGGAGTACAGTTAATCTAACTTTGGTATACTGTATCCAGAGACCACAGAGGGCTCGCTCTGCGATTTATGGTGCGAGGAAGACCAGACACCCGCTGTGCCCGTCCTACTCCTGCAGATCAAACTCAAAGCCACACTTTCCGGAGTGAGAAACGGGACAGTAAATGAACGCAGGAACCACGGTGCGCAGGCACAGAACCCCGCTGGGTTTGCTACGAAGGTTGAGGTGGAAGCGCCCAGCGCACCAGGCGCCACGGCCCGGTGTGTGACCTCACTAACCTCCACCAGCGCGCACCCTGTCCTGCCCCTTCACGGGCGAACAACCCCACACGAGGCAGTGGTGTGGGAGCCAGTACCCGGAACCGTAAAAGCACGACTTTCCCGGAGCCCAGGCACTGAATGGCACCCACTGCGCATGCCCCAGAGCGGCGACGAATGGGAGCCCGGAGCGCAGGGGCGGAGGCGCGCCCGGGCAGCTACCGAGAAGCGCCAATCAACCATCGACCAATCAGATCATCACCGTCAATCGTCATCGACCAATCAGAGCCCACCGCGCCCCGGCCTTAAGCCAGTTGCTTGTTCCGCGGCGGGAGGGTTGGGTCAAGACTAAGCCTTCGGGGGAGAGGGCAACGCGGTGGGCGGGAGAGAGGCCGAGGGCCGCTCGGGTCTGGGAGTGCCAACAGGACGGGATGGGCACGAGCATGCCGGGCCCCGCGCGGGGGAGGGGCTCTTTCCTTACCCCACACAAAAAGGTGTGCCCGGGTTGGCTGCCCCTGCCCAGTGTTGTGGCTCCATGTGGACGCTTTCGTGCGCGCGTCCCTGCCCCGCGCGCGGCAGGCCATTCCAGGCTGTGGGCTGCGGGCTCTGGGGTCCGAGGGTCGGACACGCTGGGGAGTGGACACCCCTAGGGTCACACAGACAGGGCTTTGGACACCCACAGGGGCACACACATTGGGGAGTGGGCACTCCTGGGGTCACACAGACCGAGGTGCAGGGATGTAGGGGGCGCCCGTCCAGGGGTAGTTGGTGGTGGCTGAGGGTGAGGGCAAGGTAAGGACTGGGAGGAGATTTCTGGTTCCCTGACTGGGCCAGGGTTTTCCTGTGCAGGTGAGGGGAGTAGGCCGGGGCCTCTCGTTGGTGGGGAGGGCTCCAGGAGCCTGTCCCAACCCTGCAGGCCTCTGGCTGAGCCTCACAGAAGGGAGCTCTGAGATGGGCTGTGCAGCAGGGGAAAGAAAAAGAGAGGTCGGTCGCCTGTTCTGGGTTCTTGACCATCCACCAGTGGTGGTGGAGCCTGGAAGTCTGAGGGAGGAGGGTGAGGAGGCGCTTGAGGGACGGGGGGAATCTAGGCGTCAGGAATGATAGTTCGTTGATCCAAATTACCCAGTAATGGATAATTTTAACACGTGCCAACCTCTCCTGATTACGTGAATAATTTCACTGCGTCTTCACAACAACCTTAACTACTATTATCATCGTTGCGTTCTGGATGAGAGACCTAAGGCCCTGTAGGGGTTACCAGAAGGCACACAGCTGAGCAGAGCCAGGGCCAGGGTCAGGCTGTGCACTCTGGACTCTGTGTTCTGACCATGCGTCACTGACTCTACAGATGTCTCTCCTTTCTGTGCTCACCCTGTCCTCATTCCGCCCCCGGCAGGACAGAGGGCCCCTGAAGCATCCATTTGCCCACAGCATCAGTGAACTGTGTAGAACTCTCTGTGCAAGGGAGCTGGCCCCTGTGCACCCTGAGTCGTTTTTCTTCTCTGGCTCCCCACGCAGGGGCAGTGAACAGAGGACAGGGAAGCTTTGTAGGAAGAGGGCAGTAAATCACAGCATAGTTATCCAGACTGCAATTATTTACTTAGTGCATTCAGGGTCTTGTATTAGGTGGTGGGGATTCCGCGCTGAACCAGACAGACAAGGGTCCTGTTCCTGCCTGCCCTCGGGGTGTGTTTTGGGAATTCCTCCTTGAGGGTGCTTTGGCACTGAATGGGCAGAGGTCTGGTGCTGGGGGGCTGTCCCACACCAGCAAGACTTGTAATGTACATGAATGTGAATGTCATTTCAGGATGGTAAAAGGAGGCCTTTTCTTTTTTTTTTTTTTTTCTGAGACGGAGTTTCGCTCTTGTTGCCCAGGCTGGAGTGCAATGGCACGATCTTGGCTCACTGCAACCTCTGCCTCCCAGGTTCAAGTGATTCTCCTGCCTCAGCCTCCCTAGTAGCTGGGATTACAGGCATGTGCCACCACGCCCAGCTAATTTTGTATTTTTAGTAGAGACAGGGTTTCTCCATGTTGGTCAGGCTGGTCTCGAACTCCCGACCTCAGTTGATCCACCCACCTTGGCCTCCCAAAGTGCTGAGATTACAGGCATGAGCCACCGCGCCCGGCCGAAATGTTTCTTACTAAAAGGGCGTACTGGATCTGAGGGTTGGGAAATGACACTTCCTTATGTCAGGCCTGTCCCAGGAAGCACCCCGCAGTCGGGTACGGAGGGCCATGAGGATAGTACGGTGAGGGGAGGAAGAGGATATAGCAACGTAAATTTTGCCATCTTGGCCTCAGTTTGGTTTTAAAGGACAGCAGCTGGACCTTCCCTATGTGTAGGACTCAATCAGTGGGGCCAGGGTGTGGAAGACAGCCCTGTGTCTTATTACCTACTCAGGGCCTGAGGTGTGGCAACCAGGATCTTGCAGGGAATGCCTTCCCAAAAAGAAGCAAAATACAGAAGATATAAACAGGAAGCCAGGCATAGTGGCTCACACCTGTAATGCAAGCACTTTGGGAGGCTGAGATGGGAGGATCCCTTGCACTCAGGAGTTTGAGACCCACCTAAGCAACACAGTAAGACCCTGTCTTTATAAAAAAATTTTAAAAATTATCCGGGTATGGTGGTGTGTGCCTGTAGTCCCAGCTACTTGAGGGGCTGAGGAGGGAGGATTGCTTAAGCCTGGAAGTTCAAGGTTGCAGTGCACTGTGATCATGCCAGTGCACTCCAGCCTGGGTGACAAAGCAAGAACCCTGTCTCAAAAAAAAAAAAAAAGATATAAACAGGAGGTGATTCATCTGGTGCCCCTGGAGGTTGGAGACGAAGGTGATGGGGTCTATCCCAGTTCTTGGGCGTTCCTGGTGTTTACTGTGTAGTAAATTACTTCTGCTTCCAGCTGTGCAGACAAGCAAACAGAAAAGCTGGATTAAAGCTGCTGTTTTTAAGTCTATTTGAAGGCCCAGGAGAGCAAATTATCTCTGAGGTATTACCTCACCAAATACTGGCATCCAGTGCAGAAAAGCAAGAGTTGATGGAGACACATAAAAAACAAACAAGCTCGGCTGGGCACAGTGGCTCACGCCTGTAATCCCAGCACTTTGGGAGGCTGAGGTGGGCTGATCACCTGAGGTCAGGAGTTCGAGACCAGCCTGGCCAACATGGTGAAACTCCGTCTCTACTAAAAATACAAAAATTAGCTAGGTGTGGTGGCGGGTGCCTGTAATCCCAGCTACTCGGGAGGCTGAGGCAGGAGAATCACTTTAACCTGGGAGGCAGAGGTTGCAGTGAGCTGAGATCGTGCCACTGCACTCCAGCCTGGGCAACAGAGCAAGACTCTGTCTCAAAAACAAACAAACAAAAACCAAAACAACAAACAAACAAAAAACAAACTAGCTCTGGCCGGACGTGGTGGCTCACGCCTGTAATCCCAGCACTTTGGGAGGTGTGTGGATCACCCGAAGCCAGGAGTTCAAGACCAGCCTGGCCAACATGGTGAAACCCCATCTATACTAAAAATACAAAAAATTAGTCTGTCGTGGTGGTGTGTGTGCCTGTGGTCCCAGCTACTGGGGAGGCTGAGGTGGGAGGATCACTTGTGCCTGGGAGGCAGAAGTTGCAGTGAGCTGAGATTGTGCCACTGCACTTCAATCTGGGTGACAGAGTGAGACCACGTCTTATTAAAAAAATAAATACAAATATTAGTTGGGTGTGGTGGCATGGGCCTGTAATCCCAGCTACTTGGGAGGCTGAGGTGAGAGAATTGCTTGAACCCAGGAGGTGGAGGCCTCAGTGAGCCGAGATCACGCCACTGCACTCCAACCTGGGCAACAGAGCAAGAATCTGTCTCAAAAAAAAAACAAAAACAAAAAACAAAGGCCAGGCGCAGTGGCTCACACCTGTAATTCCAGCACTTTGGGAGGCCCAGGCAGGTGGATTACTTGAGGTAAGGAGTTTGAGACCAGCCTGGCCAACATGGTGAAATCCTGTCTCTACTAAGAATACAAAAATTAGCTGGGCATGGTGGCCCATGCTTGTAATCTCAGCTGCTCCAGAGGCTAAGGCACAAGAATCACTTGAAACCCAGGAGGCAGAAGTTGTAATGGGCCGAGATTGCACCATGGCACTCCAGCCTTGGCAACAGAGTGAGACTGTCTCTAAATAAATAAATACATACATACAGACAGACATACATACTAGCTCCAAATTACTGATGCCAATCAACAGTAATAAAAAATATGAATGATATGAAACGTGATATTAAAATGATTAGTAAATCACTATAGTCCATAATGGGAAAACTCATTCCATTATGTACTAAAATAACAAAAATCGGGCCAACACTTTGGGAGACTGACGTGGGCAGATCCCTTGAGTTCAGAGGTTCGAGACTAGCCTGAGCAACACAGCAAAATTTCATCTCTACAAGAAATATAAAAATTAGCCAGGTACGGTGGAACATGCCTGTGGTCCCAGCTACTCGGGAGGCTGAGGTGGGAGGAAGAGGATGGCTTGAGCCTGGGAGGCGGAGGCTGCAGTGAGCCGAGATCACGCCACTGCACTCCAGCCTGGGCAATAGAGCCAGACCTTGTTTTTTTTTTTTTTTTTTTTTTTAAATCATTCTCATACCTTGATAAGGAAATACGCAACTTTTAAATGTTAATTTAGAAAATAACCAGCAAATGTAGCAGATTTTTAGTGTCCCCTAAATTAGTGTTCAAGGGGATCAATCTGGACGCAGAGAAAGAAGTAAAAAAATGGAGAACAGGCCAGGCACAGTGGCTCACGCCTGTAATCCCAGGGCTTTGGGAGGTTGACGGAGCCGGATTGCTTCAGCCCACGAGTTCAAGACCAGCCTGGGCAAAATGGCAAAGCCCAATCTCTATGGAAAATAAAAACTTTTAAAAATTAGCCCACCATGGTGGCACTGGCCTGTAGACCCAGCTACTCAGGAGGCTGAGGTGGGAGGATCCCTTAAGCCCAGGAGTTGGAGGTGGCAGTGAGCCATGATTGCGCCACTGTACTACAACCTGAATGATGGTGAGACCCTATCTCTAAAAAGAAAAAGAATAATTTTATCTTGGCCCCCATGTGGCACCTCACAGCTTGGGAACAACAATTTCTCACGTTTCCTCAGCTCCAACCACCACTCACAAGCTGTGTGACCTCGAGCAAGGCACCCAAGCTCCTCTGGACCTCAGCTTCCCTGTCAGTACAATGGGGATAACAATAGTGCTTACTTTATGGGGTCATTTGTGAATGTGAGATGAGTTAATAAATGGAAAGCACTTAGAAAAACCTCTGGAACCACTGAATCAAACTGGATATCATTATTGATCCCTCATTCAATCCTTCAATACCCATTTAGTGTCGTCTGTCCAGATGCTGCAGATACGCCTAGCACACAGTGACTGCTCAGCGAACAGTGTCACAATGAACATGTGCAATGGCCTTGAAGGCCACATTGGGACTTGCCCTGATCAGCAGGTTGGAGGTGCTCCAGGCCCGAAGCTTAGCTGTGAGTGGGGACATGGGAGGGAGGTTGGAACTACCACTGCAGAAGGGGCTCTGAACCTAGGTTCAGGAGAGAGGCTTTGAACTTGCATGTGTGGGGAGCCATGGAAGTTTCCAGGAAGGACTGCAGGTCCCACCTGGAGATGTGCAGTTCCTCCTTCAGGTACCTGGGAATGTCAGTCACACCCCAGACCTGCTCAGCTCCTCCAAACTGCTGTTCCTGTATCTGAGAGCTTCAAGTCCCCAAATGGCCTATCTAATACATGGGGAAACTGAGGCCTGGGGAGGCCTGGGGACTGAGCTAGCATTCACTTGTGGAAATAGTCTGGCATCACCTGAAGAAGTTAGAGACATGCAAATCCTACGCCCTCAGATTCCCCTCTGAGAGTCTGCGTGCCTATGTGAACCAGGAGACATGTGCGGGAGTGAACACTGCAGTGTTACTCCAAACAGCAAGAACCAGAAACAGCCCAAAGGGCCGTTACAGGAGAATATGGACACCCAGGCTGCACATGCACACCATGGAATGCTGTATGGCAGTGGAAATAAATGAACAGCTACCCCTACAGGCAAACAGGAATCATAGCAACAGCTGGGAGTGACGGCGTGAAGCAGAGGGACAAGAATGTGCACTCATGCCCGGTCTGCCTGGCTTACAATCCTGGCTCTCTGCTTGCCAGCTAGAACTATCATGCAAATCATTTAACCACTCGGTGCCTCAGTTCCCTCATATGTAAAATGGACATGGTAACAGTGTGTATCCCACAGGCCATTATGAGGATTTAAATGATTTAAAGGATTGTGGGCTGGGCACAGTGGCTCAAGCCTGTAATCCCAGCACTTTGGGAGGCCGAGGTGGGTGGATCACCTGAGGTCAGGAGTTCAAGACCAGCCTGGCTAACATGGTGAAACCTCGTCTCTACTAAAAATACAAAAAAAAAAAAAAAAAAAAAAAAAAAATTAGCCAGGTGTGGTGGCAGGGGCCTGTAAACCCAGCTACTTGGAAGGCTGAGGCAGGATAATCACTTGAACCTGGGAGGCAGAGGATGCAGTGAGCTGAGATCGTGCCACTGTACTCCAGCCTGGGCAACAGAGTGAGGCTTGGTCTCAAAAATATAAATAAATAAACAAACAAATAAATAAAGGATTGTGAATGTAAAGGGGACAGAACAGTGCCTGACACACACATCAAGTGCTACATGAGTGTTAAGAGAAAGCCGGCTGGGTGTGGTGGCTCACGCCTGTAATCACAGCACTTTGGGAGACTGAGATGGACGGATCACCTGAGGTCAGGAGTTCGAGACCAGCCTAGCCAACATGGAGAAACCCTGTCTCTACTAAAAATACAAAAATTACCTGGGTGGCGGGCACCTGTAATCCCAGCTACTCGGGAGGCTGAGGCAGGAGAATCGCTTCAATCTGGGAGGTGGAGGTTGCAGTGAGCCAAGATTGTGCCACTGCACTCCAGCCTGGGTGACAGAGCGAGACTGTCTCAAAACAAACAAAAAAACAAAAAGAAAACCAGAAGCCGGGTGCAGTGATTCATGCCTGTAATCCCAGCACTTTGAGAGGCTAGGGCAGGAGGATCGCCTGAGGCCAAGGGTTCAAGACCAGCATAGGCAACATGGCGAGACTCTGTCTCTATTAAAAATTTAAAAATTAGCCAGGTGTGGTGGGATGCACCTGTAGTCCCAACTACTCAAGAGGCTGAGGGGCGAGGAATACTTGAGTTTGAGGCAGCAGTGACCTATGATTGCAGCACTGCACTCCAGCCTGGACAAAAGAACAAGAACCTGTCTCAAAAAAAACAAAAACAAAAACAAAAAAAAGATAAATCTAGAATGTCCAGTGGGGAAAAAGTAAGTTTCCAAAGATTACATAGTGTTATGGTTTGATGACTTGTACCTCTCAAACCCAGCACTTTGGGAGGCCAAGGTGGGTGGATCACCTGAGGTCAGAAGTTTGAGACCAGCCTGACCAACGTGGTGAAACTCCATCTCTACTAAAAATACAAAAATTAGCCGGGCATGGTGGCGGGCACCTATAATTCCAGCTACTCGGGAGGCTGAGGCAGGAGAATCGCGTGAACCTGGGAGGTGGAGGTTGCAGTGAGCTGAGATCGTACCATTACACTCTAGCCTAGGTGACAGAGCACTACTCTGCCTCAAAAAAAGAAAAAGAAAAAGAAATGTAATTGCCATTGTAACAGTATTAAGAGGTGAGATCTTTAAGAGGTCATCAAGCAAGCAAGAGAGAGAGAGAGAGAGAGAGAGTCTTTTTCTACCACGTGAGAACATAGTGAGGTAATCTGCAAGCCAGGAAAAGAGTCCTCATCAGAAATGACCCTGACAGACCTTGTTCTGGGAATTCTAGCCTGCAGAACTGTGAGAAAATAAATTTCTGTTGTTTAAGCCAAAAAAAAAAAGTGGTAATCAAGAGGCCTCATGAATGGATTACTGCTGTTATTATGGGAGTGGGGAGTGGGTTTCTCATAATAAAATGGGTTCAGCCCCCTCTCTGGCCCTCTCTTACTCTTTCCCCCTCCACTATGGAATGACACAGCAAGAAGACCCTGGCCAGATGCTGCACCTAGATCTTGGACTTCCCAGCCTCCAGAACTATAAGGAATAAATTTCTATTCTTTATAAATTACCCAGTGTCATGTATTTTGGTACAACAGCACAAAACAGACTAAGATGTATACTTTTTTTTTTTTTTTTTTTTTGAGACGGAGTCTCGCTCTGTCGCCCAGGCTGGAGTGCAGTGGCGCGATCTCGGCTCACTACAAGCTCCACCTCCCAGGTTCACGCCATTCTCCTGCCTCAGCCTCCCGAGTAGCTGGGACTATAGGCGCCCGCCACCACACCTGGCTAATTTTTTGTATTTTTAGTAGAGATGGGGTTTCACCGTGTTAGCCAGGATGGTCTCGATCTCCTGACCTCATGATCTGCCTGCCTTGGCCTCCCAAAGTGCTGGAATTACAGGCGTAAGCCACTGTGCCCAGCCTAAGATGTATACTTTTATACAGTTCAGAAACACCAAAGATGAAGCAAGATATTTAGGCTGCAGACTACTGACTTCTTGTATTCTCACATAGCTGAAAGAGGACGAGAGTCTCTGGGATGCCTTTTAAGGCACTGATCCCATCTATGAGGGCTCTGCCCTTGTGACCTAATTACCTCCCAAAGGCCTCACCCCTAATGCCATCACATGGGGCGGTTATGATTTATTTTTTTTTCTTTTGAGATGAAGTCTCGCCCTATTGCCCAGGCTGGAGTGCAATGGCGCAATCTCAGCTCACTGCAACCTTCCCCTCCCGGGTTCAAACGATTCTCCTGTCTCAGCCTCCCAAGTAGCTGAGATTACAGGTGCACGCCACCACGCCTGGCTAATTTTTGCCTTTTTAGTAGAGATGGGGTTTCACCATGTTGGCCAGGCTGGTCTCAAACTCCTGACCTCAGGTGATCTGCCCACCTTGGCCTCCCAAAGTGCTGGGATTATAGGCGTGAGCCAGTGCTCCTGGCCTCTACAAAAAATTTTTAAAAAATTAGCTGGGCGTGGTGGCACACACCTGTAGTCCCAGCTACTCAGTAGGCAGGAAGATTGCTTGAGCCCAGGAGATCAAGGCTGCAGTGAGCCATGATTGTGTCCCTGCACAATCAGCCTGGGAGACAGAGTGAGACCCTGTCTCCAAAAAAAAAAAAAAAAAAAAGGAAGCCTTGCTGGGCATCTAATGGGAAAATCTGTGTTCCCAACAATGGAAATCAGCTAGATTGACCAAAGCACCAGAGGAACAAATGTATTTAGAGTGGTTCTGTGTGCACATGGTGGGGGGTGTATGGCAAGTGGGGAGTTGTCAACTGGCAGTCTTTAGCAGTGGCTATATGGAGGCTTCTCATGATTTCCACTTCAGTCAGAACAAAAGCCATAGTAGTTCCAGTGGACTGACCTTACAGCACTACAGGATCTCCCTGACCTGACCTCCTACCACCTTCTCCCTCACTTACTCCCCTGCAGCCACACCAGCCTCCCGGCTGTTCCTCACACATGCTAGCAACAGTGCTACCACAGGGCCTTTGCACTTCATTTCCCCTGTCTAGACCGCTTTCCCCAGATAGCTGCATGACCATCCCTTACTTCCTTAATACCGTTGCTTAATGTCACCTTCTCTCTAAGGCTTTCTGTGGCCATCCTATTAATACTGCCCCTTTCCCCCATGGTTCTCAGCTTCTTATAACATCTTCCATCACTTACTTCTGCTTATTGCTCACTGTCTCAGCCCCAGTGGAGTGTCAGCCCCACAAGGGCAAGGATGTTTGTTTTGTTTGTAGCTCCATACTCGGTACCCAGGATGCTGCCTGGCATATAGTAGGGTCTTGATATTAAGTGATTTACTCCATACGGTTCCCCTAGCATGCAGGATGGTACCTGGCATTCAGTAGGAGCTCAAGAGATGTTTGTTGAATGAATTGGTGTGATAGGGGACTTGGTGAGGACCCGCCCCCACTTAGATAGCTTTAGAAGCTGTTGGATACTTCATCCCTCTGCGTGGTGCTGCAGACATGGAGATGAAGAGGTGGCCTCAGTGTGGGAGTAGAGGGGAGCATTCCCTTGACTGAGGAAGGAATGTTAGAAAAGAGAGCTGAGGCTGGGCATGGTGGCTCATGTCTGTAAACCCAGCACTTTGGGAGGCCGAGGTGGGCAGATCACGAGGTCAGGAGTTTGAGATCAGCCTGACCAACACTGTGAAACCCCGTCTCTACTAAAAATACAAAAATTAGCCGGGCATGGTGGCATGCGCCTGTAATCCCAGCTACTAAGGAGGCTGAGGCAGGAGAATCACTTGAAACTGGGAGGTGGAGGTTGCAGTGAGCCAAGATCACGCCACTGCATTCCAGCCTGGGCGACAGAGCAAGACTCCATCTCAAAAAAAAAAAAAAAAAAAAAAAAAAAAGAGCTGAGGCCAGGAGTGGTGGCTCATGCCTATAATCCCAGCACTTTGGAAGGCCAAGATGGGAAGATCACTTGAGCCCAGGAGTTCAAGACCAGCCTGAGCAATATAGTGAGACCTTGTCTCTCTTATATTTAAAATAAAAAATTATTTAAAAAAAATTTTTTAAAAGAAGAGCTGACCTGTCCATATCTGCCACTGAACACAGCCCAGACAGCAACCCACAGCACCTCAATAATTGACTCCTCTCTGAAAGGCAAAGAAACTGCTTCCTGAGTCTGCTGCTACAAATTCAAGGCTTGGCATCTGGACAATTTTTAACAGAAGCAGACCCCTGCCAGGGAAACTTCTGGGGGCTTGGCAGAAGAGGCAGATGCCTTTTAATCTACCTCTTGCTCAATCCCTGTGATGTGAAAAAAGCCAGTCTGGACAAATTGTACAGGTCACAGTCCCCAGCTTGTGAGGGGCCTGTAGAGAATTCTCGGGCTCACAGAAGCCGTTGCTGCAGTAACCACTGCCGCAAGAGCAACTTTGGCAGCAGGCAGGTGCCAGGCAGCAAGCTGAGAGAACACTGCACAGATTCAAAGTGTCTTCAGATACAAGGCTTTGTTTGTGCACAGTGAACAAAGGGCATATTGGGAAGGCCTCCTTATATTGTCCACACTTCCCTGAATGTAAGGAGCCCTGTCCTCAAAATGGGGATCAGCAGGGCTCCTTTCAAGGTAAAGCAGAAAAAGTCCCAGTGGCCTGTCAAGGGAGACCAGGCGCTTTGGCTGGAGCTAGGTGTTCTGGACAAAGGGCCATATTCAAGAACTTTGGGCCCCATTTTCAAGCGTAGGCTTAGGAGAAAGATGAATTCCAGGAAATCTGAAGCTGATGAGATATCTGCTTTAGCATTGTGGCACGGGGAGGAGATGGAGGGTGTCTGAAATGGCCAGGTTATGTTGTGTTACAGGCAGAGACAGAGCCCCAGTGCCATTCCCTGGGGAGCTTTAGCCCTTCTCAAAGGTGCTACCAAGGCTGGTTTATTATGATTGGAGAAAGGAGGAGGCCTCCTTGACAGAGTGAAGTGCATAAAGCATAGGAAATGGACTACTGGACATGAGAAGTTGGGAACATCCTCCCTACGATTAACAAAATACAAGCCAGAGACCAGGCACGGTGGCTCATTCCAGTGCCTATAATCCCAGCACTTTGGGAGGCTGAGACGGGAAGATCGCTTGAGCCCAGGAGATCAATGCTGCTGTGAGCTATGATTGCACCACTGCACTCCAGTCTGGGCAACAGAGGAAGACCCCAGGCTCAGCATATTCTCTGGGGTCCTGCTCTAAACTGAGAGTGAAAGCATACTCTGCTGCTAGTTGCTAGAGTTCTTGCTCAGAAAGTTGTTCAGAGATACAGTATTTCAGATTCCACAGCATCTAAAGATTTTTTTTTTTTTTTTTGAGACAGAGTCTAACTCTGTCCCCTGGGCTGGAGTGCAGTGGCGCAATCTGGGCTCACAGCAACCTCTGCCTCCTGGGTTCAAGCGATTCTCTTGCCTCAGCCTCCTGAGTAGCTAGGATTATAGGCGTGCACCACCATACCTCGGTAATTTTTTGTATTTTTATACTTTTAGTAGAGACAGGGTTTCACCTTGTTGGCCAGGCTGATCTTGAACTCCTGGGCTCAAGCGATCCATCCACCTCAGCCTCCTAAAGTGCTAGGATTACAGGCATGCACCACTGTGCCCAAGCTTATAGTATCTATATTCCAAGAGTGAGCTCACAATCAAATGAGTCCTTTAACTTGTCCTGTACCCTGAGCAGAAAAGCAAGGCTGAAAAGTGAAATGGTTCCCACCTCAGTCAACTCAGTTCCCACCTTAACTCGCAGCTCATCATACCACTTATGATTTCATCTTTCTATTAAGTACTTGAAATGGTTTTTATTATACCCTAAATTTTGGTAAATATTGGGTTTGTTTCTAGCTTCCCTACTGGTTCACCCATCCCTTTCCCTTGTCCTTGTCCCAGGACTGCACCAGAAGTAGAGGATGGAACAATGATCTTCCCACCTTCTGAAGGCAACTTTCTCATATGGTACAGAACTGGTACCAGCCTGGGGGATGGGAGGAGTCCCATGGGTCAGTCATCATCTGTGTCACTAGGGCCCATGTACTGGCAGATGGCATCGTAGTGAAGCTCCACCACCTGATTTTCTCTTGGCAGTTGCACCAAAGCCCGGCTCCGTGCTCTGTCCCGGCTCAGCAAATGTCCCACCTGGAACAGAGGTGAAGTGGAATCAGCAAGGCAAGCCTAGACCCTGGGACAGGCCCTGAACGACCCACAAACCTCTACTGCCAGGTCTGAGACTCACCCTTCCAGTCTGTGGGCCCAGCACCACCATCACACGGTCACCCTCTGCCTTGGGAACCAGGGTCTCCAGCATGTCTTCCCTCAGGCCTATGGATAAGGGAGAGGGGAGTGAGGCCCACAGCAAGGACCAGCCCAACCAGCGTCCTGTCAGAAGGGCCTTTCCTGGCCAGGCGTGGTGGCTCACACCTGTAGTCCCAGCACTTTGGGAGGCTAAGTTGGGAGGATCGCTTGAGCCCAGGAGTTCGAGACCAACCTGGGCAAGATGGTCAGACCTCATCTCTACAGATTTTTTTGTTTTGTTTTTTGAGACTGAGTTTGGCTCTTGTTGCCCAGGCTGGAGTGCAATGGTGTGGTCTTGGCTCACTGCAACCTCCGCCTCCTGGGTTCAAACGATTCTCCTGCCTCAGCCTCCTGAGTAGCTGGGATTACAGGCACCCACTACTGCGTTTGGCTAATTTTGTATTTTTAGTAGAGATGGGGTTTTGACATGTTGGTCAGGCTGGTCTCAAACTCCTGACCTCAGGTGATCCACCCTCCTCGGTCTCCCAAAGTGCTGGGATTACAGGCATGAGCCACCGCGCCCAGCCTACAAAAAATTTTAAAATTAGCCAGGCATGGTGGTCAGTGCCTGCAGTCCCAGCTACTCAGGAGGCTGAGGTGAGAGGATGGCTTGAAACCAGGAATTTGAGGTGGCAGTGATCCATGATGGTGCCACTGCACTCCAGCATAGGTGATAAAATGAGACCCAATCTCAAAAAAAAAAAAAGAAAAAAAAAAAAAAGAAGGGCCTTTCAGCTGGGTGTGGTGGCTCATGCCTGTAATCCCAGCACTTTGGGAGGCTGAGGCAGGAGGATCACGAGGTAAGGGGTTCAAGACCAGCTTGGCCAATATGGTGAAAACCTGTCTCTATTAAAAATACCAAAATTAGCTGGGTGTGGTAGCGGGCACCTGTAGTTCCAGCTACTCAGGAGGCTGAGGCAGAAGAATAGCTTGAACCCGGGAGGCGGAGGTTGCAGTGAGCCAAGATTGCGTCACTGCACTCCAGCCTGGGTGACAGAGTGACTCTGTTTCAAAAAAAAAAAAAAAAAAAAAAAAAAAAAAAAGAAGGGCCTTTCCTGTATTCCCTGGAGCCACTCTACACCCTGTTGACAGATGGGAGTCCCGCCACATCCATTTCACAGATGAGGTAGCCTAAGGAGTAGTTTACAAAAATCACTGTAATAAAGGGTGGTGGTGATAACAACAGGCACCTTTTATTGTGGGCATGTTTTAACCCCTGCCCTGCACTGAGAGCTCAATACACATTCCTTCACTAAGGCACCAATCACAAGAGGAAGAAATAGTAAATTCCATGCTAATTTGACAGACCGGAGGCCGAGCGCGGTGGCTCACGCTTGTAATCCCAGCACTTTGGGAGGCCGAGGTGGGAGGATCACTTAAGGTCAGGAGTTCCAAGACCAGCATGGTCAACATGGTGAAACCCTGTCTCTACTAAAAACACAAAAATTAGCCAGGTGTGGTGACGCTTGCCTGTAATCCCAGCTACTCGGGAGGCTGAGGCAGGAAAATCGCTTGAACCTGGGAAGTGGAGGTTGCAGTGAGCTGAGATCACGCCACTGCACTCCAGCCTGGGTGACAGAGTGAGACTCTGTCTCAAAAAAAAAAAAAAAGAAAAAAAAGAAAACTTGACAGACTGGGAGAGTGGGGCTCAAGATAACCAACCACCATCATGGAAGTGTCTAATGTTCTGTAAGAGGATGCTAGGCCTTGCAAAATACCTGAACTCTGCCAAACCTCCCAGCTTTGCCTGGGCCAGGCTCTGGGCCTAAAACACTCTTCTTGATCAACCTCCAGCTGCCATCGCTCAAACTCACCTTCCAGGACTCGGCCTTCATCTGTCCGACATACACAGGTATCTGGGCTTAGGACATCTTCAATTATCATCTGGGGATACAGGTCAGGGGGATGTGAGATTTTAGAGAGGTAGGGGGGCCCAGTCCCTAGGAGAGGGAGGGGGACTCAGGCTGCAGGGTTCCCACCTTGGTGTTGTAATATTGGCCTCCTTTGTACATGTTGTCCACAAACCGCACACGCAGGTCCCTGTGCAACCAGTGCTGACTTCTGGGGGCTGCTTTCTCACTCTTGGCTGCAGGCCCATCCTGTCTGTGGAGAAGGTGCCAGCACCAGGCTTAGCTCTTCATCAGATGCACTTTCCAGTTGCCCTCCCTTTGCCTATGCTATGAAACCCACCCACAATGCAGTTCCCCGTTCCTTCTATGAGCCCGCCTTGCCTTGGAAGCCTTCCCTGGCTGCTCGAGCCTACCCACAGCCCTGCCTTCTTGACCCCTCCCGCATGCTCAGAGTCCCACCGGTCTGGAAGGTGTTTCCGCTTCCTCTCTGAGTTGTCCTGCTGGATGTAGAGTTCTTGATTCCAGAGGGTCTTCCGTGATGAGGCAGTTCCGTTCTGTTGCCCTGGGGAAGGAAGTTTTGCTCATCTGGCCTGTTCAAGAGGTTATGAGGAGAACCAGGACAGAGCCTCAGTGTCTCACTGCCCTTTCCTTCCAAGGCCATGTCTCAGCCTAGAGCCACCTCCCACCTGCCAAAGTGCCCCTCTCACCCCTCATGCATTTGCTAGTAGAATGCCTCTCCCCCACCTCTCAACCATTTCAGCTTCCTTCAGGAACCCTCCCGCAGCCAACCTAGCCCACAACAACAATGCTCACCTAGTGTGGACTAGAGATTCCCAGAGAGCTCTGTCTGTACCCATTTGCCAAACTGCCCCGTCCTACCGAAACGCCTTCGCCTGTGCTGTTCTGTCTGCCTAGAATTCCTTCCTTCTTGGTCACACCCTAATCCTAGCAGTTCTCACTCCCTAGTAAAAGAGAGGTTCATCACCCCAAATGGACAAAGATCTCGAAGGTAGGAATTGGTTTCTGCACCTGTTTCTTCTCACTCAGACAGGCTACAGACCCAGGGGTATGACATCGACCTTTCTCCAATCAAATGGAGTAAGTCACTTATGTCCATTCTCACCTCCTGACCTCTGATTGGAAGTCATATCTGCCAGGCACACTGCTGCCCCTCCCTGCTGCAGATCTAAAACCACCCCATTAGCCAGGCCCTGCCACCCCTAGGAATGCGTTGCCAACTCCCCTAGCTCTACAAGAGGCTCACTCACTGAGATCCAAGGTGTTCTTGTCAAACTCCTGCTGGGAGACAGGCCGCAGGTAGTACTCACTAACAGTCACCACCCGGCTCCCCACAGCCAGACGAACCATGGCCCGAACATTGTCAGGATCAAGGCCTTCCACCTAAAGTGTTGAGGGGAAGAAGTCAGGTAGGGGTTGTGGACTCCACCCACATTCCTAGGACCAAGATGTCAACCCCTTACCTCTAAGAGGCCTGCTTCCTCTGTCTCCCCAACCAGACTCTGACCCCTGAGAAGTGGGACCAGGTCTGGTTCCTGTGTCTCCCTCAGCTGACTGTGGGGCTTCCTTGGATCCTTTAAGCATTTAATCTTCAGGGACTTGTGGCATATGGCATTCTCTTCCTTTTAGCTGGGAACTGAGGCTCACAAAGGCCAGCAAGTGGTCCTGGGTTACTGAGTGAGGCAGTGGGCCAAGCAGACCTAAAAGACTAGGAGTCCCAGCCTTTCTACCTCAAATCCAATTATTCCTCCATCTGACCCTCGGATCAACCTTCCCTGCTGCCTGTTTTGGGCTCCCGGGATATCTTGGTTCCTTACCTTCCCATAGAGGCCTCGGTGAGGGCCAGAAAGAACCACCACAGCTCCTCCAGGCACCAGCCCTTGAGGCTGATCTTCCTTATCTTTCTCTTGCTCCTCATCTGGTCTTGGCATGCGGGAGGGGCCAGTGGGGGTCAAGGCCTGGGCCTCGGTCAGGTTGGCACCCAGCCCTAACCCCTTGGGCCTCAGTGAGTTGACACGGGGCTTCACTACTCTGCAGGGAGGAATATGGGTTTGTTGGAGAGGATGCAACAGTCTTCAACACCTTATTTACTTCCTCTTCCTGCCCAAACCCGCCCCACCCGCCCCATTGACATTTTCTTTTCTTTTCTTTTTTTTTGGAGATGGAGTTTTGCTCTTGTCATCCAGGCTGGAGTACAATGGCTCGATCTCGACTCAATGCAACCTCCACCTCCCAGGTTCAAGGGATTCTCCTGCCTCAGCCTCCCGAGTTGCTGGGGTTACAGGCGCATGCCACCATGCCCGGCTAATTTTTGTATTTTTAGTAGAGACAGGGTTTCACCATGTTGGTCAGGCCGGTCTTGAACTCCTGACCTCAGGTGATCCGTCCTCTTTGGCCTCCCAAAGTGCTGAGATTACAGGTGTGAGCCACCGTGTCCAGCCCCCACCAATATTTTCAAGGTTGCCCTTTCTGATCTCATATTAGGACTGTTTTTGACCTACAGAAACAGCAATTTCATTTGGTTCAACCTAATAACATGCTGCATATACCATCTATTACATAATATCTACAGTGAGATCAGAGGCAGATCGCTGTAACCAAATATACTATTTCTACAGGGGAAATCATATGAACATTCACACCGAGCAGGAGAAACCGGATTATAAATACTCAACATGGTTGGGCATGGTGGCTCATGCCTGTAATCCCAGCACTTTGGGAGACCGAGGTTGGTAGATCACCTAAGGTCAGGAGTTCAAGACCAGCCTGGTCAACATGGGGAAACCCCATCTCTACTAAAAATACAAAAATTAACCAGGCATGCTGGTGCATGCCTGTAATCCCAGCTACTCAGGAGGCTGAGGCAGGACAATCACTTGAACTCAGGAGGTAGAGGTCGCAGCGAGCCGAGATTGCGCCACTGCATCCCAGCCTGGGTGACAGACAGAGACTCCATCTCAAAAAAAAAAAAAAAAAAAAAAAAAAAACGCCAATTCAGGTCATATTTGGCTGCCAATGGGTTATGAAAAAATGTTTGGTTTTCAGAATTATTGAGTTTGCAATTGTGAAGAAAGGGTTGCAAGTCTGCATGACAATAGCAAATGTTTAGTCTACGCTTTCTTGGGGTCAGGGCCTACTGTATGTGCTTTATGTATATAATTTCTTTTCCTTTTCCTTTTTTTTTTTTTTTTTGAGACGGAGTCTCACTGTCACCCAGGCTGGAATGCAGTGGTGCAATTTCGGCTCACTGCAAGCTCCGCCTCCCAGGTTCACGCCATTCTCCTGCCTCAGCCTCCTGAGTAGCTGGGACTACAGGCACCCGCCACCATGCCCGGCTAATTTTTTGTATTTTTTTTTTTAGTAGAGATGGGCTTTCACCGTGTTAGCCAGGATGGTCTCGATCTCCTGACCTCGTGATCCACCCACCTCAGCCTCCCAAAGTGCTGGGATTATATGTGTGAGCCACCACACCCGGCCCTAATTTCTTTTCTTAAAATTAATTAATCTTTTGTAGAGATGGGGCCTCCCTATGTTGCCCAGGCCAGTCTCAAACTCCTGGAGTTAAGTGATCCTCCTGCCTCAGTCTCCGAAAGTGCTGGGATTACAGGCATGAGCCACTACCTGGCCTATGTGTATAATTTCATTTAACTCTCACAACAGACCTATGAAGTCAGTACTATTACCCCCATTTTTCAGATGAGGAAATTGATGTCCCTAGAGGCAAACTTTATATAAATGGGATTCTATTAGAGTTTCAAAGGGCAAATGGGAGTTTAAAACAGTAGTGGAAGGGGCTGCTGAATTAGTTAGGGCGATAATGTATCCTCCCTCCCTGCCTAGGTGGTTCTGGTTTGGCAGTGACCCTGGGGATCTTGATTGCAGCCTGATGATCTGTCTGTCCCCTCGACCCTATCCCAGAACTCACTGATTGAAGGTGCGGCCGATGCCCTCGCCAGGTTTCCAGCCCATGCCCCGCAGCATGGCCAGCCCATAGGCCTCCACGGGGACCGCCTCATAATTAGCCTCCTCTGGCACCTACAGGTTCAGGTAGAGGAAGGAGGGTCAGGCTTTGCTTACACTGGGTCTTCTATTTGAAGTGCACTTGCTGCCCCCCACTGGGAGACCTGCTACGCGTCTTTTCCAATCAGCTCAAGGGTGAGTTTTGATTTCCTCTTTCCATCCCTCACTGTACTCCTCCATGTTCAGTCCTTCAACAAATATAAAGCACCTTGTCTATGGCAAGTACTGTTCTAGGTACTGGGGATGAAGCTGTGAACCAAACAGACAAAAACCCCTACCCCTGCAGAGCTTCTGATCTAGTTGTGGAGACATACTATAAATAAAACCCAGAAAACATGATATGTCAGGTGGTGATGTAAAGAACAAGAAAACAGGGTAAGAAGATGCAGAGGGATGGAGAGGGAGTGCCACTGGGTTGACATTTAAGCAGAGATCAGGAGATGACAGCAGAGGGAGCCATGAGGATATGAGAAGAAAGTGTCCCAAGCTGAAAGCATAGTAACAGCAAAGGCCCTGAGGCCGGACAAGGCTTGGTATGTGTGAGGGGTATCATGAAAGTCACCATGACTGAAATGGAGAGAGTGAGAGTAGACAGCAGAGAAGGGTGGGGAAGAGACCAAATCAGGAGAGCTGGGCAGGAGTCAGAGGACCTTGAGCCAGGTGGGAGCCACAAGAGGGACCAGTGAGGAAATTACTCTAATAGTCCAGATGAGAGATGCTGGTGGCTCAGCCCTTTGCAGTGGTATTGGTGGTGGTGAGAAGTGGTCAGTTCTGGGTGTCATTTTGAAAAAAGATGATAGGATTGTGCTGGCATATTGTATGGGGCACGAAATAAAGAGAGGAATTGAGGATGACTCCAAGGTTTTCTTTTTTTTTTTTCTTGAGATGAAGTCTTGCTGTGTTGCCCAGGCTGGAGTGCAGTTGCATGATCTCAGCTCACTGCAACCTCAGTCTCCTGGGTTCAAGCGATTCTCCTGCCTCAGCCTCCCGAGTAGCTGTGATTACAGGCACGTGCCACCATGCCCAGCTAATTTTTGTATTTTTACTAGTGATGGGGTTTCGCCATGTTGGCCAGGCTGGTCTTGAACTCCTGACCTCAGGTGATCCGCTGGCCTCAGCCTCTCAAAGTGTTGGGATTACAGGCGTGAGCCACCGCCCCTGGCTGACTCCAAGGTTTTTATGCTGAGTGAGAGGAAGGATGGATGGAATTTTTGGTCACCTGATATGTAGAAAGCTGCAGGAGGAGGTTTATAGAGGGAAAAATTAGAAGAATGAGGCCAAAGCTGGAACAGGATGAAAGGATGAAGAGGGAAGTGAGGATCTTTTTTTTCTTTAAAGATGAAGGAGCTGGGCACAGTGGCTCACGCCGGTAATCCCAGCACTTTGGGAGGCTGAGGTGGGTAGATCACTTGAGGTCAGGAGTTCAAGGCCAGCCTGACCAACGTGGCGAAACCTCGTCTCTACTAAAAATACAAAAATTAGCCAGGCGGTAGTGACACGTGTCTGTAATCCCAGCTACTTGGGAGGCTGAGGCAGGAGAATCGCTTGATCCCAGGACCGGGAGGTTGCAGTGAGCCGAGATCACACCACTTCACTCCAGCCTGGGCGACAGGGCAAGACTCTATCTCAAAAAACAAAAAACAAACAAACAAAAAAATGTTGAAGGAAACCAGGGCACATCTGAAGGCTGAAGAGAACAGTTCAGTTGAAAGAGAGAGTGGTGTGGGGCTGTAGAAGAACTAGACTCAAAAGAAGCAGTGCAAGAAATTTATGAAAGAAGAGGTGAAAAGTCAGGTCTGTGGGTATGAAAGACAGACTTGGTTACTTCTGTAGACATGCCTCTCACGTCCCCTCTTGTCACCTCCCATCATCACTCCTTCCCATTCACTCCAGATACACCACATGTTGCCTCACTGATGGACACACCATATCGATTTTCTACCACTATGCCATTGCTTGGGCTGTTACTACTAACAGGAGTACTCACTCTGTTCTTCCCTCTCTCACTAAACCCTACTTATCCTTCCAGACCACTCTGGTCTAAGTCCCCAGCATCTCTAGCCTGGACTACTCATCCCCTTGCTTCCACCTTCACTAATGAGTCTGTTCACAGCTTCCAGAGGGATACTGTCAAATCATAAATCATATTTCATCTATGCTCAGGGCTTGTCCAGGCTCTCATCTCACTCAGAGTAAAAGCCAAAGTCCTCACAATGGCCTACAAGGCCCTGCCTGGTCTAGCACCCCCATCTCCTTTCTGACTTCGTCTACTACCCCTTCCCCTTACTCATTCCACTTCAGTCACACTGGTCTCCTTGGTGTTCCGCAAACACTTTAGGCAGTGTCTACCTTCAGGGCCTTTACATTTCCTGTTCCCTTTGCTGCACACCTCATTCAGATAATCCTAGGATTCAAGTACGTTTTTAGCATCCAGATACCCAGATTCATTTGGTAATGCTTCCAAAATGATGACAGGAGAAGGGGCAGGTGGCGGGCCTCTAGCACACACACAGACTTTCCCTGCTACGTGCAGGGACACAGCCTGGCGGACAGGGCAAAGAAAGGCTGGGGCAGGAGGGGGACAAGGGGCCAGCTCACTGTCTCTGCCCGGGGTTCGCTGTCTGCCCCTTCCCCGCTGGGGGTGCATCCTTTCTGGATCATGGGGATAGCGAGCGTGGGGTCGACACCCGCATTCTCTCTCTCTTCCAGAGACTTCTTGGATTCTAAAGGAAGAATAGGAGGGAGCAATGAAGTCCCACTCTATCCTTCCACCTTCTTCCTCTTCTTCCTTCAATGGGGAAGGGTAAAGGGGTATCACTCACCCGCAATGAGCTCCTTCACAGCCTGGGACACCACCCCATCCGCCAAGGCCCCAGTATCTGTGGATGGCCCAGGGGGCCGGGCTGGTGGCTGCCTGCGATGGCCATTCTGGATCAAAGGGATGACGAGTTCCTTGGGGGCCTCCTGGGGCTTCACACTGATGTGGACACAGAGGGGTGGGGTTGGGAGAATGGCAGGGTCAGTGGGTCACACTCCTTCATTCAGAGAAAACACAAGAGCCAAACTCACCCCAGCCCCACAGACCATGTCTTCCCTACTCCATGTCTGGATCTCCTGTTCCTCTCTGATCGTGCATTCTCTGGATTATCTCCCCAGTGCCCCCAACTCATAAATGTCAGTGCCTTCGAGAAATAAGTCCTGCACTCTCTGTTTAACTCAATACCGGCTTCTACAATGGCCCACAAATCACTATCTTCAGCCCAGACCTTCCCCAGCTCCAGGTTCCCAAACAGCTTCCTAGATGCCTGATTCTCTTCTGGAAATCCCTCCCTCAGACCCCTCAGACACTCCTCTCCTCATTAAGCTGATGGTGGCCTCCATCAACCTGAATCTGCCGCTCCATCCCGTTCCCCATATCGGGGACGCCTCAGCCCTTCAGTTGAGACACTAGCAGGTCCTGTCATTTTCTCATTCTTTCCTTCTCCCAGAACGCACAGACCTTAGTGTCTTCAAGTCCTAAAGACACTTCTTCTCAGTAATACATCCTCTCTTCGCAATTCCCACAGCTATCAGGCCCAATTTCCTCACCCCCTCCTATAAACTCCCGCCTTCTGGCCTCCACGAATTTACTCAGGCTGTGCTTCAGGCTTAACAGGTCACTGTCACCAAGACAAACAACTGAGATTCCTCCCTCCCGCTTACGCCCACCGCAGAGATTTCCAAGGGGTGAAAGACCCGGCGCGTCACCTCTGCAGCTCCCTCCCTTCCACGGTTTTCAAGAAATCCTTCTCCTCCGGAGATGGCCCCGCGCCGTCTCCCGAGTCGGCCAGCCGCCTCCGTGCGGACGTGCGAGTGAAGCCGAATGAAATTGGGGCAGTGGAAGCAGCCGTCAGCGGCAAAACACCCTCTTTGGAGTCAGCCATCTTGCTCCTTTTCCCAGGCCGGCGCGCTGCTTGCTGGGAAATTTAGTTTGGGTTCAGATCGCTAGGGGCCGGCCAAAGTGCGTAAAAACTACCTTCCCATCAACCACTGTGGCACCGGCGGGAGGGGGCGGTAAGGGGCCGTGGGAAGTAATTGTCGCTCTTTCAAACGTGGTGGGAGCGCGTCGCGCCAAGCGCCCAGGGAAATGTAGTTTTTTTTTTGTTTGTTTTGTTTTGTTTTTTAAGATGGAGTCTCGCTCTGTTTCACAGGCTGGAGTGCAGTGGCGTGATCTCGGCTCACTGCAACCTCCGCCTCCCAGGTTCAAGCGATTCTCCTGCCTCAGCCTCCCGAGTAGCTGAGACTAAAGGCATGCGCCACCACGCCTGGCTAATTTTTGTATTTTTAGTAGAGACGGGGTTTCACCGTGTTAGCCAGGATGGTCTCGATTTCCTGACCTCGTGATTCTCCTGCCTCGGCCTCCCACAGTGCTGGGATTACAGGTGTGAGCCACCACGCCTGGCTGGAAATGTAGTTTTTAGCGGGGTAGGCATGGTGGAAGGTGGATTCATTCTTGCCAGACATTAATCTTCCTTCGTGTAGGCGTTTGACAAGTATTTATGGAGCGCCTAATGTGTGCCCTACTTATGTGGGAAGTGTTGATGAAGTAAATCATTTAGAAATAATCAGCTGGGTGTGGTGGCGCGCACCTGTAGTTCCATTTACTCCGCAGGCTGAGGCAGGAGGATGGCCTGAGGCCTGGGAATTCGAGGCTGCACTTAGCTCTTATCGCACCACTGCATTCCAGCCTGGGTGACAGAGCGAGACCCCATCTCTAAAAAAGAAAAAGGTCGGGGGTGGGGGGGATGGAGCGTCAGTTGTGTACAATAATAAATAATAGACATAAAATAAATAATAGACATAAAAAACCCCGTCTCTACTGAAAATACAAAAATTAGAGGGGTGTGGTGGCTCATGCCTGTAATCCCAGCATTTTGGGAGGCCGAGGCTGGTGGATCACCTGAGGTCAGGACTTTGAGACCAGCCTGACTCATATGGTGAAACCCTGTCTCTACTAAAAATACAAAAATTAGCCGGGCGTGGTGGTGGCGCCTGTATCCCCAGCTACTTGGGAGGCTGAGACAGGAGGATTGCTTGAATCCGGGAGACAGAGTTTGCAGTGAGCCGAGATCCTGCCACTGCACTCCAGCCTGGGCGACAGAGCGAGACTCCGTCTTAAAAAAGAAAAAAGAAAGAAAGAAAGAAATAGTGCCTATTGGCCAGGCTCATACCCGTAATCCCAGCACTTTAGGAGGCCGAGGCGGGCGGATCACTTGAGGCCAGTAGTTCGAGACCAGCCTGGCCAACATGGTGAAACCCCGTCTCTACTGAAAATACAAAAATTAGCGGGGTGTGGTGGCGCATGCCTGTAATCCCAGCTACTCGGGAGGTTGAGGCAGGAGAATCGCTTGAACCCGGGAGGCGGAGGTTACAGTGAGCCGAGATCTCAACACTCCGGCCTGGGCTATAGAGTGACACTCAGTCTCAAAAACAAAAGAAAAACAAAAGAAAAACAAAAAAAAAAAAAAAAAAAAAAGAAAAAGAATAGTGCCTACTGATGTCAGATTTTAATACTCAACAAGGCACTAGATTCAAATATCAATAAAATAGGCTGGGCACAGTGGCTCATGCCTGTAATCCCAGCACTTTGGGAGACCTAGGCGGGCGGACCACCTGAGGTCAAGAGTTTGAGACCAGCCTGGCCAACATGGCAAAACCCAATCTCCACTAAAAATACAAAAATTAGCCGGGTGTGGTGGCACATGCTTGTAATCCCAGCTACTCGGGAGGTGGAGGCAGGAGAATCGCTTGAACCTAGTAGGTGGAAGTTGCAGTGAGCCAAGATTGCCCCACTGCACTCCAGCCTGGGCAACAGAGCGAGACTCTGTCTCAAAAAAAAAAAAAAAGAAAAAGAAAAGAAAAAGAAAAAAAAGAAACTTGTAGTCTAGTAGGGAATACAGACATTTAAATACATATTTTAAAAATATAGCAACATGTGCCGAGCTTAGTGGCTCACGCCTATAATCCCAGCACTTTGGGAGGCCTAGGCAGGAGGATTGTTTGAGCTCAGGACTTTGAGACCACCCTGGGCAACCTAGTGACACCCTGACTCTACAAAAAAATTTAAAAATTAATGGGGTGTGGTGGCGCACATCTGTGGACCCAGCTACTCAGAGGGCTGAGGGGGGAGGATCACTTCAGCCCAGGAGGTTGAGGATGCACTGAGCGGTGATCAGGCCACAGCACTACAGCCTGGGCAACACACACACATATACATATAGCAACATTAAACATATTGTGAGAACCAGGTCCTAAGGCTTCAAAGATTACTGATATGAAGGAAAAATGAAGCAGTCAGAAAATTAAAAAAAAAAAAGATTATTGAGACAGATCTCTCTTGTGTAGGACCTCAAGAGTTCATACAGGCAGGGTGCGGTGGTTCATGCCTGTAATCCCAGCACTCTGAGAAGCCGAGGCAGGTGGATCACTTGAGGCCAGGAGTTCAAGACCAACCTGGCAAACATGGCAAAACTCTGTCTCTACTAAACATACAAAAATTGGCCGGGCATGGTGGCAGGCGCCTGTGGTTCCAGCTACTCAGGAGGCTGAGGCATGAGAATCGCTTGAACCCGGGAGGTGGAGGTTGCAGTGAGCCGAGATCACGTCATTGCACTCCAGCTTGGGCGACAGAGTGAAACTCTGCCTTAGAAAATGAAAAAAAATTTAAAATGAAAAAAAAAAAGAGTTTATACAGAGTGGCTTATACAGAGTTGCTGGGTGTGGTGGCTCACACCTGTACTTTCAGCACTATGGGAGGCTGAGGCAGGAGGATTACTTGAGGCCAGGAGTTGGTGGATACAGTGAGCTATGATCGTGGCACTGCACTATAGCTTGTGTGACAGAGCAAGATCCTGCCTCTAAAAAAGTAAATAAGTAAAATAAAAATAAAATAGTTTGTACAGTAGATGACAGATACTTAAATATTCTTAAGAAAGAGTAATATAATTCTGCTACAAATTAGGCTCAAGGATATCATTGAAGATGTGTAAAATAATTTTTTATGAGATTCATTATCATATTATTGTGGCAAAAGCTTGAAGACCACTTAAATTATCAACAGAAGGGGATGCAGTAAATGAATTACAGCACACACCTTGGATGAAAGAAATACGCCTTTACATTGGAAGTTGTAAATAAATATATATATATAAAATATATATATATATACATATATATTTTTTTTGAGACAGGGTCTCACTCTGTTGCCCAGGCTGGAGTGTAGTGGTGTGATTTCGGCTCACTGCAACCTCCACCTCCCAGGTTCAAGCGATTCTCGTGCCTCAGCCTCCTGAGTAGCTGGGATTAGAGGTGCCTGACACAACGCTGGGCTAATTTTTCTATTTTCAGTAGAGGTGGGATTTTGCCATGTTGGCCAGGTTAGTCTCAAACTCCTCACCTCAGGTAATCCGACTGCCTTGGCCTCCCAAAGTGCTGAGATTACAGGCGTGAGTCACTGCATGACCAGCTGCTATAAATATAATTAAATGGACTGGGCACGGTGGCTCATGCCTATAATCCCAGCGCTTTGGGAGGCTGAGGCAGGCAGATCCTCTGAGGTCGGGAGTTCGAGACCAGCCTGGCCAACATGGTGAAACCCCATCTGTACTAAAAATAAAAAATTAGCCATGTGTGGTAGTGGTTACCGATAATCCCAGTTACTCGGGAGGCTGAGGCAGGAGCATCGCTTGAACCCAGGAGGCAGGGGTTGTGGTGAGCTGAGATTGTGCCACTGGACTCCAGCCTGGGTGACAGAGCTAAACTCCCTCTCAAATAAATAAATAAATAAATAAATAAAAGAAAAGAAAAGAAAAAAATATAAAATTGAATGAAATGGGGACATACCATATTTTGGAAGGTAAATTAGTATGGTGGTTTGGAGAATGGTCTTAAAAAGAGGCAACCCGTTATTCAATCTCATGGCCATGTTTCCAGGTATAGAAGCTCTGGGCATTCTGGCATGGGCCCTGGAATCTCAAGGGTAAAACCACTTTGCTTTTCAAGGTACAACAAAATTCATTAAAATGTATTTAAAGGTGAGGCACGGTGGCTCATGCCTGTAATCTCAGCACTTTGGGAGGCCAAGTCAGGAGGATCGCTTGAGCCCAGGAGTTGGAGGCTGCAGTGAGCTCCGATTGCACCACTGCACTCCAGCCTGGGCAGCAAAGGCAGAGGTTGTGGTGAGCCGAGGTCGCGCCACTGTACTCCAGCCTGGGCGACAGAGCAAGACTTCATGTCAGAAAAAAAAAGACTTTAGACTTCTGCTTTTTTTTTTTTTTTTTTTGAGACGGAGTCTCGTTCTGTCACCCAGACTGGAGTGCAGTGGCACAACCTCCGTTCACCGCAACCTCCACCTCCCCCAGGTTCAAGCAATTCTCCTGCCTCAGCCCCCCCGAATAGCTGGGACTACAGGCGCATGCCACCAGGCCTGGCTAATTTTTTGTATATTTAGTAGAGACAGGGTTTCACCGTGTTAGCCAGGGTGGTCTCGATCTCCTGACCTCGTGATGCGCCTGCCTTGGCCTCCCAAAGTGCTGGGATTACAGGCGTGAGCCACTGCACCCGGCCTGGTTTTCTTTTTGTTTTTGTTTTTTGTTTTTGATTTTTGAAATGGAGTCTCACTCTGTCACCCAGGCTGGAGTGCAGTGGCGCGACCTCGGCTCACTGCAACTTCTGCCTCCTGGGTTCAAGAATTTCTCCTGCCTTGGCTGGGCATGGTGGCTCACACCTGTAATCCCACCACTTTGGGAGGCCGAGGCAGGCGGATCACGAGGTCAGGAGATCAAGACCATCCTGGCTAACATGGTGAAACTCCATCTCTACTAAAAATACAAAAAATTAGCCGGGCGTGGTGGCGAGCGCCTGTAGTCCCAGCTACTCAGGAGGCTGAGGCATGAGAATGGTGTGAACCCGGGAGGTGGAGGTTGCAGTGAGCGGAGACTGCGCCACTGCACTCCAGCCTGGGCGACAGAGTGAGACCCCGTCTCATTAAAAAAAAAAAAAAAAAGAATTTCTCCTGCCTTAGCTTCCCGAGTAGCTGAGATTACAGGCACCCGCAAACGCCCGGCTAATTTTTGTATTTTTAGTAGAGGCAGGGTTTCACCATATTGGCCAGAGTGGTCTCGAACTCCTGACCTCGTGATCCACCCGCCTCGGCCTCCCCAAGTGCTGGGATTACAGGTGTGAGCCACCGTGCCCGGCCTTTTTTTTGTTTTTTGAGATGGAGTCTCATTCTGTGGCCCAGGCTGGAGTGCAGCAGCGCCATCACGGCTCACCGCAACCTTCACCTCCTGGGTTCAAGCAATTCTCCTACTTCAGCCTCCCAAGTAGCTGGGATTACAAGTGCGTGCCACCACGCCCAGCTAATTTTTGTATTTTTAGTAGACGGGGTTTCACCATGTTGATCAGGCTGGTCTTGAACTCCTGACCTCAGGTAATCCACCCACTTTGGCCTCCCAAAGTGCTGGGATTACAGGTATGAGCCACCACGCCTGGTCCAAAAAATACTTCTGAAAAATATAGTTCACTTATTTTCTGGAACACCCCTCAATATAGATTTGTCTTGTGATTTCTCATTTATTAGACTGAGATTATGAGTTTTGGGCAAGAATGTCATGGAGATGATGTGCCCTTCTAATCACATCATATCAAGGAGTTCATGATGTTGATAAGTCCTATTGTTAATTACATGAACATGAATCAGTTGGTTAAGGTGTTGTCTACCAGGTTTCTCCACTGGTTCCATTGCCTGCAATGCAAACTGTCCGTGGAGGAAGTGATACCCACTTCCTAAAGCAGCCGCCTGAGGCAATGTGCGCAATGCAGCCTTATACACGCTGGCACAAGAGGTCCCTGAAGGAGTTTTGTTTTTTGTTTTTAAGCAAGAGTTCCTAGGAAAACCTGAGAGTTTTACCTTCTCAGCTGGTTCACACTTTGTCTCTGACTTGCTCCTGAGATGTATCATGGAGATCACCCCAGCCTAACCTGATCCTGATGCATTTTTTTTTTTGAGACAATCTTGCTCTGTCACCTAGGCTGGAGTGCAGTGGCGTGATCTTGGCTCACCGCAACCTCCATCTTCCGGGTTCAATCGATTCTCCTGCCTCAGCCTCCCGAGTAGCTGGGACTACAGCCATGCGCCACCTCGTTCTGCTAATTTTTGTATTTTTAGTAGAGATGGGGTTTCACCATGTTGGCCAGGCTGGTCTCGAACTCCTGAGCTCAAGTGATCCACCCGCCTTGGCCTCCCAAAGTGCTGGGATTATAGGCGTGAGCCACCACAGCAGAACTTGATGCAAAATTTTTGGTGGTGAAAATATAATGGTGACTCATGCCTGTATCCTCAGCTACCCTGGAGGCAAAGGTGGGAGTGTTGCTTGTACCCAGGAGTTTGAGACCAGGCTGGGCAACATAGTGAGATCCTGTCTGTAACAAAAGAATAAAAAAGAGGGAGGAAGAAAAATATATAATAAGAGAAAAGACCTTTGTTTCTGTCTTTACTTCATACTGAAAAAATCAGGAGTAACATTTAGAAAAGTATTTGCTTACCATATAATTAAGGAAAACCATATCCAAGTTTTACAAAACCAGCCATTTATTCTTTTGCTCATTCAATAATCATTAATTGAGTATCCACTCTGTTAACAGGTCCTGCCTCCAAGGAACTCATATGAGATGGGAAAATCAGGGATTACAAATGTGTCTAAGACCTCAGACACAGATGGCTGTAGGGAAGGGTGGTCAAACAGACAAAATGGGGATTAATTGTGCCCAGCACTACTTCCAAAATGGACCGAAGACTGAAAAAGGATTGTGAAGGATGGCAGGAAGTGAAGTTGGAGTGAGGTGCAGAGGCTAGGTCATGGATAGCAGGGAATATTAGGACTTTGCTGGGGTAATGAGGAAGTCATGAGAAGGTTATGGGACATGACAAAAATTTGTGTTTTATTTAAAAGTATTTAAAAAAAAAGGTAGAACAGCCTGGGCAACATGGCAAAACCCCATCTTTACAAAATATACAAAAATTGGCCTGGCGCGGTGGCTCACACCTGTAATCATAGCACTTTGGGAGGCCTAAGCGGGTGGATCACGAGGTCAGGAGGTCAAGACCAGCCTGGTCAATATGGTGAAACCCTGTCTCTACTAAAAATACAAAAATTAGCCAGGCGTGGTGGTGCACACCTGTAATCCCAGCTACTCAGAAAGCTGAGGCAGAAGAATCGCTTGAACTTGGGAGGCGGAGGTTGCAGTGAGCTGAGATCATGCCACTGCACTCCAGCCTGGGTGACAGAGTGAGACTCCATCTCAAAAATAAAATAAAATAAAATATAAAAATAAAATTATTAGCAGGGCATGGTGGCAGGCGCCTGTAATCCCAGCTACTCGGGAGGCTGAGATGGGAGGATTGCTTGAGCCCAGGAGGTCAAGGCTGCAGTGAGCCAAGATCGTGCCACCGCACCCCAGCCTGGACAACAGAGCAAGACCCTGTTTCAAAAAAACCCCAAAAAGTAACATGCATAAAACATACAGGGTCAACATCCCCAAAATGCAAAGAGCTCCTCCAATTCAATAACTATCAACTGCAGGAAATCCCTGACTGAAAAATAGGCAATGGACATAATCAGGTATTTCATAACATAAGATATACAGGCTGGGAACAGTGGCTCATGCCTGTAATCCCAGCACTTTGGGAGGCCAAGGTGGGCGGATCACCTGAGGTCAGGAGTTCGAGACCAGCCTGGCCAATATGGTGAAACCCCATCTCTATTTTTTGTAAAAATACAAAAAAATTAGCTGGGCGTGGTGGCGGGCACCTGTAATCCCAGCTACTCGGGAGGCTGAGGCAGGAGAATCGCTTGAACGTGGGAGGCGGAGGTTGCAGTGAGCCGAGATCGCGCCATTGCACTCCAGCCTGGGCGACAAGAGTTAAACTCCATCACACAGACACACACACACACACACACACACACACACACACACACACGAAAAGAAAAAAAGAAAAAAAAGAAAGAAGTACAAATCACGGCCGGGTGCGGTGGCTCACTCCTATAATTCCAGCACTTTGTGAGGATGAGGCGGGCGGATTACCAGGTCAAGAGTTTGAGACCAGCCTGGCCAACATGGTGAAACCCCATCTCTACTAAAAATACAAAAATTAGCTGGGCGTGGTGGCAGGCCCCTGTAATCCCAACTACTCAGGAGGCTGAAGCAGGAGAATTGCTTGAACCTGGGAGGTGGAGGTTGCAGTGAGCTGAGATTACGCCACCGCACTCCAGCCTGGGGAACAACAGCAAAACTCCATCTCAAAAAAAAAAAAAAAAAAAAAAAGAATTAGTTCACTTTGGAAGGCTGAGGCAAGACAATCACTTGAGGCTGGGAGTTCGAGACCAGCCTGGGCAACTTAGCAAGACCCCCCCCCCCACGCCCATCTCTCCAAAATTAAAAAATTAGCCTTGCATGGTGGTGCCTGCCTGTAGTCCAAGTTATTGGGGAGACTGAGATGGGAGGATTGCTTGAGCCCAGGAGTTGGAGGCTGCAGTGAACTATGATGCCACTTACTTTATCGATAAATAAGTGTCTTAGACTGTTTATGTTGCTATAAGGTAATAACTGAGCCTGATTTATTTATTTATTTATTTATTTATTTATTTATTTATTTTTGAGACAGAGTCTTACTCTGTCACCCAGGCTGGAGTGCAGTGGCACGATCTCAGCTCACTGCAACCTCTGCCTCCCGGGTTTAAGCGATTCTCATGCCTCAGCCTCCCGAGTAGCTGGGACTGCAGGCATGTGCCACCATGCCCGGTTAATTTTTGTATTTTTAGTAGAGACGGAGGTTTCACCATGTTGGCCCGGCTGGTCTTGAACTCCTGATCTCAGGTGATCTGCCCACCTCGGCCTCCCAAAGTGCTGGGATTACAGGCGTGAGCCACCGTGCCTGGCAGGTAACTTATTTTTATTTTATTTATTTAATTTTATTTTTTGAGATGTACTCTTGCTGTGTCGCCAGGCTGGAGTGCAGTGGCATGATCTCAGCTCACTGCAACCTCTGCCTCCTGGGCTCAAGCAATTATCCTGCCTCAGCCTCCCAAGCAGCTGGGACTACAGGCACCCGCCACCACGTCTAGCTTTTTTTTTTTTTTTTTAGTAGAGATGGGGTTTCACCATGCTGCTCAGGCTGGTCTTGAACTCCTGAGCTCAGGCAATCCACCCGCCTCAGCCTCCCAAAGTGCTAGGATTACAGGCTTGAGCCACCGCACCCGGCCTTATTTTTATTTTATTTATTTTTTTATTTTTGAGATGGAGTTTCGCTCTTGTTGCCCAAGCTGGAGTGCCATGGCATGATCTCGGCCCACTGCAACCTCTGCCTCCCAGGTTCAAGCGATTCTCCTGCTTCAGCCTCCCAAGTAGCTGAGATTACAGGCACGTGCCACCACACCCAGCAAATTTTGTATTTTTAGTAGACACGGGGTTTCTCCATGTTGTCCAGGCTGGTCTCGAACTCCCAACCTCAGGTGATTGGCCCGCCTCGGCCTCCCAAAATGATGGGATTGCAGGCGTGAGCCACCACATCCAGCCAGGTAATTTACTTTTATTTATTTATTTATTTTTGGGAAAAGGTATCACACTGTTTGCCCAGGCTGGAGTACAGTGGCTCAGTCATAACTTACTGCAATCTCAAATTCCTGGGCTCAAGCACTCCTCCCACCTCAGGCTCCCAAGTAATTCCCAGCTAATTTTTTCTTTTTTTAGTGGAAAGGAAGTCGCACTATGTTGCCCAGCCTTGTCTTGAACTCCTGGGCTCAAGTGATCTTCTTGTGACTGGGTAATGTATTTATTTTTATTTATAAATGTTTTTTATTTATATAATTGGGACTCACTATGTTGCCCAGGCTGGTCTCCAACTCCTGAGCTCAAGCAACCCTCTTGCCTTGACCTCCCAAAGTGTTAGCATTACAGGTGTGAGCCACTGTGCCCGGCACTTGAAATCTTTTTAAACATTTTTATTTACTTATTAGTTATTTAAGGCTGGGTAATTCATAAAGTGAAGAGGTTTATGTGGCTCACAGTTCTGCAGACTGTACAAGAAGCATGACAGTATCTGTTTGGCTTCTGGTCAGGGCCTTTTGCTGCTTTCATTCATGGCCTAAGTCCAAGGAGAGCCACCATGCAGAGATCACATAGGAAGAGCCATGCAAGAGAGAGGGGAAGTGCCAGGCTCTTTCTTTCCTTCTTTCCTTCCTTCTTTCTTTCCTTTCTTCTTTCCTTCCTTCCTTCTTTCCTTCTTCCTTCCTTCCTCCTTCCTTCCTTCCTTCCTTCCTCCCTTCCTCTCTCTTTGTTTCTTTTTTAGATGGAGTCTCACTCTGTTGTCAGGCTGAAGTGCAGTGGTGCAATCTCATCTCACTGCAACCTCCGCCTCCCGGGTTCAAGCGATTCTCCTGTCTCAGCCTCCTGAGTAGCTGGGACTACAGGCACGCGCCACCACGCCCGGCTAATTTTTTGTATTTTTAGTAGAGACAGCGTTTCACCATGTTGGCCAGAATGGTCTCAATCTCTTGACCTCGTGATCCACCCACCTCGGCCTCCCAAAGTGCTGGGATTACAGGAGTGAGCCACCACGCCCAGCCTTTGCCAGGCTCTTTTCAACAACCAGTTCCCCAGGGAACTAAGAGTGAGAACGAACTCACTCCCTTCCTGAGAGATCCACCCACAAGATCCAAACACCTCTAATCAGGCCCCTCCTCCAACACTGGGGATCAAATTTTAACACGAGGGTTGGCGGAGCCAAACCGTGTCTAAACCATAGGAGTAAGCTTTTCTGTGTTATTTGTGACAATTCATCAATCTGTATGCTTATAAATCAGTGTATGCCATACCGTGATTAAACAGGTTTAAAAATTCTTCTAGAAGTTTTAACAGGGAACAATAGCTAGAATATTTTGTTAAGTGGAAAAAGCAATTTCAGAAGTGTGCAGGTGACTTCTGGGGAATTGGTCACAGTCTCTTTTTTAACCTGGCAGGGGTTACACATATATTAATTTTACAATTCATTAAACTGTTTATGTACATTGTATGCATGTTCTTCTCTATTAGCTATATATCACCATTTTAAAAACTAGAGAGAGAAGGACTTTCAGATGGGTAGGATGAGGAGCTTAGTGGACCTTCTCCCCAACAAAGCAAGCATAACTGGTGGAAATTATTAAAAAATAAAACAACAACCCCCTGAGAGTTTTCAAAGGTCATACAGCAAATGGAGACACATTTATTCAAGAAAATAGGCCGGGTGTGGTGGCTCACGCCTGTAATCCCAGCACTCTGGGAGGCCGAGGTGGGTGGATCATTTGAGGTCAGGACTTTGAGACCAGCCTGGCCAACATGATGAAACCCCATCTCTACTAAAAATTAAAAAATAATTAGCCGGGTGTGGTGGCACATGCTTGTAATCCCAGCTACTGGGGAGGCCGAGGCAGGAGAATTGCTTGAACCCAGGAGGCAGAGGTTGCAGTGAGCAAAGCTCACGCCACTGCACTCCAGCAAGGGCAACAAGAGTGAAACTGTCTCAAAAATAAAAATAAAATAAAATAGGCCAGGTGCGGTGGCTCACACCTGTAATTCTAGCACTTTGGGAGGCCGAGGTGGGTGGATCACCTGAGGTCGGGAGTTCGAAACCAGACTGCCCAACATGGTGAAACCCCATTTCTACTAAAAATACAAAAATTAGCCGGGCGTGGTGGTGCATGCTTGTAATTCCAGCTACTCGGGAGGCTGAGGCAGGAGTATTGCTTGAACCTGGGAGGCAGAGGCTACAGTGAGCCGAGATGGTGCCACTGCACTCCAGCCTGGGCAACAGAGCTAGACTTCGTCTCAAAAAAACAAAACAAAACAAAACAAAACAAAAACCCAAAAAACAATAACAACGACCAAAAAAAAAACCTTAAGGGAAGGGGAAAGTATGATGACGCTATTTCATCAAATAGAGAAGATTAAGTAAGAAGTAAAAATTACAAAAAACCCACAAATTGCCGGGCGCGGTGGCTCACGCCTGTAATCCCAGCACCTTGGGAGGCTGAGGCGGGTGGATCACGAGGTCAGGAGATCGAGATCATCCTGGCTAACACGGTGAAACCCTGTCTCTAATAAAAATACAAAAACAAATTAGTCTGGTGTGGTGGCGGGTGCCTGTAGTCCCAGCTACTCAGGAGGCTGAGGCAGGAGAATGGTGTGAACCTGGGAGGCAAAGCTTGCAGTGAGCCGAGATCGCGCCACTGCACTCCAGGCTGGGCGACAGAGTGAGACTCCGTCTCAAAACAAAACAAAACAAAACCCCACAAATCTTGAAGTTGAATAGTACTGTATAATAACTGAAATGAGAAGAGAAAAAAGAAAAAAATTCACTAGAGGGGATAACAGTAAATTAGAGCTGGCAGGCAAAAGCACCAGTGAACTAGTAGAGAGAACAATATGGATTATGCAAACTGAAGACCAGACAGTAGAAAGAATCAAGAAAAATGAACACAGCATCAGAGAAATATGGGACACCATTAGGTGCACCAACACACAAGTAACAGCAATAGCAGCAGAAGTGGAGACATGCGAGATGAAAGGGGAACATTAAGCATACATACATACATACATACATACATACATACATACATAAAAGAAGTGAAGACAGGAAGTATCATGGCTGCGAGTAGCTGGGGCCTGTGTTGCAAGCAGTAAAGGAATTTACCAAGACAGTCGTAGGTAAAGAAAAGCAGATTTGGCTCAGCGTGGTGGCTCACGCCTGTAATCCCAGCACTTTGGGAGGCCGAGGCAGGAGGATCATGAGGTCAGGAGATTGAGACCATCCTGGCTAACACGGTGAAACCCCATCTCTACTAAAAATACAAAAAAAAAAATTAGCTGGGTGTGGTGGTGGGTGCCTGTAGTCCCAGCTACTCGGGAGGCTGAGGCAGGGGAATGGCGTGAACCCAGGAGGCAGAGCTTGCAGTGAGCCAGGATCGGGCCACTGCACTCCAGCCTGGGCGACAGAGCAAGACTCTGTCTCAAAAAAAAGAAAATAAAAGAAAAGAAAAACAAATTTAGGCCAGGCACAGTGGCTCACATCTGTAATCCCAGCACACTGGGAGGCCTAGGTGGGTGGATCATTTGAGGTCAGGAGTTTGAGACCAGCCTGGCCACCATGGTGAAACCCCATCTCTACTAAAAATACAAAAATTAGCCAGGCATGGTGGTGCATGCCTGAAATACCAGCTACTTGGGAGGCTGAGACAGGTGAATCGCCTGAACCCAGGAGACGGAGGTTGCAGTGAGCCAAGATTGCGCCACTGTACTCCAGCCTTGGCAACAGAGGGAGACGCCGTCCCCCCCAAAAAAATTTAAAAAAATAAAAAATAAAAAAGTCTGGGCATGGTGGCTCATGCCTGTAATCCCAGCACTTTGGGAGGCTGAGGTGGGAGGATCACCTGAGGTCAGGAGTTTGAGACCAGCCTGACCAACATGGAGAAACCCTGTCTCTATTTAAAAAAATACAAAATTAATCCCAGCTACTTGGGAGGCTGAGGCAGGAGAATTGCTTGAACCTGGGAGGCAGAGTTTGCGGCGAGCCAACATCACGCCATTGTACTACAGCCTGGGCAACAACAGCTAAACTCTGTCTCAAAAAAAAAAAAAAAAAAGAAAAAAAGGAAAAAAGAAAAGCAGATTTGTTAGAGAAAGTATGAAGATACATTGCAGGGTACAACAGGCAGCAGAGAAGGGGCTGTCTGCCAAGAGGCGGGGGCTGGAGGTTCATGCTGGAGGGGCCTACCTGGTGGAATGAGGTCATTGTGCCAGCAGGTTGTTTGTGATTAGCCATCTCTCAGAACAATTGTTCATTGTTCTCCCCATCCTGGGGCCCTTCCTGAACTAGGGCCCCTTCCTTGTTACTTAGTTATCAGGACTAAACAGGAAGGAACAGAAAAAAATATCCAAAGAAATAACAGCTAAAAACTTCCCACATTTGATGGAGAAACTTGTTTTTTTTTTTTTTTTTTTTTTTTGAGATGGGGTCTCACTCTGTCACCCAGGCTGGGGTGCAGTGGCTCAACACAACTCACTGCAGCCTCAACCTCCCAGACTCAAGCGATCCTCCCACCTCAGCCTCCGAAGTAGATGAGACTACAGGCACACACCACCATGCCCAGGTTTTTAAAAAAATTATTATTTGTAGAGATGTGGTCTTGCTATGCCCAGGGTGGTCTTAAACTCCTGGGCTCAAGGGATCTTCCATCCTAGGCCTCTCAACCTGTTGGGATTACAGGCATGAGCCACCATGCCCAGCCTGATGGAGAAACTTTCTTTATTCTTTTTTTTTCAGATGGAGTCTCCCTCTGTCAACCAGACTGGAGTGCAGTGGCTCGATCTCAGCTCACTGCAACCTCCACCTCCCTGGTTCAAGTGATTCTCCTGCCCCAGCCTCCTGAGCAGCTGGGATTACAGGTGCCCACAACCATGCTAAGCTAATTTTTGTCTTTCTTTCTTTCTTTCTTTCTTCCCTTTTTTTTTTTTTTTTTTTTGAGACGAAGTCTCGCTCTGTTGCCCAAGCTGGAGTGCAGTGGCGTGATCTCAGCTCACTGCAACCTTCACTTCCCGGGTTCAAGCAATTCTCTGCCTCAGCCTCCCGAGTAGCTGGGATTACAGGTGCCCACCACCACTCCCAGCTAGTTTTTGTAGTTTTTACTACAGATGGGGTTTCACCATATTAGCCAGGCTGGTCTCAAACTCCTGGCCTCAGGTGATCTACCCGCCTTGGCCTCCCAAAATGCTGGGATTACAGGCGTGAACCACTGTGCCTGGCCTTTTTTTTTTTTTTTTTTTTTTTTGAGACGGAGTTTCACTCTTGTTGCCCAGGCTGGAGGGCAATGGCGCAATCTCGGCTCACTGTAACCTCTGCCTCCTGGGTTCAAGCGATTCTCCTGCCTCAGCCTCCTGAGTAGCTGGGATTACAGGCATGTACCACCATGCCTGGCTAATTTTGTATTTTTAGTAAAGACAGGGTTTCACCATGTTGGTCAGGCTGCTCTTGAACTCCTGACCTGAAGTGATCTGCCCACCTAAGCCTCCCAAAGTACTAGGACTATAGGCATGAGTCACCACGTGGGTCCCTGATGGAGAAATTTTAATCTACACATCCAAGAAGTTCAATGAACAAGTAAGATAAATGCAAAGAGGTCCACACCTAGTGTAGGATCCCTGAGTTCCTCCTCCTTTCTTTTTGTGTTCTGACCTAAAATCACAGAGTGCTTTGGCCATTCTTCCACCCAGCGAGCTGCAGGTTTTTCTCAGCAGGCTTGAACCCAAACCAAGGCCTTGAACATTCCCAGGCACTGATAAAGGTATCTGGGTTGTTGCCCAAGCACTGAAAGAAACTGACCCTAGCCCTGAACAAATTCCTTAAAGCCTCATATAAACTCCATACCGTGACCCTTTGGCTGTGGACATACCTAAGTAGAACACCCCTTTTCTCTCATTGTCCCTCATAAGGACAGAGTGCTGTCTCTAGGAATCGATGGAACTGGACTGGATCCCTGAGTAAATATTTTAGTCCAAGGGGAGGTCCACAAGCGATCTGTCTCTGCAGCACTCTGTATGTAAATTCCCCCAATATGCATTTTGGGCTTATCGCCCTGGCATTTAGTGCTTCTGTTTTTGGAATCCCAACTCATCCCATCTCAGGATCATTTTGTAGCAGGACGAGCCGCAGACAGAACCCCTCAGACACTGGGTTAAAGAAGGAAGAGGCTTTATTCGGCCAGGAGCATCGGCAGGCTTGCGTCTCAAGAACTGAGTCCCAGAGAAAGAGTTCTTGGCCCTTTTAAGGGCTTACAGCTCTAAGGGGTCCACATGAAAGGGTCGTGATAGATTGAACAAGCATGGGGTACATGGCTAGGTGGGGGTGGTGAGCAAGGCAAGTGTTTCTCCATACCATTGTCTGTGATCTATAGATAGCACAAGCGGTTAGGGTGTGGGTTAATCTTTAACCTACGGGCCTGGCCAGTGGTGCTGATCAGTCTGTTATTTTTTCAGTTTTTACTTCCTCCTTTTCTTTGGAGATAGGGGACAGTAGGAGAAATGGCCTCTCTCCTCATTCCCCCCTTTGAGAACCTCACTCACTAGTGGGAGTTCTCATTATCATCCTCACTATCTAGATCTTCCTGTGAGACAGATCAATAGTGATTCATGTAGTATACTTGTGCTGAGGTCTTTTGATGAACTAAGGTGATAACGAAGCTTCTTAGTAACTGGAGAAATATGGGTAACATACAGGGGAGTAACATGCAGGTTCCTAACACCATTATCATTCCTATTATAAGAGTTTTAAATCCTCCTAGAGCTGGAAGCCATTTTCCAAACAGGGATCCAGGATCAAACCTATGCCAAACCTGCATGGGTACATGTGCCAGCTTTGTCATGTCTCTAACTATATTTTTGACTACTTGTCCTTGATCATCTCTTTGCAGACAGCACTTGGTCAAGTTGAATTTTTCACAGACTCCTCCTTCAGCTGCCAGCAAATAGTCTAAGGCCAATCTATTCTGATAGATGGCATTTCTCATTTGGGTTTCCTGCTGGGCTAAAAGAGTTAAAGCTCTGCCAGTTTCACTAGTGATTATTTCTAAGATGGCCTGTAACCGTATGATCCAGTTGAGCATGTAGATGGGGGTATGGTATCCCTATGAGTCGTCTTGTGCCCATGTGGCAGGCCTATAGTACTGTATGATCCTTTCGGGGCACCACTCATCATCTTTCCAATTTGCTATAGCTATGCTCCTCTTTTCTTGGGAGGCATAGACAGGGAAACCTAGGAGGTCACCTGTTTTTATGGGCAGTAGGAAAAAGGATGGCTTAATGGTGCCAATGACACAACTACCTGCCCATTGATCAGGTAACTGAGTGTAGGCTCTGTGCCTACATATCCAGTATAGTCCAGCGGGAGCCATCCAGTCTTGATGAGATTGTGGATGGGCCTAAGCAGTCTGTAATTTAGGAAATTTACTGAAGGGATTATTTTCAGTATGGTTTAGACCCCACCAGGTGACTGTCCCTGTGTCCCTGTTATGCTTTTATACAGCTTCTGTCCTAGACAATTGAGCCTTCCTACAGGGATGGTGAAGTCTTTTCCTTTTCTAGGTATGCAGTATTGTCCATTAATAGAGGTTTTCAAGACCCAAAAGTTGCTAGTTTGGGCCTTCTGGACTGGAATTATGTCAGGAACTGGATCAGTAGGCACTAATTCTTGGGTTTCCCAAGGCCATCAGTCTCCCATAGTGGTTCCCTCACATACATAACAGGAAGTAACATTGAGGGAATGAGCTACATATTCTGCTAACTGGAGAAACAAGTTCTTTGTCCTTTTTTGTGGAAGCTCTGGTGCTGGCAGATTCAGCTCATCATAAAAGGTCTGAAACACTGGTTTGGAAGATCGCTTGTGGACCTCCCCTTGGACTAAAATATTTACTCAGGGATCCAGTCCAGTTCCATCGATTCCTAGAGTTACATACTCTCCTGTTTTCCAGCAGGGATCAAGGGGATTGGTAATTAGTAGTTCAATGGGTTACAGTGACCACTAGTGCAGGAAGAGTTACTCTTTCCTTTTTGAAGGCGGACAGGGTCCTTCTCATCTTTTTTTCCAGGTGGCCTAAATGACACAGGACCAGTAACTACATTCATCACTTCACAGTCCTAATTCATGACAAACATACTTATTTTCTACTATATAGCCCCTTTCCCAATCTAGAGAGCCACATCTTATTCTATTTCCATATGGGTCACTGTTGATTGCTGCACAGGCATCAAATTTTAAGATAATTTGTTTGGGGACTCCTTTCTCTTCTGTTCTAGTTATTACTTTACTAGTATCAGCTTTTCCCCAGCTGCCAGTCCTCGATCTTATTTCAAAAACAGTAGTCATAGGGGGGCTCAGATGGGTTATAGTACACATCAGACTGGTCACTTCCTGGGCTACATACCTTGTATAGAGTAGCATTATACAAACAAGTTCCTTTTAGAGTCCCAGTACACTCATACTAACTATAAAATAATAGGACTGCAGCAACCTTTTGTCCTACCTTAGTGACTTGATTTTGTCCTACCTTAGTGACTGGGAACAGTTCTCAGTCTGAGGAAGGTCAGCTGAAGTCCTTACTGTACAAGTCCAAAATTTAAGGAAAATGAGTCCCACGATGAGTTTTCTCATGCTTTGGCCATGCGTGGACCAGTCAGCTTCTGAGTGTGACTGGAGCAGGGCTTGTCATCTTCTTCAGAGTCACTTTGCAGGGGTTATCTAGGCTTGGTCTCACCTCCCAGGTCTCAGGTGCTGCAGGTTTTACCTGGCTGTGTTGGATCCAGGCTGGGATTCCCTCTATCTTTACGGCTGTGGGAGTGGTCAAGATGATGGTCTGGGGTCCTTTCCACCGTGGCCGCAAGGAGCCTATGTTCCAATCCTTGATCCACACCTGATCACCTGGGGAGAAAGGGTGAACTGGGGAGAATAAGCTGCCGGGGCACCTCTCATTTACCCAGGCTGAAATTGTGTAATTTTCCCTAAAGCCTGTAGCTGTCGCTGTAACGCAATTTCACCTAGCTCTCGAGGAGTGCCTGGGAGTCCCCGTAGTATGGGAGGGGGCCTATGATATAATATTTCATAAGGGGAATATCCTGTTCTTCTAGAAGGGGTACATCTAATCTTAAATAATACCATAGGGAGAGCTTGTACCCACTTTAATCCTGTTTCTTGACACACTTTCCCTAAACTATTTCCGATAGTGCGATTCATCTGCTTCACCTTTCCGGAACTTTGTGGTCAGTAGGTGGTATGTAGTTTCCATGTGATCCCCAATACCTTTGCTGTCTTCTGTAACAAGTCAGCCACAAATGCCGGCCCGTTGTCTGAGCTGATTTGTAAGGGCAGTCCAAACCTAGGGATGAGATCTCGGAGAAGCACATGGGTTACTTCACGAGCTTTCTCGGTCCGTGTTGGATAGGCCTCCACCCACCCAGAGTATGTACACACTAGAACTAGCAAATACTTGTTACCTCCACATTTGGGCATCTTGGTGAAGTCTACTTGGAGATCTTCAAAAGGGGCTGCTCCATAAGCTTGTATGCTGGCGGGGATGGTTAGACCTTGCCTAGCATTGTGCTGCCAGAAGGTGACACACTGCTGCGCCACTGTTTTGGCAAGGGCTGAAAGATGCAAGATGTAGAAGTACCAGCCTAACAACTTTTCAAGTGACTCTTGGCCTAGGTGGGTGGTCTCATGCACAGCCAGTATGACTGCGGCTCCTAGCAGTTGTGGCACAGCTATTCTTCCATCCGATAACTGGATCCATCCCTCTTCTATCACCTGCCCTCCCTCTGCCTGGAGAAAGTCCTTCTCTTTAGAATAAGTAGGTACAAGGTCAGGTGCCTGAGGGAGCAGGGGGCTGTGACTGATGCCTGGTAGGGGGTGGATGCTGCTTTTCGAGCCTCTGAGTCAGCTTGGGGGTTCCCCAAGGCAATCGAGGTAGAAGCTCGCTGGTGTCCTCTGCAGTGCATGAGCCACCTTTTGGGGCTTCCACACTGCCTCTAATAATTGCAGGATCTCTTGCTGATACTTTATGTCTTTTCTCCCAGCGTTCAACAGGGCTTTTTCCTTGTAGAATGCCCCACGCAGTTGGAGAGTTAAAAAGGCATACCAAGAGTCAGTGTAAATGTTTACAGTCTTACCTTCACTTAGCTCAAAGGCCAGAATTAAAGCAATGAGTTTGGTCTTGCGGGCTGAAGTGCCCTAGGGCAACGATTTGGCTTCAATGACAGCATCCAGGATTACCATATCCTACACACCTCTCTTCTTGTGGGTCGACAAAGCTGCTCCCGTCCACGTACAGCTCCCAGTCTACTGTTGTCCAAGGATGGTCTCGGAGGTCGGGCCTGCTAGAATAAACTGACTGCAACACCTCTACACAGTTATGTTCAACTTGGCTCTCTGATACCAGGAGCAAGGTGGCGGGGTTCAGGGTGTTGCAAACTTCAATGGTTATGCGGGGATTCTCACAGAGCAAGCTTTGGTACCTAGTTAGTCTAGCATTCGTTAGCCAGTTACGTCCTTTGGTGTTCATTAGTGTTACCACAGCATGGGGAGGCCTTTATGTTTTTTCTTTTTTTTGAGATGGAGTCTCACTCTGTTGCCCAGGCTGGAGTGCAGTGGTGCGATCTTGGCTCACTGCAAGCTCTGCCTCCCGGGATCACGCCATTCTCCTGCCTCAGCCTCCCGAGTAGCTGGGACTACAGGCGCCCGCCACCATGCCCGGCTAATTTTTCTGTATTTTTAGTAGAGATGGGGTTTCACCGTGTTAGCCAGGATGATCTCGATCTCCTGACCTCATGACCCGCCCGCCTCAGCCTCCCAAAGTGCTGGTATTACAAGCGTGAACCACCGTGCCCAGCTAGGGGGCCTTTATGTTTAGGTTTTGCCCTAAACATAAAGTTAGGGCAAGAGGTAGCTTATCTGCCTCTAGTGCTAGCAGGGCAGTTGCTGCCAAGGCTCTTAAGCACAGGGGCCAGGCTCAATTATCGACAGATAATTCTTGTCGATACTGGTGCTGAACATTCAGTAGTAACCACCCCAGTCGCCCCCTTATCCAAAAAGACTATTGATATAATTGGAGCCACGGGGGTTTCGGCAAAGCAAGCTTTCTGTTTGCCCCAGACCTGCACTGTCAGGGGGCATGAGATAATTCACCAGCAATTCATCCTGCCTGGACTTTCTCCAGGCAGAGGGAGGGCAGGTGATAGAAGAGGGATGGATCCAGTTGTCGGATGGAAGAATAGCCATGCCACAACTGCTAGGAGCCGCAGTCATACTGGCTGTGCATGAGACCACCCACCTAGGCCAAGAGTCACTTGAAAAGTTGTTAGGCTGGTACTTCTACATCTCGCATCTTTCAGACCTTGCCTTAGAAACTCCATCTAGCTCTTTGGAGAGGTAGGCTACCGGTCTTGGCCAGGGCCCCACCATCTGGATTAAAACTCCAATGGCCATTTTTTCTCTCTCTGACACATACAGTGTGAAAGGTTTTGTTAGGTCAGGTAGCCCCAGGGCTGGGGCCGACATGAGTTTCTCTTTTAACTCATGAAAAGCTCATTGCTGTTGGGACCCCCATTTGAAAAGTTCTGTGTCTCCTCACTTTGTGACTCCGTACAGGGGCTTAGCCAATACTGCAAAGTTTGGGATCCACAATCTGCAGAACCCTACAGCTCCTAAGAATTCTCTCACCTGCCTTCTGGTCTTAGGCTCCAGCAGGTTGCAGATGACTTGCTTTCTTTCTGATCCCAGGCTGTGCTCTCCCTGTCGGATAGTAAATCCCAGGTAACATACCTGCTATCTGCAGATCTGAGCTTCCTTCTTGGACACCTTATACCTATAGTCCTCCAGGTGCCAGAGCAGGGTATCCATTCCCTTGGCACACATGACTGCCATGGGGTGTCCCAGCAGGAAGTTGTCAACGTACTGGAGCAGCACGAAGCCTAGGTCTCTGGTGGGAATTTTCTGGAGGTCTCGAGCCAGTGCCTCCCCGAAGATGGTGGGGGAGTTCTTGAACCCTTGGGGGAGCCGGGTCCAAGTGTACTGAGTGGTGACAGCTGACTCCAGATCCTCCCACTGAAAGGCAAACAGTTTTTGGCTCTCAGGAGATAGTCTGATGCTAAAGAAAGCATTTTTTAGGTCCAAGCAGGTGAACCAGCTGTCCTCAGCTGGCAGCAACCCCAACAATGTGTATGGGTTGGATGCAAAGTCACTTTGCTTGGTTGACCATATGCAAATCCTGTACTGGCCTGTAGTCCTTGGTCCTCAGCTTGGGAACAGGTAGGAGGGGAGTGTTCCATGGAGACTGACAAAGGACTATAATTCCAAAGGCCCTCAGATGCTTGAGATGGACCCGGATGCCCTCAAGGGCTTCTCTGGGGACCAGGTACTGCTTTTGCCTGACCAGCTGGGCCCCAGGCTTAACTTCTATTAGTATGGGGGCCTGGTTGATTGCCAACCCTGGCGGGTTGTCTTCCTCCCACACCCTTGGCCACCGCTTAGCCAGAGCTGGTCCTATCTCTTGGCCTGGCTCAGCTAAGAAGAGTCTCCATTCCTCCTCCCGAGGAACCATAAGGGCCATGATGACTCCCTTTCCAGGTAACTTTAGCTGTAAAGAGCCATGCTTTGTAAAAGAGATAGTGGCTCTCAGCTTGCTAAGTAGGTCCCTTCCCAGTAAAGGCAAGGGGCAGTCAGGCATGTACAGGAACTGGTGAATTACCTCATGTCCCCCGACAGTGCAGGTCCAGGGCAAACAGAAAGCTTGCTTTGCCGAAACCCCCGTGGTTCTGATTATATCAATAGTCTTTTTGGATAAGGGGGCGACCAGGGTGGTTACTACTGGATGTTCAGCACCAGTATCGACAAGAAACTCAATGTCCTTGCCCCCGACTGTCATTCTGACCATGGGCTCTTTGGGTGCACATGAGCCTAGTCCCCCTCAGTCCAGTAACCCTTCTGCCAGATTAAACAAGGCCCTTTCGTCCTTGTCTGAGGCCTCCTGCTCAGTCACCTTGTTTCCCTTTCAACTGGGGGCACTTGTCCTTCCAACATCCCATTTCCTTACAGTAAGCACACTGGTTACGCTGCAAGCGTGGATGGCCGGACTGGGTATTTTTCCTGGGGCCCCCCTTTCTCGCCCCTTCGGGGGGGACCCCTCTATTGCTGTGGCTAGCAGGTCGGCGTTTCGCTGGGCTTGGCGTTCGCTCTCTCTGCAGTTCTCTCTGCGGCTTACAGCATCTCTATTCACAAACACCTGGTTGGCTATCTCCAATAACTGTGAAGTGTTCATGCCTGCAAACCCAGCCTGCTTATGTAGTTTTCTTCTAATGTCTTCTGCACTTTGACTAACTAAAGCCATGTTAATCATGCGCTGGTTTTCAGGGTTGTTGGGATCAAAGGGAGTATACATACAATAGGCCTCACATAGTCTCTCGTAAAATTGTGCTGGACTCTCTTCCTTTCCTTGAATAACCTCAGATATTTTATTTATATTGGTGGCCTTCTGAGCTCCTTTCTTTAACCCTTCCAGGAGGGCTTCCCTCTACCAGTTTAGCCTTTGCATACCCTGTCTTTCATTTGGGTCCCACTGGGGGTCTGTTCCTGGTAACTGGGCCATCACATACTCTTGGGGGTTTTTGTAATCAGCCGGAACATGTTCCTCTAGCCACTTAGTCGCTGCTTGGAGCACCCTTCGCCGTTCATCCGTGTTAAACAGGCACATGAGCAACTGGTGGCAATCAGCCCAAGTAGGGTTGTGGGTCTGGATAATAGTTTGGAGCAAATCAATTATAGCCTGAGGCTTTTCAGTATAGGATGGGGTATTGTTTTTCCAATTGAGGAGATTGGCAGAGGTGGAGGGTTGGTACACAAAGGCACGCCTTTCCACCATATGCCCGTCCTCGTTTACCCCAGTATACCGTTGCTCTCTCAGGGGCATTTGTATCCCAGTTTTAGGCCTCAAATGGGCTACCAAGTGAGGAGTTTCTCCTGAGGTCTTGCATCCTTTCTTTTCTACTCTAGGTGGCCTAGGGGTATGTAGGCCTTGTGGAAGCTTGGGCACAGTGGCCTCAGGAGTGGGAGGCCTTCTTTCTTGGTGAAAGGAGGGGCCACTGGCACTGTTTCTTGCCATGAATCCTTTGATGTTGGGTCGGACAGGACTTTAGGCGCCGACTTCCCTCAGTGGGTGAAGCGGGATTCTTCCTTGGCTGTCTGTCCCTTTGCCACTAGTACTGCTGCTGCCTGTCCTCTTAACCACTGTAGGGGGTCTAAAACCAGCTGTAACCAAGTGTCTATGTATGGAAAGTGGTCTGGGTTTTCTGGCTTACCAGTTACCTTGTGCCATACCTTTGAAACAAAGGACCTGTCTAGGCCTCCTTCTGATGGCCAACCCACTTCTAATGCTGGCTAATCTATCTCACTTAGGTCCTAAGTTTTCCTGGGGTCATAGTAACCCCATAATCTCCATTAAAACCTTTTTTGAAATTCTTTAACATAGTTCCTAATGGAGTGGTCTTACTTTGCGTCTCACCCATCTCCACCCCCACCCAAGACAAAAATGGCACTCACGACACAAGAAGGGAAAGGGTAAAGGGGTCACCCACTCTCCTCGGCAGTCACTGGCCGCTTCCCTCGCGGGAATCTCAGATCCTCTTAGCTTAAGCAGGCTGGTACCAGGCGCCAGCACGAACTGCCACTTAGCCATGTGAGGTATCCTACGGAACTGCAGCTTGGGGCTCAACGCTCACTTTGGATGGCGACCACTGTCCATCCTGTGCCCGTCTAAAACAAGCATTCACTCACTTTCACTTTCCTTTTTTTCAAACAAGCCAAGCCAAATCATAATCAAAACTGAGACCAAAGTGCCGATAAGGGCACACTGTGGGTGATCAGGCCACGCTTCCACTCAAATGGAGTGGGTAAGTTCCCAGGACTGGTCCTACCATATTCCAGATGTCCAGACTCCAAGTGCCAGTTCCTTCCTGGTGTTCAGCCGCTGCATTGATCCTCTGTGGGGGCCTGCCATGCACCGCTCTGACGAGGTGTTCCACGAGGGCAAATGCCTACCCGGGAGTGCTCTCAGGATCCGCGTTGCTCAAACTGGCCGGAGTCCCCTGCAGGGATGCTCCGCAGGGCAGGCCTAAGCCGCCTAAGGGGCTGCCTCGACCATCGTTAATCACCTCGCTTCCCGGTCAGGGAACCAAGAAATGTAAGGAAGAGGCTTTATTTGGTCAGGAGCGTTGGCAGACATGCGTCTCAAGAACGAAGCCCCCCTAAGAAAGAGTTCCTGGCCCTTTTAAGGGCTTACAACTCTAAGGGGTCCACGTGAAAGGGTCGTGATAGATTGAACAAGCATGGGGTACATGACTAGGTGGGGGTGGTGAGCAAGGCAAGTGTTTCTCCATACCATTGTCTGTGATATATAGATATCACAAGCGGTTAGGTTGTGGGTTAATCTTTAACCTACAGGCCTGGCCAGTGGTGCCGATCAGTCTGTTATTTTTCAGTTTTTACTTCCTCCTTTTCTTTGGAGACAGGGGACAGTAGGAGAAATGGCCTCTCTCCTCAATTTCAGCCACTCCCTTGTGGGAACTCCCTTACTGCTCATTTTTGAGAGATTCCAGCCATGGTTAGACAGGACAAAACACTCAGGCACATCATGGTCAAAAATCTTGAAATCCAAAGAGAATATCTTGCAAGCACAAATAGAAAAATGACCTGTCACCTATAAGGAAACTCCAATAAGATTAAGAGTTGACTTCTCATCAGAAACAAGAGAGCCCAGAAGACAGCTAAAATCATATTTAATGGTGAAAGACTGAATACCTTCCACCTAAGATCAGGAACAAAACAAGAGCGTCTGCTCTTGCTCCTTCTATTCAATATCATATTAGAAGTTCTAGCCACGGCAATTAGGCAAGAAAAAATAGGCATTCAGGGCCGGGTGCAGTAGCTTACGCCTGTAATCCCAGCACTTTGGGAGGCCGAAGCAGGTGGATCACGAGGTCCGGAGTTTGAGACCAGCCTGACCAACATGGTGAAACCCTGTCTCTACCAAAAATACAAAAATTAGCCAGGCATGGTGGTGCGCGCCTGTAATCCCAACTACTCAGGAGGCTGACACAGGAGAATTGCTTGAACCTAGGAGGCGGAGGTTGCAGTGAGCTGAGATCGCGCCATTGCACTCCAGCCTGGGCAATAGAGCAAGACTCCATCTCCAAAAAAAAAGGCTGGGCGCGGTGGCTCATGCCTGTAATCCCAGCACTTCAGGAGGCCGAGGCAGGCAGATCACAAGGTCAGGAGATTGAGACTATCCTGGCTAACACAGTGAAACCCCATCTCTACTAAAAATACAAAAAATTAGCCAGGTGTGGTGGCGGGTGGCTGTAGACCCAGCTACTCGGGAGGCTGAGGCAGGAGAATGGCATGAACCCGGGAGGCAGAGCTTGCAGTGAGCCGAGATTGCACCACTGCACTCCAACCTGGCGACAAATAAATAATTTTTTAAAAGTTAGCTCAAAATTGGCTGGGTGCGGTGGCTCACGCCTGTAACCCCAGCACTTTGGGAGGCTGAGGTGGGCAGATCATCTGAGGTCAGGAGTTCAAGACCAGCCTGGCCAACATGGTGAAGCCCCATCTCTGCTACAAATACAAAAATTAGCTGGTGTGGTGGCGCATGCCTGTGATCCCAGCTACTCAGGAGGCTGACGCAGGGGGAATTCCTTGAACCCAGGGAGGGGAGGTTGCAGTGAGCTGAGATCGTGCCACTGTACTCCAGCCTGGGTGACAGAGCAAGACTCTGTCTCATATATATATATATATACATATATACACACACACAATGTATTTATATATATATATGTATATACACATGCACAAATGGCCAATAAGCACAATGAAAAGATGCTTAAAATCTGTATTAATTTCTGATTGCTGCTCTAACAAATTACCATACATTTACTGGCTTGAAACAACACCACAAAATGTCTTACAGTTCTGTAGGGCAGAATTCTCATCAGGCTAATATCAAGGTGTCAGCAGGGCTGCCTTCCTTGTGGAGAATCTGTTTTCCTTGCCTTTTTAAGCTTCTACAGGTGGCCTGCATTCCTTGGTATGTGGCCATTTCCTCCATCTTTTTCTTTTTCTTTTCTTTTTTTTTTTTTTTGAGGCGGAGTCTCGCTCTGTCACCCAGGCTGGAGTGCAATGGCGTGATCTCGGCTCACTGCAAGCTCCGCCTCCCAGGTTCACGCCATTCTCCTGCCTCAGCCTCCCAAATAGCTGGGACTACAGGCGCCTGCCACCACGCCCGGCTAATTTTTTGTATTTTTAATAGAGACGGGGTTTCACTGTGGTCTCGATCTCCTGACCTCGTGATCTGCCCGCCTCGGCCTCCCAAAGTGCTGTGCTTACAGGCGTGAGCCACCGCGCCCGGCCACTTTTTCTTCTTTTTTTTTTCTTGAGATGGAGTTTCGCTTTTGTTGCCCATGCTGGAGTGCAATGGCGAGATCTCTGCTCACTGCAACCTCTGCCTCCTGGGTTCAAGCAATTCTCCTGCCTCACCTTCCCGAGTAGTTGGGATTACAGGCGTGTGCCACCGCCCGGCTAATTTTTGTATTTTTAGTAGAGACGGGGTTTCACCATGTTGGCCAGGCTGGTCTCAAACTCTTGACCTCAGGTGGTCCGCCCGCTAGCCACTGTGCCCGGCTAGCACTTCCTCCATCTTCAAATCTTTCTCTATCACCCCTGCTTCACATTTCCTTTTCATCCCTTGTCATATTTTCTTCACTGATTCTCCTGCATCCTCTTTTATTTTTAAGAACTCCTTTGACTATATTGCCCCCCTCAATAATCCAGGATAATCTCCCCATTTCAAGATCCTTAATCACATCTGCAATGTATCTTTTGCCATATAAGGTAACATATTCACAGGTTCTAGGGATTAGGAGGTGAACATCTTTGGGAGCTTATTGTTCTGCCTATCAAAACATTTATCTAAAGCATATAAAAACATAATTATTTATTAGGAAAATGCAAATCAACCATAATGAGATCCAACCTCACATCCACTAGGATGTTATATTAAAAAATACAGACAAGGGGCCAGGCACGGTGGCTCACACTTGTAATCCCAGCACTTTGGGAGGCTGAGGTGGGTAATCCCTTGAGGTCAGGAGTTTGAGACCAGCCTGGCCAAAATGGCAAAACCCCATCTCTACTAAAAATACAAAAATTAGCTGGGTGTGGTGGCACTCACCTGTAGTCCCAGGTACTTGGGAGGCTGAGGTGGGAGAATCGCTTGGACCCGGGAGGCAGAGGTTGCATTAAGGTGAGATCACACCACTGCACTCCAGTCTGGGCCGGAGCAAGACTCCATGTCAAAAAAATAAATACATAAAATACAGATAAGGCAGAGAGTGGTGGCTCATGCCTGTAATTCCAGCACTTTGCGAGGCTGAGGTGGGTGGATCATTTGAGGCCAGGAGATCTAGACTAGCCTGGCCAACATGGCAAAACCCTGTCTTTACTAAAAATACAATAAAAAAATAGCCAGGTGTGGGGATGCACACCTGTAATCCCAGCTACTGAGGAGACTGAGGTGCAAGAATCACTTGAACCCGGGAGGTGGAGGTTTTTTTTGCAGTGAGCCGAGATGGTGCCACTTCACTCCAGCCTGGGCAACAGATCGAGACCCTCTCTCAAAAAAATATATAGACAATAACAAGTGTTAGAGACGACTTGGAGAAATTGGGAACCTCATACATTGCTGGTGGGATTGTAAAATGTTGCAGTGACTTTGGAATATAGTTTAATAGCTCCTCAGAATGTTAAACTTACCCAACAATTCTACCCCTAGGTATATACTCAAGATAAATGAAAACATATGTCCACTCAAAAATTCATACACAAATGTTCAGGGCAGCATTATTTATAATAGCCAAAAAGTGGAAACAATCCAAATGTTCATTTACCAATGAATGTATAAATAAAATATGGTATGCCCATACAAGAAATATTAATTAGCAGTATAAAGGAGTGAGGTACTGGCACAGGCTACAACATAGAACTTCAAAAACATTGTGCCTTGGGAAGGAAATCACAAAAGACCACATATTGTATGATTCAATATTTAGGAAATGAGAATAAGCATATCCGTAGAGATAGTGTGTTAATGGTTGCCAAGGGCTGGAGAAGTAGAGCTAAAGGTTGTGGGGCAGACTCTGTGACCGTGCCTGCGGTCTCAACTACTCGGGAGTCTGAGGCAGGTGGCTCACTTGAGTCCAGGAGTTCGGGCTGTAGTGTGCTATGCTGATTGGGTGTTCACACTAACTTTGTCATCAATATGGTGACCTCTCAGGACTGGGCACCACCAGATTGCCTAAGGAGGGGTGAATCTACCCACGCTGGAAACAGCAGGTCAAAACTCCTGTGCTTCTCAGTAGTGGTATCGCAACTGTGAATAGCCACTGCACTCCAGCCTGGGCAACATAGCAAGATCCCATCTCTCTAAAAAAAGGCTATAGGGTTTATTTATTTATTCATTCATTCATTCATTCATTCATTGAGACAGGGTCTTGCTCTGTTGCCTAGCCTGGAGTGCAGTGGTGTGATCAGGACTCACTGTAACATCCACCTCTCCTGCTCAAGTGATTCTTCTGCCTCAACCCCTGAAGTACCTAGACTACAGGCATTTGCCATCATGTCAGGCTACATTTTTATTTTTTTTTTTGATTTATTTATTTTTTGAGATGGAGTCTTGCTCTGTCACCAGGCTGGAGTGCAGTGGCACGATCACGGCTCACTGCAACCTCTGCCTCTTGGATTCAAGCGATTCTTGTGGCTCAACCTCCCGAGTAGCTGGGATTACAGGCACGCGCCACTGCACCCAACTAATTTATGTATTTTTAGTAGAGATGGGGTTTTACCATGTTGGCCAGGATGGTCTCGATCTCCTGGCCTTGTGATCCGCCCACCTTGGCCTCCCAAAGTGCTGGGATTAAAGGCGTGAGCCACCATGCCCAACCTTTATTTTTTACTTTTAGGAGAGACAGGGTCTCACTATGTTGCCCAGGCTGGTCTGGAACTCCTGGGCTCAAGTGATCCTCCTGCTTCAGCCTCCCAAAGTGTTGGTATTACAGACATGAGCCACTGCGACTGGCATGGGGTTTCTTTTAGGAAGACAAAAATGTTCTAAATTTACAATGGGATGATGATTGCACAATCTTGTGAATATACTAAAACCAAGTGTACACTTTAAATGGGTGAATTGTATGGTATGTAAATTATATATATATCTCAATGTCTATTAAAAAGTTATTAAAAGATTGCAATAATTTTCTACCCATGATCTCCTGTATTTCAAACAAAAAGTCTGAAAGTTGATTCAGAAAAATACAGGTTACATGGTTTTGGTTTTTTGTTGTTGTTCTGATTCTTAACATGAATATATGTATTTTGTTTACATTCGAGTAGCTAAGTTTTTCTTTCTTTCTCTTTTCTGTTAGTTTTGTTTGTTTGTTTGTTTATTTGTTTTTGAGATGGAGTCTGGCTCTGTTGCCCAGGCTGGAGTGCAGTGGCGCAATCTCGGCTCCCCACAAGCTCCACCTCCCAGGTTCATGCCATTCTCCTGCCTCAGCCTCCCAAGTAGCTGGGACTACAGGTGCCCGCCACCATGTCCAGCTAATTTTTTTTGTATTTTTAGTAGAGACGGGGTTTCACCATGTTAGCCAGGATCGTCTCGATCTCCTGACCTCGTGATCTGCCCACCTTGGCCTCCCAAAGTGCTGGGATTACAGGCGTGAGCCACCGTGCCTGGTCTAGTATTTTTTTTTTTTAATTTTTAGTTTCAGGGGTGGCCCAGAGCAGTGGCTCATGCCTGTAATCCCAGCACTTTGGGAGGCCGAGGTGGGTGGATCACTTGGGCCCAGGAGTTCAAGACCAGACTGGACAAAATGGTGAAACCCCATCTCCACTAAAAATACAAACATTAGCTGGGCGTGGTGGCGGGCACCTGTAATCCCAGCTACTCAGAAGGCTGAGGCAGGAGGCAGAGGTTTCAATGAGCCGAGATGGCGCCATTGCACTTCAGCCTGGGCAACAGAGCGAGACTCTGTCTCAAAAAAAAAAAAAAGTTAAGGGGTACATGTGCAGGTTTGTTACATAGATAAACGTGTGTGATGGGGGTTTGTTGTACAGATTATTTCATCCCCCAGGTATTAAGTCTGGTAACCATTAGTTATTTTTCCTGATCCTCTCCCTCCTCCCATCCTCCAATCTCCAATAGGCCCCAGTGTGTATTGTTCCTCTCTATGTGTTCATGTGTTCTCATCATTTAGCTCCCACTTATACTGAGAACATGCAGTACTTGGTTTTCTGTTCCTGCGTTAGTTTGTAAAGGATAATGGTCTCCAACTCCATCCATGTCCCTGCAAAGGACATGATCTCATTCTTTTGTATGGCTGCAGCTAAGCTTTTCACAAAGAGCTTAAATAACATACTGAAGGTGAGGAAGCAGGTAAAAGCAGTCAGACTTGAACCCAGGCTGCCTAGCACCAGAGTTTGGAGTCTTACCCAATTCTCCATATTGGCTCAGGGCTTGTGCTATGTTTTCAGCCTAGCTTTGTCCACTGCCCTTCTTCACCTTCCATCCTTCCCCATACCCTTGTAAGCCTCCCGCCCCCAAGGTTCATTAAGGCAGACTCCAGAGCCACGTACTGTTCACAGCTCCAGAAAAGTACCCAAGGTTTTTCACGCCTGGCTGTATTTGTCATGATAGAACCTCTGCATGAAAGGCAAGGGGGTCTGTGGGGCAGACGACTATCCATGACATTATTGTCCTTACAGCCCAGAACGATAAAGGCTAGGGGATTGAAGAGGCGGAGAAAGCGGTTAGAGACTCTCCATAGAAATTGTCTCAGCCCCGCCCCTTAAATTCACTTTCTAGCCGCAGCTCCTTGAATTTACGTCCGAGCCACGCCTCCAATTAAACTGTCTCCCCACCCTCATCTCAAGTAATCCCCAAAGCTCCACCTCCTTAAAGAATCTTGGGCCCGGCCATTTGAACACCTCCAGACCTTATCTTCCTATCTCCCTTTAATAAAGCGCAGAAAACATTTCTCAAATAACACCTTTAGGATTATCTCCAAATATGGTCACACACACAGGCAAACTCCATTCGGCCCACCCTGGAGAATGCTACTTCAAAATTTGGCTCCTGTGGGGAACATCGCACACCGGGGCCTGTCGTGGGGTGGAGGGATGGGGGAGGGATAGCATTAGGAGATATACCTAATGTAAATGATGAGTTAATGGATGCAACACACCAACATGGCACATGTATACATATGTAACAAACCTGCACGTTGTGCACATGTACCCTGGAACTTAAAGTATAATAATGATAATAAAAAAAATTTGACTCCCGAACCTTCCAGAGCACACCCTTTAATCAGCCTCTAACCGTCATCCCATTCCTGACATCGCAAGCCCCGCCCCCATGGGCCTATAGGCTCCATCCCCATGACTCACATTTCAGGCCTGCCCCTTCGCTGCGTGCTCGCCCCCAGCACTCTCCAGGCCTCAAGCCCTCGGAAAGGACCCTCAAGGCCCCGCCGACCAGAACGGGGATCCAGCTACGCACACTCAACTAATCTGGCCCTCACCTACTGCGATAACCCTCAAGGAATATTCTAGGATAACCCCAAGGATCCTTCGAAGCATCCTCCGAAGCATCCTCCGATCCCCGCCCTCCCAAATCGCGCCCCTTGGCCCCACCCAAGGCAGGGCAGTAGCTGCTGACCCCCCAGGCCTGCTCCTCTGAACCCAGCTCCTCTCCGAACCTGCCCCCTGGGAGGCCCCACCCCCGTCACACACCCTCCTTCCGGCGCAGGCGCAATGTGGCGCCCGCCCTGTGTACTAGCGCCGCCACATCGACCGCAGCCCTCGCAGCCAGGGGGCGCGCGTCCAGCCGCGCCAGGAGCGGAAGGGCGCTGGGGCACGCGGGCGGGAGGGGCCCAGGCCTGCGCGCAAGAGGGGACAGGTCAACGCCGACCATCGGCCTCCGCCAACCCCCATGCTTCCGGACGCTCAAAGACTAGAAATGCCCCTCAGGATACCCGGCGACCCCTGGCCACTCCCTCGGTAGTTTCGGAGGTCACTGCTGTCCCTCCCCTCTCATGCGATCCCCGACCATCGCGGGTAGCGGGTGCACCCCCAGCCTGCTCTCACGGTGTCCCTGGAGATCGCTGTTTGACTGCAATAGTCCTAGACACCTCCGAACACCCCGTGAGGTCCTCGACTGCCCCCTAATCACCCTGGATGCCCAACTCTTCATCCACGATATCTCAGGGGACCCATTTCCCCCAGATATCCCGGGAGAACACGGCCTGACCCCGTAGCCCCGGAACCCCCAATTCCCCCTCTAGGTATCCTAGGCAACCGCTGCTACCCCCATGAATTCCCTCAGAGGGCCCGTTCCCCCCATGGCCCACATACCTCCAGAGTCCCCCTCCACAGGTCCCCAGGGGCCCCCAGCTCCCCTCCCCCCAGTTCACTAAGACCCTGAGTGCCCAGGTGTCCCCAGTGACCACGGGCAGACCCCTCCCCGCACATCTGCACGTCTCCCTGGAGACTCCTGAGAGCCCCTCCCCTGCTCTGGTGCGCGGCCCTTTCCCTCGTGTGTGGGTGTGGGTAGGGGACCTCCAGCCCAGCCTCCATCGCTGGGCCCCTGCCCCCTGCCACCTTCACTTGGGCGCCAGAGCCGCTCTGTTTACCACCTGTCAGAAGGAAAAGGTGTGGAGCAGACAGGCGGGACGGGGGTGGCGGCGACTCGCTCTGTCCTTCCCCAACATCCCCAATCCCTGTACTTCCTCTGCTCCCCTTAGGGTTCGCGGCGCCCCCTGTGCGCGGCTCCATGGCCAGTAGTCGGCCGGGTGGACGCAGGGCAGCCAGCGACGAGTTTTGAGCTCTGGGGCGTGCTCACCTGGTGACCCGCTCAGACCCTGGAAACAGGGTGGCGGGCCCGTGCCTGGTTCCTGTATCTGCGGGGTGGCCTATCTGGCGGCCAGCAAGGAGGCCTCCGTTAGCTGAGGACGCTGGGCTGGCTCCTTTTTCCACTCTGGGATGTTGCTATTCCAGCATAGGAAGGGGCAGTCGAAGCCCAGAGAAATTAGGGTACTGTCTGACCTCTGACAACTAAAAGCAGGGACGCAGAACTGGAGCCCGAGTTTACTAGGAAACTCTGCAATTTCCACCAGAGCTTTGCACAAGTAGGCACTCAGTATATTTGCAGGGAAAGTTTATCTCCCACTGTCCCTATTGGGAAACTGGAAATGTGTGGTGGGACTGAGTACCGTTGGAGCTTTTGGAGCCAAAGAATGGTTTGGTGCTCTGGGCATTATGAGGTTGCGGAACTCAAAAATTGGAGAGGGTGGGCTGGGCGCGGTGGCTCATGCCTGTAATCCCAACACTTTGGAAGGCCAAGGCAGGTGGATCACTTGAGGCCAGGAGTTTGAGACCAGCCTGGCCAACATGGCAAAACTCCATTTCTACTAAGATTATAAAAATTAGCCAGGTGTGGTAGTGGGCATCTGTAATCTTAGCTACTCGGGGGGCTGAGGCAAGAGAATCGCTTGAACCTGGGAGGCGGAGGTTGCAGCGAGCTGAGATCGTTCCACTGCACTCCAACTTGGGTGACAGAGCAAGACTCCCTCTCAAGAAAAAAAAAAAAAAAAAGAAAAAGAAAAAGAAAAGAAAAGAAAAAAAAATTGCAGAGGGCAGGTCCCTTGGAGAGTGGATGAGAGATGGGACCCAAAATTGAGGAGGCTGTGAATGAATGCATTGGAGTTGGATGGGACACTAGCTGATGTCAGTGGAGGAATGAGGCCTCTTCTATGTTTGAAAAGGGGAGTGTCTGGGGACATAAGCCCCAAGCAGGGAGCATTCGGACACAGTGTGACTGTAGTGGAAGGAGGAATGGGATTGCAGTGAGAGAGGGCCTTTCACCACTACTTTGCCAAATAAGAAACTCAGGGTCTGAGAGGCTCAGGGACCTGCCTAGGTCCCTGCAGCAAGCCAACAACACCAGTTTCAGGCAGCTTACCTACAAGACTCACTTGGTTAGTGACTATTTCACTATGGCTGTGGACACACTGTGTCCTAATGTCCATTCTGGCTGGTTGTGCAAGCCTCTCCGTTCACCTTTCAGAGACCCAGTATCCTCATAGGTGAAAGGGTCTGAACGGTTCCTGCTTTCATTCCACCTGCAGTCCCCTGCCTCTTTCACCTCTGACCTGACCTTGTCTAAGGGGGGACACCCTGGACCTCCTTCACTGCTCCTCCCAATTCTTGTTGAGACTTCCACACCTGAATCTGGAGAGGGCAGCTTCCAATCTGGGGCTCCAGGTTTTAAGAACCTGTGGATGTGAGAGTGAGGTGCTTACACACTGTGAAGGAGAGCTTGAGGCTCTGTAGCTCCATGCATGGGAGGGTCTTGCAGACTGGGGCATTGTCCAAGGGCCGAGGACAGATGGACAGTGAGGGGAGGCATCCAAGCACCAGGTAGAATCTACTAACATCGATCAGGGAGCTTGCCAACTGGATGGGAAACTGCTTCCAGGCTGGGAGGTATTCAGGCTTGGGGAATCATGAACGAATGAAGGGGTCCAAGGACATCCTCAGGGGACGTGAATTACAGGGGCGGGGGCCCAGGATGCTGGATAGGTGTTCACTGAGACAGCTGACACCAGCAGGGCTGAAATTACAGGGGCAGGGGCCCAGGATAGGTGTTCACTGAGAGAGCTGACACCAGCAGGGCCGAAATTCCAGGGCCAGAGAGTAGTGTATGTGTCACTGAGGCTGCTGGCAGGGTTAGGGGTGTAGAGAGGATGCAGACATGAGGGAGGAACTCCAGCCACTGCATTGCCTGACACCTCAATGTACCTCTCTGGGAAGTGGGGGTGATGAGATATGCATGGTAAGACTGTCAAGAGAGTTCGGAACAAAGCTTCCAAATTGCTGGTGTTGTGCCAAGCCAAGCTATTTGGTAGCAGTGTTGGTGCTTATCTTTAATATTGATTACAATGACACTATGGGGGAGCAAACCCTCACTTAGCCCTGCCCCACTGTGGATTCAAATCAATGCCCCTCTTAGCCTCATCCATTTGTGAATACAACCCAATTACCCAGCTGGGCACGGTGGGTCATGCCTGTAATCCCAGCACCTTGGGAGGCAGAGATGGGCGGAGTTTGAGACCAGCCTGGCCAACATGATGAAAACTTGTCTCTACTAAAACTGCAGAAATTAGCCGGGCGTGGTGGTGGGTGCCTTTAGTCTCAGCTACTTGGGAGGCTGAAGCATGAGAATTGCTTGAACCCAGGAGATGGAGGTTGTAGTGAGCCGAGCTCGCACTACTGCACTCCAGCCTGGGTGACAGAGCGAAACTCTGTCTCAAAAAAAAAAAAAATCATTTAAAAAAACCCTAATTACCCCTTTTAGCCTCATGTAATTCAAGAATTAAGTCAATTTCTCTCACAGCCCCACCCAATTCATTAATTTAACAAAAGATTGTATTTATTTATTTATTAGAGACAAAGTCTTGCTACATTGGCTAGGCTGGTCTGAAAATTCTGGCCTTAGTGATCTTCTCACCTTGGCCTCCCAAAGTGCTGGAATTACAGGCGTGAGTCATCATGCCCAGCCTGTTTTGAGAATTTATATTTTATTTTTTTTAAAGACAGGGTCTTGCTCTGTCACTGAGGGTGGAGTGCAGTGGCATGATCACAGCTCATTGTAACCTCTAAGTCTTGGGCTTAAGTGATCCTCGTGCCTCAGCCTCCCAAGTAGCTGGGACTACAGGTGCATGCACTACACCCAGCTGTTTTAAGTTTTGAAGGGGTTGAGATATAATTGACTTCAATTTGATAGGTTTTGAATATGTTTATGTCAGTGAAACGATCACTACAGTGAAGATACTGAACAGGCTGGGTGTGGTGGCTCACCTCTGTAATCCCAGCACATTGGGAGGCAGAGGTGGGAGGATTTTTTGAAGCCAGGAGTTTAAGACCAGCCTGGACAACATAGTGAGACCCCCCCACCCCAGTCTCTACAAAAATGTAAAAAATTTGCCAGGCATTGTGGCACATATGTGTAGTCCTATCTGCTCAGGAGGATCCCTTGAGCCCAGGAGTTTGAGGTTACAATGAACTATGATTGTGCCACTGCAATCCATCCTGCATGACAGAATGTGACCCTGTCACTTAAAAAAAAAAAAAAGAAATACTGAGTATAACTATCTCTGCCAAAAGTTTTCTCCTGCCCTTTGTATTTCCTCTTTCCTGCCCTTTTGGCCCCCTCCCTCCAGGCAACCACTAATCCACTTTCTGTCACTGTATATCAGTTTGCATTTTATTAGATTTTTATATAAAAGAAATCATACAGCATGTGCTTTTTTGGAGCGTGGGTCTGGCTTGTTTTACCATAATTATTTTTGAGATTCATCCAAATCCTTCATTGTTTTTTATTGCTGAGTTGTATTACCCTGTATGTGTATACCATAGTTTGTTAATTTATTCATCTATTTTTTTCATTGAAAATTGTTTTCTTTTTGAGAGATGGGGTCTCACTATGTTGCCCAGGCTGGTCTCAAACTCCTGGGCTCAAGCAATCCTCCTGCCTCCACCTCCAGCCTCCCAAAGTGCTAGGATTACAGGCATTAGCATTTTTAAAATAGAGACAATGTTTCTATGTTTTTAAAATAGAGACAATCTTTCACTATGTTGCCAAGGCTGGTCACCAACTCCTGAGCTCAAGCGATCCTCCCACCTCAGCCTCCCAAAGTGCTGCGATTACTGGCCTCATTCAACTATTAATGGACATTTGGGTTATTTCCAGTTTTTGGATATTAACAAATATTATGGACTGAATTGTGTCCACCCATAAATATATATATATATATATATTTGTTGTTGTTGTTGTTGTTGTTTTGTTTTTTTGAGAGAAGTCTCGCTCTTATCCCCCAGGTTTGAGTGCAATGGCTCGATCTCCACTCACTGCAACCTCTGCCTCCCGGGCTCAAATGATTCTCCTGCCTCTGCCTCCCAAGTAGCTGGGATTAAGTCACCTGACACCACGCCTGGCTAATTTTTGTATATTTTAGTAGAGATGGGGTTTCACCATGTTCGCCAGGCTGGTCTTGAACTCCTGAACTCAGGTGATCCACCCGCCTTGGCCTCCCAAGGTGCTGGGATTACAGGCGTGAGCCACTGTGCCCAGCCATAAATATATATGTTAAAGCTCTAACCTCCAATGTGACTGTATCTGAAGATAGCTTCTTTAGGAGGCAACTAAGGTAAAATGAGGTCACTAAGGTGGAGCCCTAACCAGATAGGACTGTGACCTTATAAGAAACAGAAGAGAGAGATCTCTCCCTCTCTCTGTGTGTGCCTCTCTCACGCCTTTACTCTCCTTCACTCTCTTAATTCCATGTGAGGACACAGCAAGAAGGCAAGCATCTGCAACCCAAAAGGAGAGACCTCACCAGGAACCAAATTGGCTACCACCTTGATCGTGGACTTTCCGGCTTCCAGAACTGTGAGAAACTTATGTTGTTTAAACCACCCAGTCTACGATATTTTGTTACAGTAGTTCTAAATGAATAAGACAGGAAATAAAGCTGCTATGAATATTTGTAAGACAAGGCTGTGTAAATGTATGCTTTCTTTTAGATAAATACGCAGGAGTGGAATGGCTGGCTCATATGTGTACGCTTAGTTTTTAAAGACACTACCAAACTGTTTTCTAAAGTTGCAGGCCGGGCACGAGTGGCTCACGCCTGTAATCCCAGCACTTTGGGAGGCTGAGGCGGGCCTCGCCTGTAATCCCAGCACTTTAGGGAGTTCGAGACCAGCCTGACCAACATGGAGAAACCCCGTCTCTACTAAAAATACAAAATTAGGGGGGCGTGGTGGTGCATGCCTGTAATCCCAGCTACTCAGGAGGCTGAGTCAGGAGAATCACTTGAACCCGGGAGGCAGAGGTTGTAGTGAGCCGAGATCGTGCCATTGCACTTCAGCCTGGGCAACAAGAGCGAAACCCTGTCTCTAAATAAATAAATAAAGTTGCAATATCATTTTACATTTCCACCGGAGGTATAGGAGTTCCATTTCCTCCATATCTTCAGCAACAGTTGGTATTGTCAGGCTTTTAAATTCTAACTAGGACCTTTAGTTAACAGAGTGCGGCGCCTGCAGCAGAGTGAGGCCAAGCACTCCTCCTGGCTCCTACAGCCAGGCCTCCTTGCTGGCCGCCAGGTAGGTCACCGCGCGGGTCCGGGAGCCAGGCACGGGACCCGCCAGCTTCAGCCTCCAGGGCCTGGGCGGGCCGCCAGGTGAGCGCGCCCCAGAGCTCAAAATTCGTAGCTGGCAGCCCTGCGTCCACCCGGCGGACTACTGGCCATGGAGCCGCGCACAGGGGACGCCGCGGACCCTAGGGGGAGCAGAGGAGGTACAGGGATTGGGGTCGTTGGGGAAGGACAGGGCGAGTCGCCGCCATCCCCGTCCCGCCTGTCTGCTCCACACCTTTTCCTTCTGACAGGTGGTAAACAGAGCGGCTCTGGCGCCCAAGTGAAGGTGGCAGGGGGCAGGGGCCCAGCGATGGAGGCTGGGCTGGAGGTCCCCTACCCACACCCACACACGAGGGAAAGGGCCGCGCACCAGAGCAGGGGAGGGGCTCTCAGGAGTCTCCAGGGAGACGTGCAGATGTGCGGGGAGGGGTCTGCCCGTGGTCACTGGGGACACCTGGGCACTCAGGGTCTTAGTGAACTGGGGGGAGGGGAGCTGGGGGCCCCTGGGGACCTGTGGAGGGGGACTCTGGAGGTATGTGGGCCATGGGGGGAACGGGCCCTCTGAGGGAATTCATGGGGGTAGCAGCGGTTGCCTAGGATACTTAGACGGGGAATTGGGGGTTCCGGGGCTATGGGGTCAGGCCGTGTTCTCCCAGGATATCTGGGGAAATGGGGTCCCCTGAGATATCGCGGGCGAAGAGTTGGGCATCCAGGGTGATTAGGGGGCAGTCGAGGACCTCACGGGGTGTTCGGAGGTGTCTAGGACTATTGCAGTCAAACAGCGATCTCCAGGGACACCGTGGGAGCAAGCGGGGGTGCACCGGCTACCCGCGACGGTCGGGGATCGCGTGAGGGGAGGGACAGCAGTGACCTCCGAAACTATCGAGGGAGTGGCCAGGGGTCGCCGGGTATCCTGAGGGGCATTTCTAGGTCTTCGAGCGTCCGGAAGCATAGGGGTTGGCCGAGGCCGAGGGTCGGCGTTGACCTGTCCCCTCTTGCGCGCAGGCCGCGGCCCCTCCCCGCTCGCGGGCCCTAGCGCCCGGCAGCTCCTGGCGCGGTTGGACGCGCGCCCCCTGGCGGCGCGAGCTGCGGTCGACGTGGCAGCGCTGGTACGCAGGGCGGGCGCCACATTGCGCCTGCGCCGGAAGGAGGGTGAGTGACTGGCGCAGGGCCTCCGCTGGGGGAGGGTTCGGAGAGGAGTTGGGTTCAGTGGGACAGGCCTGGGGGGTCAGCAGCTACTGCCCTGTCTTGGGTGGGGCCAAGGGGCGCGACTTGGGGCGGGGATCGGAGGGTGCTTCGAGTGGGAGGAGCCTTGGGGTTATTCTAGCATATTCCTTGAGGGTTATTGCAGTCGGCGAGGGCTAGATTAGATGAGAGTGCGGAACTGGACCCCCGTTCTGGCGGCGGTCCTTTTTGAGGAGGCAGGGCCTGGAGAGTGCTTGGGGGGCGGGCACGCAGCGAAGGGGCAGGCCTGAAATGTGAGTCACGGGGGTGGAGCCTATAGTCCCATGGGGGCGGGGCTTGAGATGTCAGGAATGGGATGAGGGTTAGAGGCTAATTAGAGGGCGTGCTATGGAAGGTTCAGGAGCCAAATTTTGGAGTAGCATTCTCCAGGGTGGGCCGAATGGTGTTGTTTGAGGGATGTGTTCTGCGTGTTATTAGAGGGAGATAGGAAGGCCTGGAAGATTATTCACATGGCTGAGCCCAGGATTGTTTATTAAGAAGGTGGGGTCAGAACAGTTAATTTGTTTGGGCTGAGAACCTTTAAGATTACTTGAGGGGATGGTGCGTAAATGGTGGGCCAGTTTGTATATGAGCTGCAGGGGCAAGACAAGTAGATGAGGCTAGAATGTTAACTCAGGGAACAGGTCCTAGGTAGTTTCCATGGCATGTCCCCCAACAGCCCTCTCCACTGCTTTTATCTCCCAGCTGTTAGCGTGCTGGACTCTGCGGACATAGAGGTCACAGACAGTCGCCTGCCTCATGCCACTATTGTGGATCACCGGCCCCAGGTACCATCTCATCCTTCTATCGGAGGCCTCCTGCCTCAGGGCAAACTATGTACACCTGTGTCCTTTATTCCAGCACCGTTGGTTAGAGACATGTAACGCACCTCCCCAATTGATCCAGGGTAAGGCACGTAGTGCTCCGAAGCCATCCCAGGCCTCTGGTCATTTCTCTGTGGAGCTGGTTCGCGGTTACGCAGGCTTTGGCCTCACCTTAGGTGGGGGCCGGGATGTAGCTGGGGACACTCCGCTGGCCGTGCGCGGGCTGCTGAAGGATGGCCCAGCACAGCGCTGTGGTCGTTTGGAGGTGAGCCCTGAAGCCCCTTCCACTGGTAGGTGCTATCCCTGCCTTTGTTGGGGTGCTCTCCTTTTGCCTTTCCAACACGACTGCATTGCACTCCTCCAGGTCGGGGACCTCGTGCTCCACATCAACGGAGAGTCAACGCAGGGCCTCACCCATGCCCAGGCCGTGGAGCGGATCCGAGCTGGAGGCCCCCAGCTCCACCTGGTTATTCGTCGGCCTCTGGAGACCCACCCTGGCAAGCCTCGAGGGGTGGGAGAGCCCCGAAAAGGAGTTGGTGGGTTTCCCAAGGGAGAGAAGTCAGAGATCAGTGAGGAGAAGGGAGAGGTTCACAGAGTGGAGAAGCTGAGATTCTGGGTGGGAAGGGTTTGGTGGTCTCTGTGGGGAGGGTCTGCAAGAGGTCATGGTATTCTCACAAGTAGGGGCAGGGAGGGGTACAGGGTCCCAGGATAGGAATAACGTAGGGGCAGGGAGGGGTGTCAGTCTCGAGGATAGGAATTTCAGAGGGTGGGTTTTCCAGGTACTGGGGGAAGAGAAGGGAAGGGGTCTAGGATAAAAGCAAGTGTTTGGAAGGAAGGGTCTTAGTTCTCAGAGGCGAAGGCAGAGTGGATCTTAGCCGGGGGAAAATGGGATGGGGATCCAGAGGGTAGGGGGTCTAGTTCTGAAAAACAAAGGGTCGGTGGTTTGGGAGTCAACGGAGGTGGGATGAGAGAGGAGAGAGCAGGGGCTCCTAGATGAGCGGGGTTTGATTTCCTTTGGAGATTGTGGGAAATGATTTCTGAGGGGCATGTTCTGGATCCAGGAGGGGAGGGGTCTCGGGAAAGGAGGTGTCGGGGTTGTGAGGGGTGGTGCCGATCCCAGAAGGCCTGGAGGGGAGATTTCTCTAAGGGTCAGGGTCTCATCTCCCGCAGCCTTTGGGTTCTCCTGTCCATCCTCAGCCAAAGGCCTGGATTTCCCTTCCCTACTTCACCACCCAATCTAATCCGTAGTCCCGTCATGGCCAGATCGCAGCCCAGATCCTGGAGGGCCGGAGGTAACGGGGTCTCGCAGCAGCAGCACTTCCCTAGTTCAGCACCCTCCATCCCGGACGACGCTCAAGAAGACCCGGGGCAGCCCGGAGCCTAGTCCAGAGGCGGCCGCCGATGGCCCCACGGTTTCTCCTCCTGAGCGCCGCGCTGAGGATCCCAACGACCAGATCCCGGGTTCCCCGGGGCCCTGGCTAGTGCCCAGCGAGGAACGGCTCTCGCGGGCCCTAGGGGTCCGGGGGGCAGCGCAGCTCGCTCAGGAGATGGCAGCCGGAAGGCGGAGACACTGAGCCTACCTCTGACAGCGCGGGGCTCACTAGTTACCGCCCAACCTGGATCCGGCGCGTGTGGCCGCTGGGCACTTGGCACCTCCCCAAGAGCTTCCACTTGGTTTGGTCCCCCCACCCGCTGCTCAGTGGCTCTGACCACACTCCCCTCGCAGCGTCAGTGGTACGACCCTTCCAGCCGGCTAGCCTGCGCTTCTGGTTCTGGGAGGGGGAGGTAATAAAATGGTTCGATCCGGTCTTGACTTGCCAGGCGCTCGAGGCGGGGTGGGGCTGCCCGGGCCACTCTGTAAAGGAGCAGGTGGGTCGATCCTGCTTGAGTAATCGCTGACGAGCTTCGTGCTGCTGCTTTCCTGCTTGCACATGTTATCTTTGCTTCTGCCGGTCCTCAGTCTGGCGTGCTTTCTTTTTCTCTTCGCCGTCTCCTGCTCCTCTCCTTATTCATTAATTTCACCTTTTTGGAGGTGTACAGGGTCTCACACATAAATTATTGTGCATGGCATGGAGAATGCAGAGGTGAGCCTGTCGTGGCAGGACTGCACCAGTGTATCCACAGTCCTGTCTCGGAATCATACAGACCCTCAGCTGACGTCGGGATAGCAAGGCTAGAAGCCTAGAAGCAGGGCAGCTTCCTTCGCCAGAGGCCTGCGGTCTCCCACTTCCGGCCTAGTCTGCCAGCTTTTGCTGGCACGTAGGCTACCACTCTCCGGGCACCGGCTGGGGTCCTGGAGCCCCCTTTGGGGCGGAGTGGGGAAGGTGTGAGTCAGCGCCCCTGGACGGGCCGGGCTAAAAAAGGCTGTTAGAACCTTTGGGCCGTGCCCCCATTTTCCGTACATGGTGAAGAACTGCAGCCGGGCTTGTGTGCACACGCCACACACTGGGCGTTCCCGGCACGGGAGAGGCCCAGAGTTTCCTTCACCCTGGGAACAGAGCCCTACAGCCAGGGCTTATATGGCCAGCGGGACTCCAACCGGGGTAGCCGCGAGGAAGGCGCTGGCAGAGGACAGAAATGTCCAGTCACCTCCGCTGTCACCACATCCTGAGCACTCGGCCCCATCCCCCCACAGGAGGGAAGCTGTGGTCTGACGGAATGGGCAACTTTCGCCCCTGTGGGGAGGGGACGGGGAAGGAAGAAAGAATTTAAAGGACCGGAATGCGAGAGTCCAGGTGGCCTTGGAGAGGAAAGAGGAACGGTGAAGACAAGCTGCGAGAGCTGGGAGCTGGAGGGTGAAGAGGTGAACACTTGAGTGGTTAGAGCTGTAGATAGACATTGTGGGGAAGTGTGCCAGGGTGGCTTCCAGCTACCCCTGACTTAGAGCCTGGTGGAGGTGTGGTTCTTCAGAAGTCAGCAAAGGGCTCAAGAGCCCCAGTCTATAAATACAGTCACACCCAGGAGACTAATAATAGTAACCCCAGCCACCATGTACTTAGTTTTATCCCTGCTACTGGCTTTATTGCAATATTTATTTTCATCTACAATAGTTGCACATCTACTCAACTATCCGAATATGTCCATTTCGCAGAGGAGGAAAGTGAGGCCCAGGGAGTGCAGATAGCTACAGAGAGGAGGGTCAAAGCACGATTTAATCAAGGCCTGATTCCCAAGTCTGTCCTCTCAATTTCACCTGCATTGACAAGTATTAATTGAACCCCAACTGTATATGTTGCACTGTGCTAGGTACTGTGGAGATGCTGGAGGAACAAGACATAAAATTTCTTTGTGTAGCTGATGTATGTAATGAGAGTAGACAGATGTCAGACAAAAAAGACGAGAAAATGAATAAATAAAAAACCAGGCCAGGCGTGGTGGCTCACGCCTGTAATCCCAGCACTTTGGGAGGCCGAGGCTGGTGGATCACGAGGTCAAGAGTTCAAGAGCAGCCTGGCCAAGATGGTGAAACCCCGTCTCTACTGAAAATACAAAAATTAGCCAGGTGTGGTAGCAGGTGCCTGTAATCACAGCTACTCGGGAGGCTGAGGCAGAGAATTGCTTGAACCCAGGAGGTGGAGGTTGCAGCGAGCCAAGATCGCACCACTGCACTCCAGCCTGGGTGACAGAGCGAGAATCAGTCTCAAAAAAAAAAAAAAAAAAAAAAAAAACTTCAGGCCAGACATGGTGGTTTGTGCCTGTAATCCCAGTACTTTGGGAGGCGGAGGCGGGTGGATTGTTTGAGCCTACAAGTTTGATACCAGCCTGGGCAACATAGACCTTGTCTCTACAAAAAGTTTAAAAATTAGCTGGGAGTGGTGGCTCATGCCTGTAGTCCCAACTACTTGGGACACTGAGGTGGGAGGATCACTTGAGCCTGGGAGGTCAAGGCTGCAGTGAGCCATGATTGCACCATTCCACTCTAGCTGGAGTGACAGTGAGACCTTATCTCAAAAAAAAAAAAAAAAAAAAAAAAAAGGCCAGGCTCGTGGCTTACATCTGTAATCCCAACACTTTGGGAGGCCAAGGCAGGCGGATCACCTGAGGTCAGGAGTTCGAGACCAGTCTGACCAATATGGAGAAACCCCATCTCTACTAAAAATACAAAATTAGCCTGGTGTGGTGGCACATGCCTGTAATCTCAGCTACTCAGGAGGCTGAGACAGAAGAATCGCTTGAACCCGGGAGGTGGAGGTTGCGGTGAGCCAAGATTGTGCCATTGTACTCCAGCCTGGGCAACAAGAGCAAAACTCCTTCTCAAAAAAAAAAAAAAAAAAAAAAGACAATTTCAGAGAGAAGTGAGAGTCATGAAGCTATGAAGCTAGCAAAAGGAGGTTACATTGTGGGAGATGATGGTGAGCTTCTGGCCTCTTTGAAGACATAACTCTTGAGCTGCAACCTGAATGACCAGAAGCCAGGTATATGAAGCACTGAGTGAAGGGCATTGACAGCAGGGGGAATAGCAAGTGCAAAGGTGTTGAAGTGGAACCAGGTTCATCTTGTTTCAGAAATTCAGACGTGTCCTCACAGAGTTGGAAAGCACATACTCATCACTAGGAAAAGTATGTTTCATCCCTTCCACTATTCACTCACTCTTCCGGCAACCGGGGCTGAAAGAGGGGAGCTCTTTCCTTAGTTTTGAGGGGCCCTGTGTTGGCAGAGAGAGCAGGCAGGCCCTTGGGTTGAATCCTCCTGGCCATCCAGTTATGATTCTCCCCCACTTCAAATGAGATGAGAATAAAAACAACTTCTAGTCTGGAGAGTGTGTCCCTCAGGGTACCTCTGGGATCCTGATTCCAGGAGACGAGATGCATGTCTTAGATGCAGAAATTAAGGCTGAGCTGGGGGAAATTACTTGCTCAAAATAACACACTTAGCCAGGCGCAGTGGCTCACGCCTGTAATCTCAGCACTTTGGGAGGCCAAGGCGGGAGAATTGCTTGAGGTCAGGAGTTCAAGACCAGCCTGAGCAACATAACGAGACCTTGTCTCTACTAAAAAATAAATAAATACAAACAAAGTGTCTACAAATGTCACCCAGCCTTGCACCCCAGGAGCCATCCATTCATCTTGCCAATCCCCCAGAAATAAACTTTCCTATTCCTCATGTACGATTGTGCTGACTGGCCCCTCTCTTCAGAACCAGGAAACTGAGGCCCAACATTTAGGGCCAGGACTTCCTTGGGATTGCAGAACACAGAATCAGACCTTGGGCTCTCTGGGCTCTAACACTACTACAAAATATGTTTTTTTAAAATAGAGACAAGCTCTCACTACGTTGCCCAGGCTGGTCTCGAACTCTTGAGCTGAAGTGATTCTCCTACCTCGGCCTCCCAAAGTGCTAGGATTACAGGCATGAGCCACTGCTCCTGGCCTTGGGCTCTAACACTTGAAACAATGCTTGCCCTATTTCTGAGCAACTCAATGCTCACCAACCCCTATTCTCACACAGCCTTTACACTGGCAGGGTCTTATTCTCATCACTGCTCAGAGGTTTATTCCACTGTCCACAATCCATTATCCAAAAACAAAAAGCTCTGGAAACTGATGGTTTTCCCACAAGATAGGCACTATTTGGTTACAAAACCTGACCTGATCTAACGAGGAACAATTTTCTTTCTTCCTTTCTTTTTGTTTTTCCTTTTTTGGAGACAGGGTCTTGCTCTGTTGCCCAGGCAGGAGTGCAGTGGTCTGATCATGGTTCACTGCAGCCTTGAACTCCCAGGCTCAAGCAATCCTCCCACCTCAGCCTCCCGAGTAGTTGGGATTACAGGCACGTGCCACCATGCCTGGGCTAATTTTTTTCTTTTTTCTTTTTTTTTTTTTTTTTTGAGACGGAGTCTTGCTCTGTCGCCCAGGCTGGAGTGCAGTGGCGCAATCTTGGCTCACTACAACCTCCACCTCCCAGGTTCAAGCGATTCTCCTGCCTCAGCCTCCTGACTAGCTGGGATTATAGGCGAGCGCCACCACACCCGGTTCATTTTTTGTGTATTTTTAGTAGAGACGGGGTTTCACCATGTTGGACAGGCTGGTCTCGAACTCCTGACCTCGTGATCTGCCCACCTCGGCCTCCCAAACTGCTGGGATTATAGGCTTGAGCCACCGCGTCCGGCCGCCTGGGCTAATTTTTAAAATTATTTGTAGAGATGAGGTCTCACTGTGTTGCCGAGGTTGATCTCCAACTCTTGGGCTCAAGCGATCCTCCCACCTGAGGCTCCCAGAGTGTTGGGATTACTGGCATGAGCCACTGCGCCCAGCCGAGGAACACTTTTCAATCCTTACCCAGTTATTGTGAACGTTCATACCTTTTCTTGAAGAAATACCGTTTTTGTTGTTGTTGTTGTTTTTGAGACGTAGTTTCGCTCTTGTTGCCCAGACTGGAGTGCAATGGCATGATCTTGGCTCACCGCAACCTCTGCCTCCCGGGTTCAAGCGATTCTCCTGCCTCAGCCTTCCGAGTAGCTGGGATTACAGGCATGCGTCACCGTGCCCAGCTAATTTTTGTATTTTTAGTAGAGACGGTGTTTCTCCATGTTGGTCAGGCTGGTCTCGAACTCCCGACCTCAGGTGATCCACCCGCCTCGGCCTCCCAGTGTTGGGATTACAGGCGTGAGCCACCGCGCCTGGCCCTTTTTTTTTTTTTTTGTAACGCGGCAGCTCCAAACCCCGCTGAGAGTATATGCATGGGAAAACTTTCTGAAATCAAAAATATTCCGAATTC